>NT_187660.1:3084883-3386688 GCF_000001405.40 Homo sapiens
TGTCTACTAAAATTACAAAAATAAAAAATAAAAATTAGCAGGGCATTGTGGCGCATGCCTGTAATTCCACCTACTCTGGAGGCTGAGGCAGGAGAATCGCTTGAGCCCAGGAGGTGGAGGTTGCAGTGAGCTGAGATTGCACCACTGCACTCCAGCCTGGGCCACAGAGTGACACTCTTGTCGGAAAACAAAACAAAAAGTCTCCTTAGATTAAAACTGGATTCCAGCCTCGGTTCCACTGGTCACCATTCAAGTACTTTGCATCTCTAAGTCTCTGTTTCTTTAACTTCAAAGGGAAGTTAGCATTTTCCTTACAGAGGTGCTGAGGATTAAATGAGAAGAGGGTATGAGATTTGAGGCTGGGGAAGGAGGCATGGGGTTCTAGGAAAGGGAGGCAGTCACTTAGGCCTGGAGTAAGGGGACAGGGGCCTGGGCAGGCGACAGAGCCCCACAGTGCTGTTGCTACCCTGTTAATGGGCCCAGAATCTGGAAGCCAGCCACCACATGCCCTCACACCCAGGGTCTTCCTGCAGGTGGAGCTGAAGAGCCAAGAGGCTCAGAGTCTGCAGCAGCAGCCAGACCATTACCTGGGTCACCTGCAGCAGTACGTGGCCACCTATCAGCAGCAGGTGGCCGCCTATCAGCAGCTGACCTGTGAGAAGGAGGCGCTGTACAGGCAGTGCCTGCAACAGACCCAGCTAATGAAACAGCTGCAGCAGCAGGAAGTTTGGGGCAAAGCAGTGGCCGAGATGGCCTGCCAAAAGTTGCAGGAGACCCAGGGGAGGGAGCTGCCAAGGATGGGGCTGTGAGGGGGACGACCTGGCAAACTCCATCCCTTCTCACTCTGTCCTGGCCCCTTAGGAGCACCTGGAAGCGGCCAGCCAGCAGAACCAGCAGCTAACGGCCCAGCTGAGCCTCATGGCTCTCCCTGGGGAAGGTACGGGAGACTGCTCAGAGGAAGAGGAGAGAGCCCCAGGAGGAAGGGGGGACTGCTAGCAGCATAGGATTGAGGAGTTGGAAGAGACCTTTAGAACAGCTGGTCATTATGCCGACCGGGTGCCTGCACTAAGTTCGGCATCAGTGTGGTGACCTCCTGTGAGCGGGGGGTCACCAAGTTGCCTAAGGGTGGCTGAACTGGCCAAGGTCAGAAAGGGAGCAGGTCAGAACTCCCACATCGACCAGTAGTGGGAGTGTGCCTGGGCGGAATAGCAAGATCTTGATTCTTAAAAGTAAAAATAAAGAACAACAGCTCATTCCTCTCTGGGGAGGGGCTGGCTCAGGGTTACACAGTGAGGGTGGAGGTAGAGGTGGGCCCACAGTACCTCCCTTGTTGGGTTGTCTGAAGACCCCTCTGGCCACCCCCCACAGGACACGGAGGAGAACATCTGGACAGTGAGGGGGAGGAGGCACCTCGGCCCATGCCGAGTGTCCCAGAGGACCTGGAGAGCAGGGAGGCCATGGTGAGCCTGACTCCCCCTGCACCCATTTTGCCACCTTTCTCTGTGGTCCCTCCAAGACCCCTTTATGCTCTTCGTTTCCCTGCCTTCTGATTTCTCTGGACCCTCACCCCTTCTGGGAGCCAGTGGTCAGACACCATTTCACCTGTGACAAACGTGTACTCTCTGAGGCCCCAAGGGAAGGGCCTGCACTCCACCTCTCTGCCCCGTTTGCTCCGTGTATGCCCCTACAAGAATGCTCGCGTCTTGCCCTCAGGTGGCATTTTTCAAGTCCGCTGGAGCTAGTGCCCAGGAGAAGCAGGCACAGTTACAAGAGCAGGTGAAAGAGCAGAGGGTGTGCTGCCAGCGCCTGGCTCACCCGGTGGCCTCGGCCCAGAAGGAGCCAGAGGCAGCCAGAGGCCCTGGAGCCCCAGGGCCTGGGGGCGAGTCTGTGAGTGGGGAGACCCACCGGGCCCTGCAGGAAGTCACGGAGAAGCTGGCCCATGCCAGGACTCACCTCCGCCTTCTCCATGACTTGAAAATGCCACCTGAGGGCAGGTCGCTGCCGAGATGTGACTGCAATATTTTGGCTCCAGAGCAGCTTTATGGACCACCTGGAGGAGAAGGCAGACCTGAGTGAGCTGGTGAAGAAAAAAGAACTTTGCTTCATCCACCACTGGCGAGATAGATGCCATCAGTGAGTGGGAGGCCAGGGCACGGCAGGGGGAGCTGCAGGACCGTCGGAGGGGCCCCAGCGTCTGAGCCCTGTCCTCCCGCAGGAAAATCCATCACCTTTTATCAGAACCAGGGGGCCGTGCCAAAGATGCGGCACTGGTAGGAGGACACCATCAGGCTGGAGCTCAGGGAGGAGATGAAGGTAGGGTGTGCAACATCTCTGTGGGGGTGGGGGTGGGTGTGAGGGTGGGCGCAGGCAGCGGCATGGCAGCTGAGCACCCCTCCCTCCAGGTGAAGCTGCTGGAGCTGCAGCAGATGGTGTTGCGGCTTATAGCAACTACAACAATGGGCACAGAAAATTCCTGGCCACTGCCCAGAACCCTGCTGATGAGCCCGGTCCAGGAGCCCCAGCCCCCCAGGAGCTTGGGGCTGCAGGCAAGCATGGTGGTGAGTGGAGCCCTCAGGCGGGGTGGGCAGGCTGGAAGAGGGGGGCTCCCACTGTGCTCAGATCCCCGCCTCCCTCTCTCCAAAGATCTTTGTGAGGTGAGCCTCACCTCCTCTGCCCAAGGAGAGGCCACCTGGCCACATCCTGTTTTGTTCCATTTGTATTCCCACTTCATTTATATACATTCCTTCTTCCTCTGAATTATTTTGAAGTAAAACCTATATATCATATCATTTTTTAAATTACCTTATATGTATCTGTAGAAGACAAGGAATTTTAAAAAATGAATATACTCATAATGCCATTAAATACCAAAAAATACATTCTGAAAATAGCCACAAATTCAGAGTTTACATTTTCTTGACTTTCTCATAAGTGATTTTTTTCTAGGTTATCTATTTCAGATACCTGTTTGCTCATATTTACATTCCTAACTGAACAATGTCTGAAGAGGTACTTAAACCTGTCATAAAACACAAATGAGCTTATGACCAAATGCTTAGTGCCAGAAAAAACTTCAAACTGCAATATGAGTCTCTCCAAATACAGAAAGGACCAGTATTTTAAGAGGTGTGTTAACTAAAATGTTGCAGTGTATGGAGCAGAGCAGGAAGAACCTTTAAGTCCGAAACTTACAAGTAAATTTCATAGTTTCCGTGGTCCTTCCACAACAACCTCTGGCATCTGTTTTTTCTACAATGGAGGTAACAGTAGCTCTTTCAGAGCAGGAAAAGGCTTAGAGCAGTGCTAGAAGAGGGTGGTGGCTATATAAAGTTTAGCTATTTGTATATTGTAACAAACCACCTTTTTTTTTTTTTTAAGTCAGTAGTAGATTTCTTTTGGAAAAGTAGCCGCCTCCTGTCTAGAGATACCTGCAGTTCCACTAAGTGAACATTGGTGTCTGCTCACCTTTGCCTCTATTTCTCTCAATAATATACTCTTAAGCTGTTCCCTGATTTAGCAATTTTATACACTTTCTTTTTCTTTATTTTTTTTTCCTTTCCCTTTTCCTGAGACACTGTCCCGCTCTGTCGCCCAGTCTGGACTGCAGCAGCGCCAACATGGCTCACTGCCACCTTCACCCCCTGGCTCAAGCAATCCTCCTACATTAGCCTTCAGAGTAGCTGGGACTGCCCGCCGGGCCCACCAGGTCAGGCTAATCTTTATGGTTTTTGTTTTGTTTTTTTGTTAAGAGACCTGGTGTCGGGGTCAGGCGCAGTAACTCACGCCTGCAATCCCAGCACCCCAGAAGGTGGAGTCCGGCAGATCACCTGAGGTGAGGAGCGGGAGACCAGCCCGAGTAACATGGAGAAACCCAGTCTCTACCAAAAAAATAAAAAAATAAAAAACTAACTTGGCATGGTGGCTCACGCCTGCAATCCCAGCCACTCTGGAGGCTAAGGCAGGAGAACCACCCAAACCCGGGAGGTAGAGGCCGCGGGGAGCCGAGACCGGGCCACTGCACTCCAGCCTGGGCAACAAGAGCGAAACTCTGCCTCAAAAAAAAAAAAAAAAAAAAGACCGGTTTCACCACGTTGCCCAGGCCGGTCTGGAACTCCTAGGCTCAAGCGATCCTCAGTGCTCGGCCGTCCAAAGTCCCAGCTGGGATCACCAGCGTGAGCCACCACGCCAGGCCAATCTATTCCTTTCTGATTAATAAATTGGGCCGGTCACAGTGGCTCATGCCTGGAATCGCACCACCCCGAGAGGCTGAGGCGGGTGGATAACCTGCAGTCGGGAGTTTGAGACCAGCCTGACCAATGTGGCGAATACTCGTCTATACTAAAAAAAAAAAAAAAAAAAAATACAAAGTTAGCAGGCATGGTGGTTCACACCTGCAATTCCAGCCACTCGGGAGGCTGAGGCAGGAGAACCACCCAAACCGGGGAGGCGGAGGCCCAGTGAGCTGAGTCCACGCCACTGCACTCCAGCCTGGGCAACAAGAGCGTAACTCCACCTCAAAAAAAAAATACAAAAAAAAAAAGTGACCAGGTTTCACCGTGTTGCCCAGGCTGGTCTGGAACTCCTAGGCTCAAGCGATCTGCCGCGCTCGGCCGTCCAAATTCCTGGGGTCACAAGCATGAGCCACCACTCCAGGCCAATCTATTCCTTTCTAATTAATAAATTGGGCCAGGAATGGTGACTCAAGCCTGCAATCCCAGCACCCAGGGAGGCCGAGGCGGGCGGATCGCCTGCGGTCGGGAGTTTGAGATCAGCCTGACAAACATGAAGAAACCCCGTCTCTACCAAAAAAAAAAAAAAAAAAAAAAAAAAAAAAAAGCCGAGCATAGTGGCTCACACCTGCAATCCCAGCCACTTGGGAAGCTGAGGCAGGAGAACCAACCAAACCTGGAGGCGGAGGCCACAGGCAGCCGAGACCACGCCACTGCACTCCAGCCAGTCAGCAAGAGCGAAATTCTGTCTCAAAAAAAAAAAAAAAAGAGAAACCAAGTTTCATCATGTTGCCCAGGCCAGCCTGGAACTCCTAGGCTCAAGCGATCCCCCACGCTCAGCCATACAAATCCTGGGATCAGAATCATAAGCCACCATGCCAGGCCGATCAGTTGCTTTATGATTAATAAATTGGGCCTTGCGTGGTGACTCATGCCTGAAATCCCAGCACCCCTGGAGGCCGAGGCGGGCAGATAAGCTGAGATTAGGAGTTTGAGACTAGCCTGACCAACATGGAGAAACCCCATCTCCACCAAAAAAATAAAAAAAGAGCCGAGCATGATGGCTCACGCCTGCAATCCCAGCCACTAGGGAGGCTGTGGCAGGAGAACCACCCAAACCCGGGAGGCAGAGGCCCGGCGAGCTGAGTCCACACCACTGCACTCCAGCCTGGGCAACAAGAGCAGAACTCCGCCTCAAAAAACAAAAACAAAAACAAAAAACAAACAAAAAAAGTGACCCGGTTTCACCATGTTGCCCAGGCTGGTCTGGAACTCCTAGGCTCAAGGGATCCAACACGCTCGGCTGTCCAAATTCTTGGGATCACAAGCGTGAGCCACCACACCAGGCCAATCTATTCTTTTCTGATTAATAAATTGGGCTGGGTGCGGTGGCTCACACCTGCAATCCCAGCACCCCGGTGGCTCATGCTTACAATCCTGTAGCAGGATTTTTAAGGAATTAGAGAGACTGATGGGGTTTAGGAGGTTATTAATTAATTATTTACGTGCATTGGCCCAGTCGGATTAACATTTAAAGCACTGAGTTCTGAACAAGACTTACATTTTAAGCATTTTATGGGGTGGGGGTAGATCTGTGCAGGATGAAGCATATGATAGAAGTGAGAAACAAAGATAATTGTTCAGTTGAATCATGCATTATATTATTTTTTCCTTTTTTAGGAAAAATATATTTTGTAACTTGAGTTAGTTTAGTGACCTTGCAGTTGTACAGTTAGGGAATTAGGGTTTTTATAATGCCCGGGAAGGGAGGAGAGATAAGGCTCACTGCCATAGAAAAACAGGAGGTAGTAGTTTTTATTGAAGGACTCCAGCTCCTCTCTTTCTCAGGGGGAATTGGGTTTTTTTACATACAACTGAGTTTTTGTTTACACATTTTTTAATTTCTTTTAATTCCTGTTCCCATCCCAGCACCATGAGAGGCCGAGGCAGGCAGATAACCTGAGGTCGGGAGTTTGAGACCAGCCCCATGAACATGGAGAAGCCCCATCTCCACCAAAAAAAAAAAAAAAAAAAAATACAAAATACAAAATTAGCCGGGCATGGTGGCTCAGCCTGCAGTCCCAGCCACTCAGGAGACTGAGACAGGAATATTTTCTCCCTCCCTTAGATAAAAGATAGCATATACCATTGTGCACTTTATTTGTTTTTTGACCTGGGGTGGGGTCTCACTCTGTCACTGAGGCTGGAGTACAGTGGGGTGATCTTGGCTCACTGAAACCTCTGCCTCCTAGACTCAAGCTGTCTTCCCACCTCAGCCTCCAGGGTAGCTGGAACCACAGGTGTGTGCCACCACACCCAGCTATTTTTTTTGTATTTTTGGTAGTGACTGAGTTTTGCCATGCTGCCCAGGCTGATATCGAGCTCTTGGGTTCAGGCGATCCACCTGCCTCAGCCTCTCAGAATGTTTTCAAAGTGCTGGGAATTACAGGTGTGAGCCACTGCACCGGCCCATTTTGCACCTTTTTAAACTTCTCTCAGAGATGACTTCATATCTGTTTATAGAAATGTTCTTCATCTTTTTTTAAATTAGTACTTTGTAGTGTGGATGTACCACTTTTTTATTCAGTTAGGTTTTTTTTGACATTTGAGTGTTAGGTCTTTTTTTCTGACATTGTAAGACTAAAATATGAAAAGGAAAACTGGAAAAAATTTCAAAGAAAATTTACCTAACTGTCTTTGTGATCTTGTTGTAGGGAAACTTTTTGTAATGATTAGTATCCAGGATATGAAAAATAGCCTAATAATGAAAAGGAAAACTTAAGACAAAATGGGCATAGGATGTGAAGAGTTACTTTACAGAGGAAGAAATTGGAATGGTCAGTAAACGTGGGAAAAGATACTTGAACCAGAAACTCATGGATAAATTGAAAGTTAAAATGACTATTCTGTCATCTTCAGAGTGGCAAAAATATAAGTCTGACAGAATTGCTGGCAGAGATATGGGCCAGTGGAAACTCAGCTAGGTAAAGTGGAGCGCAATTTTATAATCTCTAATGAAGTTGAAGATGCACATACCTGAGCAAAAAAATACATGTGTACAAAGAAATTTGGAATAACTGTTTATCACAGTAGTGTTTGCAGTAATACAAGATGATGCAGAATGTAAGTTAACCAACAAGAGATTGGATAATTAAACTCATATCCATGTGGTGGAATATTATACAGCAATTAAACATGAACATACTAGATTAAAAAGAATTAACATGGGTAAATCTCATGAAGAAAACTTTGGGTAAAAAAGGCAAGCTGCAGAAGGATATGGGCAATATAATAACATATGTGAGTAGTTCATTTCCATATTTATGTTGTTTCAATGTTTAAAAAAAAAAAGAGTTATTGGCCGGGCGCGAAGGCTCACGCCTGTAATCCTAGCACTTTGGGAGGCTGAGGTGTATCGGGCAAAATTCACCCCCGATATTTCACATGGGTTCTTTTCTATTTTCCCCAAGTGTCGGCCAGTCTGAGAAATAAAGGGAAAGAGTACAAAAGAGAAATTTTAAAGCTGGGTGTCCGGAGGAGACATCACATGTGGGCAGGTTCCGTGATGCCCCCTGATCCGTAAAACCGGCAAGTTTTTATTAGCAATTTTCAAAAGGGGAGGGAGTGTACGAATAGGGTGTGGGTCACAGAGATCACATGCTTCACAAGGTAATAAAATATCACAAGGCAAGTGGAGGCAGGGCGAGATCACAGGACCACAGGACTGGGGCGAAATTAAAATTGCTAATGAAGTTTCAGACACGCGTTGTCATTGATAACATCTTATCAGGAAACAGGGTTTGAGAGCAGACAACTGGTCTGACCAAAATTTATTAGGCAGGAATTTCCTCATCCTAATAAGACTGGGAGCGCTATGGGAGACCGGGGCTTATTTCTTCCCTCTGCTGTGACTGTAAAAGACAGCCGTCCCCAAAGTGGCCATTTCAGAGGCCTCCCCTCAGGGACGCATTCTCTTTCTCAGGGATGTTCCTTGCTGAGAAAAAGAACTCAATGATATGTCTCCCATTTGCTTTTGAAAGAAGAGAAATATGGCTCTGTTCTGCCTGGCTCACTGGTAGTCAGAGTTTAAGGTTATCTCTCTTGTTCCCTGAACATTGCTGTTATCCTGTTGTTTTTTCAAGGTGCCCAGATTTCATATTGTTCAAACACACATGCTCTACAAACAATTTGTGCAGTTAACACAATCATCACAGGGTCCTGAGGTGACATACATCCTCCTCAGCTTACGAAGATGACGGGATTAAGAGATTAAAGTAAAGACAGGCATAGGAAATCACAAGGGTATTGATTGAGGAAGTGATAAGTGTCCATGAAATCTTCACAATTTATGTTCAGAGACTGCAGTAAAGACAGGCGTAAGAAATTATAAAAGTATTAATTTGGGGAACTAATAAATCTCCATGAAATCTTCACAATTTATGTTCTTCTGCCATGGCTTCAGCCGGTCCCTCCGTTCGGGGTCCCTGACTTCCTGCAACAGAGGTAGGTGGATCACCTGAGGTCAGGAGTTTGAGACCAGCCTGGCCAACATGGTGAAACCTCATTTTGGGGTGTGGTGGTGCACGCCTGTAATCCCATCTACTCGGTAGGCTGAGGCAGGATAATCACTTGAACCGGGGAGGCGGAGGTTGCAGTGAGCCCAGATTGCAACACTGTACTCCAGCCTGGGTGACAGAGCAAGACTCTGTCACCAAAAAAAAAAAAAAAAAATCTCTTAGTTTCTGATGGTTTTCCTGACCATATATGTGATGCCGAAGTTGCTTTTTTGTTGTCACACCTATTGGCATCAAGTGCTGAACTTTTCATGGAGTGGCAATTTTTTGGTAATAAAGCAACTTTCAAAATGAGTCTAAGTTTATCTCTGGAAAAGTTTGAAAGAATCAGTGAAGGTTCTTTTAGACAGTACCCATGTTCTACAGATCAGCCATTCTCTCTCTGTCTCTCAAATTTTCAGTAAACCTTTCCACATAGGATGTCAGCACGATTTTATTAATACATTAAATATATGTAAAATAAGGCAAATTAAGACACAACTCCATCAACTCTCATCTACTCTGGGCTTATTTCTCTTCATAGTACATAACACCATCTACGTCATATGCTTATTGTCTGTTTCTATTAGAGCAGGGTATTTTTGTTAGTGCTGTTAGTGTGCTCAGCATATACAGCAGCACTTGGCAGACAGTAGGTGCTGAATGAAAGAATGAAGAAGAACAGAACTCATTTTACTAAAGACATTTTGATATCACTTTTGGGATAGGATACTATACATTAAAGATGATACAGTGTTTATTCCAGAATGGTCTTAGCTACAGTGTTCACAGCACAGTATTTGTATACTTAACGCTGTTATCCATTCTACCTTCCTTTGAGGTTGGCATGAGAGTTGCCCGTCAGCGTATGTGTGCTCTTAGAAATCGGGGACAATACTATTCATTTTAAGCTTCTTGGCAGTGACGTGTACTTAACTAGATGGTGAACTCATAGGTGGAGGGGGAGTATCTAATGCTTTCGTATTCTGCTTTTCAGCAAATAAATATTACCGTACTGTGTGTGTAACATGAGCTATATAAGTGTGTGATGATTAAATTAGAAGATAGGGTTCTCTGCAATCCAGTTTTCCAAGATAAATTTTTGCCTTGTTTTTCTTAGGTAATAAAGGTACCATATTGACTGTTGATATATGCCTACTTAGTCATGCTTCTCTTGCAGTAATCTTATCAAATTGCCAGCTTTTTACTTTTTTAGAGAGACAGTCCTAGAATTGAGAATCCTCTTTTGCCTACATTCAAAATAGACTATATTACGTGGGTAGGAAATTTCTGGTGACCTACTTTTAATTTTTAAATTTAAAAAAATTTTAGCATAGTTTTAGATTTAGAAAATAGTTGCAAAGGTGGTATAGAGAGTTTCTGTGTACCACACAGGCACCCAGTTTCCCCTGTTGCTAACATCTTACATGATTATGGTATATTTGTCACAACTAACAAATCAATATTGATATATTATAACTAAACTGCATACTTTTAGGGGTAGTGACCCAGTTTTAAAGCTTATTTCCCACAATTTGTTAAAAATGACAATCAGCATTGAATGCCCATGGGTGGTGGCTTCCTGATTCTTCAAAGAAACTGAGTAATTTTGTAACCATTGGGACTTATCAGGAAATAAGGAACTCATAATAATGTGCGCTTAAATTTCCAGTGGAGGAATTGTACAGCTTAAAATATGTTTTTGTAAGTTGGGTATTAATAAAGAGGCTGGGTGGGGTTTGATCACTATTAATTCTGATTTATTTTGTTCCCTGGAAAATATGTTACTACCACATGGTCTACCCTTCATAGATAATCAATCCTAAGATCACTGGGTGGAAAAGGGTTGCCCTGTAGTAGGAAATGTGTCCTCCTGGGACTGAGTTGAGATTTAGTTTAGCACACAGTATAAGTAGCCAATGGCTGCTATGAGACTGACTTCTAGAATTCAAATTGGTATAAATTTAATCTAATTCTTTTCCCCAGGACTGCCCAATTTAAGATTAAGTTTTAAACTGGCGCTTATTAGAGATATGGCCATTTTGCCATTTCAGTGGAACCTTTTAATCAGCTTTAATGCTGTCTTAGGTAAAGTAAAAACTTAATCTAAGGGCTTTTCTAGTTTGCCATCCTCAAAGCAGAAAAAGCAGCAATGAAGCAGCACTGCCTCATATAGACTCTGCTTTTATTAAATTTGATTCAATAATCCTCTTCCAGTCATCTTTTGTGCTGCATATTTGAACCATAAAATAAACAAAAATTGTACCCAAATGAAAATTTCAAGTTATTTTAATGAAGCTCTGGAAACATCCCACAGCTCAGAAGATATTTTTTCCTAGTTTATTTTTTAAATTCTGGAAAGTAGGTCAGTAGACATACCCTGCTTTAATTGGTTTAATTAGAAGTGAAAAATTATAGGACTAACTCAATTTGAAGTATAGATTTCAATAAGAAGAATTATACTGGGATGAATATTATTTAAGGTTTTGAATTTAAGATGCATTTAATCAATGCTTATAATTTCCTCTTGAAAAGATTTATATTGCAAAAAGGAAGACTAAGTGTTGGAATATATCAATATACAGGGAAAAACTTTGCCATGAAATATAATATTTGATAAAATCATTTTAGAATTGTATCTCTAAATGGTATGCCTAAGAATATTGTTCTATAGGACCTTAATAGATATGCCTCGGGGGAAAAAAGTATTGTGTGCTCAAGTGAGTTTGAGATATACTGCATTAAATATAAGAAGTTGCCTTCAGGACTTCTCAGAGTCTTTAACACTTTCTGAATTTCTGAGACAAGATATATAGAGGGTACAGTACTTTGCAAACCTATTTATCCCTATACCACCTAGTAACATTTTTCAGGAAAATGTTTTGAGAACACGAATTGGACCTGTTTTAGGAATTTATACCTTTGACAATGTTGAGGACCTTGTTTTTTCCTATTATAATGATGATGTGATATTCACATATATTACTTTTTCCCAATTCTTTATCTTTAAGATATTTTTCCAATGTATTATATTCAACCCTCTGCTCAGTGCCTTCCTTCTGCTAACTGAAGTGGTGGTTTCCATCTGTTGCTACACATCAGAAATACCTGGCCCTGACCCTGGAGATTCTGTAAGAATAGAAATGCCAGAATACCTGCTCAGGATTCTGTATTTATTACAAACACCCAGGTGATTCTGATGCAGCCAACACTGGTCCTCCAACTGATGCTTTGGAATTGTTGAACTAAAAGCATGCCTTTTTTTCTAGATGGATGAGTAGATTGGGGCATAGTTTGTGGTCCTAGAACACATGGGTTAACCATCCATCCTAGTGAGAATGATAGCACAGGCCTCTGATGACCCCACGAGGTGCTGTGCTGGCTATAACCTAACATGAAACTATTATTATTCTTTAAGAAAAGCAGAATATGTCTAAATGGGCTTTTAGCCACCTTCCTAATAATGAAGTACCATATATATGATTACCATTTGTTTTAATTTCAAGTAATTCCCTTGTAGATGAGGTTTTATTTATTTATTTATTTGTGTGTTTGTTTGTTTGAGACGGAGTCTCGCTCTTTTGCCCAGGCCGGAGTGCAGTGGCGTGATCTCGGCTCACTGCAAGCTCCACCTCCTGGGTTCACGCCATTCTCCTGCCTCAGCCTCCCGAGTAGCTGGGACTACAGGCGCCCGCCACCATGCCCAGATAATTTTTTGTATTTTTGGTAGAGACGGGGTTTCACTGTGTTAGCCAGGATGGTCTGGATCTCCTGACCTCGTGATCCGCCCGCCTTGGCCTCCCAAAGTGCTGGGATTACAGGCGTGAGCCACCGTGCCCGGCCTGTTCTTTAAAAAGAATATTAGATTATATTTTCTAAATGTGCCAAGTATCTAAGAATATATTCTTTCACCTCCTGCTGATAAGAGTTATACATTTAACCTTAAGCAAATCTGCCAAGATTCTATGTCATTTATGCTTTGATTTATGTGAGTATTAATGTAGTTTCTGTGACTATTGTATGGTTATATATACCCTCCACCTAGTAAAACAGTTCCATATTCCTGGAAATGGTCTTTTACATCCCACAAATGTAGCTGGAAAGGAATAATATAAATACTAATGGTTTGAGAGACAACTAGTCTTGACATGTCTTGGTTGAATAGTGTTCTATAAGCAACAATATATGAAATACTAGACACACCCATTAAAAGTAGAAAATACCCACTACTGTTCTAAAATTATTCTGCAAGATCTCACCAATGCAATGAGACATAAAACAGAAATAATGGGTGTAATTATTGAAAATTGGAGATAAAATTTTTATTACTTGCAAACAAAATTCTCTGTGTCAAAAACCTGATAAATTAAACAATACAATTAATATGTTTAATAGAACTAATTACATATGAGAGGCATCCAAAATCCATTTTTTCTATACAAACATGGTTTGATATACACAGTCTTGTTTTATCTGTGTATTAATTGGTTGATGAAATAATAAATGGAAAAATCAAGTATGCATTATCAGGTTAAAGAAGCAGGAGAGACAGAGCCATAAAAACAAAGAGAGAAGAATGTTGTAAGGAGGGCTTAACGACCAGGATAAATGTTGTAGAGAGATCAATTAAAGTGATGGCCTAGAGATCACAGGCTTCCTTTGGCAGAGCCATGTTGGTGAAGTGAAGGAAGTGGAAGCCAGACCACAATGGTTGAAGAATGAATGTAATGTAAGAGCCAAGACATTTATTTGAGTTTGATAGTAATGAAAAAGGACGAGAATTTTCTTCTTGCTGTTGTTTTTGTCATTTCATGTTCAAAACCCTTTATCTCCCATGTGGGACTGAAAACTCCAAGATGGGATCTCTGTTTCTGTGAGGCCTGTAGTGCTTAGTACATCCTTGAATGTGTGAGGCTCTCATTGGTATAAGTTTAATTCCTGACTGTGGATGAAAGCTTTAAAACTTTGCGGGCAAAATACAGAATGAATTTCAGTGAGTTCCCATGTATTAAACAAGGTGGCGCTGGCTGGAGACATGCTGTCCCTGTGCCCACAGGAGTAGCAGTGCTGTGCTCATCTTCCTGACCCGCTCTTCACAGTCTTCACCGCCTTTCTTCAGGAGTCTCCCCTTTGGCTTTTCCACAGCTATGAAACCCACGTAGTCGGACACCCTGATGCTTCTCCTGCAGGGCGTGTGATGAGGAGGTGAGCTTGGCTTTGGAGTGCTGGGAACCTGAGGAATTGCCAAGGACCCAGAGCCCAGCCCTGACCACCCAGAGAGCCCAAAACACAATGAACAAATTGAATTTCCACAACAGAGTCATGCAAGACCGCCGCAGCGTGTGCATTTTCCTTCCCAATGATGAATCTCTGAACATCATCATAAATGTGAGTAGATCTCAATATAATTCTGATAGCTGGAGGATAGTGTATTTTCAGGTTTGCTGGAGGAAAAAAACTGGACTTTAAATAATTAAGACAAAATGATTGTATTAATTGACTTCTATGCTTAATCACTAATTTCACTTTTTATATTTCCCTTGACTTTTGGGGGAGAAATAGTCTTTGTCTCAAAAGTGGGCTTCAGTGACCTATGGGTCTGATGAAGCAACCAGGGATAATGAGACAAGGATATTTAATGGCAACATGCCAGCAATTATTATTAGTTAATTGAAAGCGTTTATGATTTTGGCCTGGGGCCAATGCTTTCCCCCTCTGCTGGGCTAACATGTGGGTAAGGGAGAGGAAAAGCTTTGTTTGACTTTTTAAATAAAAGTATTACGTAACTTTGAAATTTGTATAAAATTAAAAGATAGTAAAAACAACTATTCTAACAGAATTCAAAACCTGTTATGCTTCAGTGGAGAGATTATTCAAGATAAGTCCGTGGGAAATTGGGAGTACATTTCTACTGGCAAAGTTAGTGATAACTATGCACTTCTGACAAAATGTGAAATGGGGGGTATGGGCGTGTCATATCATCATGGTGCAGATACGTGGATGTGTGCTTCCAAACAATGGCAACCTAACTGACTGCTGGAACCATACAAAATACCTGAAACTACTCAGAAAGAAGGTGAAAATTGCATGCAAAAATTATTTGAAAAATATTGAGCTAACACAACATGAATTTTGAATTATAAGTGAGGTATTGTAACTCACCTACAGATGTGTTTTTTGTAATCAATATTCATGGACTCAGACTACACAGTAAAAGCTTACATAGAAATCATTCTATCTAAACTTTCTGGATATGAAAGTAACTTACTATGTGTTTTGCTACTATATCTTTATATGAATTTAAATCACATTTCCAAGTGGCTTACAGTAATCAAGGTTAATTTGTCACAAGGAAGATGCAAATTAAAACCACATTGCAATATCACTGCACACCCACTAGTACGGTTTAAAAGAAAAAAAAACAAAATATCAAGTATTGGTGAAAATGTGGAGCAAACAGAACTCTTTTTCAATAATGGCGGGTATGTAAAGTGGCACAAACACTTTGGAAACCTGTTTGGCATTATACTGTACTAAACCTGAACACATGCATTGTTTATGACCCAGGAATGCCCCTCCTGGGAACCAACAACAACGCATATATGTGTTGCATATGTTCACCAAAAGACATTTACAAGAATGTTCATAGCAGCACTATTTGAAATCGCCCCCAAGTAGAAGATGCACAAATATTTAACAGTAGTTAGATAAAGTGTGGTACGTTTATGCAATATAATACCATATAGAAACGAGAGTGAGGGATCTGCAAACTAATATGCAACTGTACAAATGAATCCCACAAATATAATGTTGGGTGGCAGAAGCCAGATGCAAATGAATACATGCTGTAGATTTCATTCTTTTACATTAAAAAAGCTAGTCACACAAAGTTATGCTGTTAGAAGAGAGTGATTTGGTCGGGCGCAGGGGTAGTTACAGGAAGGGAGTACACGGAGATTTCTGGTTGTTAGTTATGTTCAGTGTCAATCTAGGTGCTAAACAGGTACAATAAAGATTTTAGAATTCATCAATTTGCACACTTATGATAGATGCACTTTCCTGTATGTATATTTCAATACAATCTTTTAAAAAGTAAAATGACAAAAAGACACTATTAACAAAAATGACATATTACATTAACTGTTATACTAAGGAAAATATAAAAATGAGTTCTATAACAGGGGCTCTGCAGGTCATGTGGTCATGCCAAGGACCATATGTGCTCAAGATTCTCATGACATTTTGGAAGGAGGTTGGGCTTTCTTTATCTTTCCTTTCTTCTCTCCCTTCCCTTCCCTTCCCTATTTTTAAACCTAGGTTTGGTATTTTCCTGGGGTGATGGTGACTTTGGAAAATTGGGCCGGGGCGGAAGTGAAGGCTGCAACATTCCCCAGAACATTGAGAGACTAAATGGACAGGGGGTGTGCCAGATTGAGTGTGGAGCTCAGTTCCTACTGGCGCTCACCAAGTCTGGAGTGGTGTGGACATGGTACGTAAACGTCCTCCCCATCACAGTGTGCGTGCTTGTGCCGGTGCGTGCAGGGAACTTGGGCCTCGCCCCAGGACCACCCCGGCATGATTGTGACCTGTCATATTTTTACTTATGCATGCATCTTTGTCCTTTAAAGGATATTGAGTCGGGATTAGTGACAATAGTACAAGAAGAAATTTCCTATTGTAACTGGGTCATTTTGAAAATACTAGAAAAATTTTAGGCCACTTACCTTTCCTGTTTGGGCGAGATTTATAGGAAGTGTTTCTTCTGCTGAAGCCTAAGGATAAAATGAGAGCAAAATAGCCTTCTGAATCCTTTGATCCTGAGAAAGTTAACATGTATTTCTTGTTAAAGCTTATTATATTAATGTGCAAAAGAGCAGGTGCCCAGACTGGCCTTGGATGCTGTGTCAGGCCTTGCTGCCTCTGGTCATAACATTGGCACTATTTATTTATTTATTTATTTATTTATTTATTTATTTATTTATTTATTTGAGATGGAGTCTCGCTCTATCGCCCAGGCTGGAATGCAGTGGCACAATCTCAGCTCATTGCAAGCTCCGCCTCCGGGGTTCACACCATTCTCCTGCCTCAGCCTCCCGAGTAGCTGGGACTACAGGTGTCTGCCACCATGCCCGGCTAATTTTTTTGTATTTTTAGTAGAGATGGGGTTTCACCGTGTTAGCCAGGATGGTCTCAATCTCCTGACCTCGTGATCCACCCACCTCAGCCTCCCAAAGTGCTGGGATTACAGGCGTGAACCACCGCGACTGGCCAACATTGGCACTTTAAGAAAGATGTATACCAGATAGGACTTTGGATAGGTGTTTGCAGTAGTGTGTCTTATTTTCAGTCTATATGAAAACCTACAACAGTAACTTAAATATTGTAGAACATGTATTAAGGTATTAAGGTTTTTCCCAGCTGACTTAATAAGTTAATTTGAATTAATGGTGTATGATTTTGAATACAAGTTCGAAGACCTTGGGTGCTGTGTGTGATGTCATTGAGCTGGCTGTGAAAGATGTGAGACAATGAGTGTCTTCTTGTATCGCATGGTAAGACCATAACCGTATTGTAACACTCCACCACGGGCCTCCTCTCAGGGGAAAGGGGGATTACTTCAGGTTGGGCCACCGCTCTGACGTGCACGTTCGGAAGCCGCAGGTGGTGGAAGGGCTGAGAGGGAAGAAGATCGTGCATGTGGCTGTCGGGGCCCAGCATTGCCTGGCGGTCATGGACTCAGGGCAGGTAAGGCTGCAGGTGGCCTGGGGGTGGCGTGCCATCCTGACTTGGGGGACTTGGGGGTCACGACACGGCCCTCGTCCTGTTGAAATCGCAGCTGTTGATGAACTCAGCCGAGTCTTACTGCTTGAAGAACCATGGGGGCGGGACCCGTCCCTTTTGCCCGCTGGTGCATCTGCCTGCTTAGCAGCAGGGGTTGGGGGCGGGGTCCTCAGAAAAGAGGCGTTCCCACTCTGAAGTCCACGTGAAAAGTGTGTGGAAAGATTGTTATTCTTTTTATTATTATTTTTTTTTTGAGACAGAGTCTCGCTTTGTCGCCCAGGCTGGAGTGCAGTGGCGCGATCTCGGCTCACTGCAAGCTCCGCCTCCTGGGTTCACGCCATTCTCCTGCTTCAGCCTCCCGAGTAGCTGGGACTACAGGTGCCTGCCATCGCTACCAGCTAATTTTTTGTATTTTTAGTAGAGACAGGGTTTCACCGTGGTCTCGATCTCCTGACCTCGTGATCCACCCGCCTCGGCCTCCCAAAGTGCTGGGATTACAGGAGTGAGCCACCGTGCCCGGCCAAAAGATTGTTATTCTTGAAGATGCTCCTACTGCAAGGTATTAGCAAGACTTTGCTTTAGAGAATTGCTAACTGGCAGGAGGGATCCATGCCTCATTTTAGAGACAGAGCTGGTGCCTGACAAGTGTTACACTCTCTTCTGCTTGGAGAAGCATACGCTATGACCGGCCTGTGGATATTCAATTTAAAATTTTATTTATGAAAACAAAATTACCATTACTGTTTTTTTAGTCAAAATGAATTATACTTTATAATTCTATAAGGCCAAGGAGCAACTTACTTGAAAAATGAGCATATTATTTTTGGTCATTTTTCTTTGCAAAGTAAAAGGGAAAAAATTATTGCACTTTTTTGAAGAGAAGACCTTCTGTGTGTCTTGCAACAAAACAGAATTAATTGGATTAATATTAAGAAAATACTCTTTTTATGGTTATTGGCAAGCATTTTCATGGTTAGATTTTCTTCAGAATTGTAGTACACTGATGCCATTTTGTAAGATTGTGAAATGGTTTGTTTTTACTTTTCAGAACTCAATTCTTTCAACTACCATGGCATACACGTTAAGCATTTTGAAGTAAAAATTACATTAAAGAAAATGTCCTGAAATGTTGAAAAATTATAAGCATTTTTCCCCTCATAAACAGGTGTATGCTTGGGGTGACAATGACCACGGCCAGCAGGGCAATGGCACGACCACGGTTAACAGGAAGCCCACGCTCGTGCAAGGCTTAGAAGGCCAGAAGATCACACGCGTGGCTTGTGGGTCGTCCCACAGTGTGGCGTGGACAACTATGGATGTGGCCACGCCCTCTGTCCACGAGCCCGTCCTCTTCCAGACTGCAAGGGACCCTTTAGGTGCTTCCTATTTAGGTAACACAGATTTGCATCTTCTCTGAGATTTTCCAGTAGGTTACAGCAACCTTATATTTATTTAATTGTGCCAACACATTAGAGGTTGTAGTGCCGTGTTAACTACATTATGAATCTAAAGACACAGAAGAATTATGGTGTGCGCTCATGCGATTTATGCTGCTGGAATGAAAATTTTAGAAGAAAGTATGTTGCTGATTCTTGTATTTATGATCAGGTAAACTCACAGCGCTGTCCTTCTGTGTAAACAGGACTCCTAATAACTGCCTGAGAGATACAGGCACTGTACTGGGCTCTTTTGTATTTTTTAACAGCTTTATTCAGTTATAATTGACATATAATAAACTGCACCTATTTAAAGTATGCATTTTGATTGACTTTGGAATATGTATGATCCATGAAAGCATCAGCACAATCAAAGATAATGAACTCATACACTACCCCAGCGTTCCTCTCTGGCCCTCTGTACCCCTCCCTTTTGCTTTTAACTCCCTCCTTCCTGCCGTATGCACCAATTCTGTCACTAGAGATCAGTTTGCATGTTTTCTTTTTTGTTGTTGTTGTTGTTTTGTTGGGTGTTTTGTTTATTTGTTTGTTTTCTTTTTTTTTGTAGACCGGGTCTCACTCTGTCGCCCAGGCTGGAGTGCAGTGGCATGATCTCGGCTCACTGCAGCTTCCACCTCCTGGGCTCAAGTGATCCTCCCACCTTAGCCTCCCAAATAGCTGGGACTACAGGCACATGTCACCATGCCTGGCTAATTTTTGTTTGTTTGGTGGAGACATGGTTTTGCCATGTTGCTCAGGTTGGTCTGGAACTCCTGAGCTCAAGTGATCCTCCCACCTCGGCCTCCCAAAGTGCTGGGATCATAGGCAGGAGCCACTGTGGCAGGCCAGTTTGCATGTTTTACAGCTTACTATAAATGGACTCATACAGCATATACTCTTTTTAAAAATCTTACTTTTTCCACTCAGCATAATAATTTTGGGATTCACTTATGTTGCATGTATCAATAGTTTATTCTTTTAAATTGTTGAATAGTATCTTAAGATAAACAAATGCAATTTGTTTATCCATTTTTCTGTTGATGAATGTTTGGGCTGTTTCCAGTTTTTGACTATACAAGTGAAATTGCTAATGGACATTTCCGTACAAGTTTGTGTATGGACATCCACTTGAAATTCTCTTGGGTAAACTTCTAAGAGAGGAGTGGTTGGATCATATGGTAGGTGTATGTCTAGCTTCTTAAGATCACTACATACTGTTTTGCAAAGTGGATGTTCCAGAGGTCCAGATCCTCCACATTTTTGTCAACCCTTGATACGTTCAGTCTTTAATTTTAGTTATATTGACAGATGTATAGTGGTATCTCGTTGTGGTTTTAATCTGCATTTCCCTAATAACTAATGATCTCAAGCATCTTGCTTATTTACAAATCAGATACCTTTTTTGGTGAATGTCTGTTCAAGTCTTTTCCTATATTTAAATAGGTTGATTGTTTTCTTACTGAGTTTGAGAATTCCTTATATATTCTGGGTTACAAGTCCTTTGCCTAATATAGAATTTGCTAATATTTTCTGGCAATGTGGCTTGTCATTTTATTCTCTTCACAGGTGAATCTTAAAGATTAGAAGTTTTTAATTTTGATGAAGCCTAGTTTATTCATTTTATTCTTTTGTAGAGTGTACTTTTGATGTTGTGTCTACAAAACCTTTGCCTCAAGATTATAAAGATTCTCCTTCTATGTTCTGTTATAGAAGTTTTATAGTTTTAGATATGTGTATCTATGACCAGTTGATTAAATTTTATATATGGTGGGAGGTTCAGATTGAAAGGCTTTTTTGGGCATGATTGTCCAGTTGTTTCAGTTGTATTTGTTGAAAAACTATGCTTTTCCTAATGAATTGCCTTTTGCCTTTGTCAGAAATCAGTTGTCTGTAGATGTACGGATCTATTTCTGGACTCCCAGTATGTTTCATTGATTTATTCGTGTATTTTGTTGGCAATGCCACATTGTCTTGATTACTACAGCTTTATAAAAGGCTTGAACTCAGGTTGCAACAGTTTTTTAGCTTTGTTCTTTTTCAAATATATTTTGGCTGTTGCAGGCCCTTTGCATTTCCATATGACTTAAAATGAGCTTGTCAGTTTTTATAAAACCGCTTGCTTGGGAATTTGATATGGATTGCATTAACTCTGTAAGTCAATGTGAAAGGATGGATTCACAGTATTCAGTCTTCTAACCCATGAACATAGTGTTTCTCTTTATTTGTTAGGTGTTTAGTTTCTCTCAGCAATGTTTTCTAGTCCCAGTGTTGTATAGGTCTTGTATATCTTCTGTTAGATTATCTCTAAGAATTTCAGATTATTAAATGGTCTCTAAAAATATCATTTCTTCTACTGTATGGGAATATTCACATTGCTCCTTGCTAGCATGTAGAAATAAATACAATTTTTTTTTAAAGTGAACCTCATCTTGTCATACAAATATTTTGTTTTTTCCCCTTATCTCTCAGGAGGGGACATTTAGGCTCCAGCAGCATCTGCTTTTATGAAAAACTGGAATGTGACTTTCTGGCTGTGTTAGTTACTGGCTGTAAGAACTGGGGCGAGTAGCTTCGCCTTCCTGTGCTGTCTTTTCTGGGGTAGATGAAGATAAGGCTTGACTCTCCTCTTCTCCTTTCTGGTTCAAATTACTCAGTATCTTCTTAACATATAGCTCTTTTCATGTCACATTATGGTATAACTTTTGAGTTTGGCTTTTTCCACTCAGCCTAATCCTCTGGCAATTCATCCAAGTTGTTACATATTACGTAGTATGTTCAGTATTCCATCGAATACTCAATCATCGAAGGACATCTGGATTATTTCTAGGTTTTGGCTGTTACAAATAAAACTGCCATGTCATTCATACACAGGTGAATGTGAAAATTCACTTTTTGTGAAAATAAATTCTTATTTCCTTGACATAAATGCCCAAGAGTGTGATTGCTGGTCACGTGGTAATTATGTTTAGTTTGACAAGAAACTGCTCAACTGTTTTCCAGAATCGCTGTGCCATTTTATATTCTCATTAGCAGTGGAGGATGATCCAGTTTTTCCCATATCCTCACTATCTTTTTAAAATGTAGCCATACTGATAGATAGGTCATTGTATCTCATTGTGGTTTTAATATTTTCCTTATGGCTAATTATGTTAACCATCTTTTCATGTGCTTATTTACTGTCCATATCTCCTCTTTGGTAAAATATGTCTTCATGCCCTTTTCTAATTGGCTTTTTTTTTCTGTTGAGTTTAGAGAGTTCATTATATATTCTAGATGTTTCTAGTCCTTTGGCAGACATGTGTTATGCAAATGTTTTCTCCTGGTCTGTAGCTTGTCTTTTCATTTCCTTTCATTAAAAAAATGCTTAATTTTGATGAAGTCTAATTCATCAGTTTTTTCTTTTATAGATCATACTTTTGGTGTCAAGTCTATACTTTTGCCTAGTGCTAGATCCTAAAGACTGTCTCCTATTCTTTTCTAAAAGATTTATAGTTTTGTATTTTCTACTTAAGTCATGATCCATTTGGATTTAATTTTGCATAAGGTGTAGACTTAGGCTGAAGTTTGGGTTTTTTGCCCACAGACGTCCAGTTGCTCCACCACCACGTGCTGAAAGGCTGTCCTGCCTCCACTGAGTTGCTTTTGCCCATTTGTCAACAGTCAGTGAGGCATATTTGTGTGGTTCTATTTCTGCGTTCTCTGTTTATTCCTTTGATTCTTATGCCAGTACCACACAGTTTTGATTATGGTATTACAACAACTTTTGAAATTGGGTAGACTCGTTCCTCCTTCTTATTTTTCTATTTCTATTCTTGCTCCTTTGCCTTTCCATATACATTTTAGAATAATCTTGTCTCTTGACAAAAACTCTTGCTGGAATTCTGGTAGGAATTGCATTAAATCTGTGTATCAGTTTGGATGAGTTGACATAGACACATGTCCCAGCTCCACCTGGCTCCCTCCCTCTACTGAGACCTGGGAGTTCGCAGGGAAGTGAGCCTGATGGGACTTTATTGGTGAACATCTTCTCTCTTTGTTGTTTTGTATTCTTTTTTCATCTTGCCTTACCAGGGTAAGAAAATACAGGTAGTTATTGCAGCATTTTCATAGCTTATATGTATATAACATAAACGGTTGTAAGTGCATTTTATAAAAGCACCTACATCTTTTTGCAGTTACAGTTAAACTTTGCTGAAAATAGCTTCTTTATCGAAGTATGGATAAGTGGTTTTCTTATTCTGAAGGCCTGTTAATGAGCCTAATATGTGCCCTGTGAAATAGCAAAATGCAGATTGCAGTGTGTTTTGGAACTAACCTATAAGGTCAGATATTATAGAAATAGAGCAAACTGTGATCTTAAAAACAAAATGCAAATTTTATTTTCCTGTTATAGGCGTGCCTTCAGATGTCAATTCTTCTGCTGCCAGTAATAAAATAAGTGGTGCAAGTAATTCTAAGCCATATCACCCTTCTCTTGCCAAGATTCTCTTGTCATTGGATGGAAACCTGGCCAAACAGCAGGCCTTATCGCATATTCTTACAGCATTGCAAATCATGTATGCCAGGTAGGTTTCTGTGCTAATTTTTGAAATTCTGCAATTATGTGAGCTTCAGGTTTTTGTGATTTTTTTTTCATTGATCAGATGTCTCCAAGAATGTTGTATTGTTGTCTTTAAATGCTGTGTGTTGTAAGTCACGTGTTCTTTGATGGTGATTGATATCTTTGTGCATGTTTTAATAGGCATTGAAATATGAATTAGAAAACTAACTTGAACATTTTCACTATTCTTTTTGACCAGTAGACTCTAACCATTAATATTTGGGGGAAGAAAAGAATTAGGTGATACTAATTTATAGTGATGTCTAAGACGACTTAGCGTCCCCTTCACTCACTTTGAGAAGGCTGTTTTGCCAATGCAGCATTTTGCAGTATTTTTCTGCTGCTTTCCCACAGCCTAGATAAGTTGCCCATCTGCTAATGTATCACACATGTGGACCTGACAGGTGTCCTTACATAGGAAAATTAGTTTCAGAACAAAAACATTCAGTAGAGGCTATTGAGTCCTTGCTGCTCAGTATGTGGCTTTCAGTAAACACAAAATTGCCTGCTGGTCAATTATCCAGCCCTCAGGCTCTCACAGCAGCCCAAGAGGATTTCTTTCTCAGGGAGAGCCAGAGTCTCATTCTGGTCTGGTTTTTATGTTTGGCAGTTTTTCACCTGTCATTACTCTGGTTTTTCAAATAAATAGGATCCAGAGTAAACATTTTAGCTATTAGCCAAAGGATACATGGTAATAATGTTTGGTAGTTTTCCAAAACTCTTCTACATGTATTCAGTAAAAATGAGGAAACGCCTCAGTGCGTGCTAGTCCTGCCTCACCACTTCCTGTGGTGCAGTGGAGAAGGGGCAGCTCACCACAGGCCTGGCTTTGTGTCCTGACAGAGATGCCGTAGTGGGGGCCCTGATGCCGGCCGCCATGATCGCCCCGGTGGAGTGCCCCTCTGCGGCTGCTTCGGACGCATTTGCGATGGCTAGTCCCATGAATGGAGAAGAATGCATGCTGGCTGTTGATATCGAAGACAGACTGAGTCCAAATCCGTGGCAAGAAAAGAGAGAGGTAAAAGCGAATCGTAAAGCAGTGTTACATCAGAAAGGAAAAGGTGGCTACTTTGTGCCTAGGAAAGTCTCATCCTGTCATTTAGTTTAGGCTGTTTCTGTGCCTCCCGCTTTGATTTTTGGATTTACTTAGAAGAATATTCTCGGTGAAGGAGCTTTTAAAGTGCTTACGTGCAATTAGATTTCTTTTTTAAAAAAATCATGGCCGAGCGCGGTGGCTCACGCCTTTAATCCCAGCACTTTGGGAGGCCGAGGCGGGCGGATCACGAGGTCAGGAGATCCAGACCATCCTGGCTAACATGGTGAAACCCCGTCTCTACTAAAAATACAAAAAATTAGCCAGGCTGGTGGTGGGCGTCTGTGGTCCCAGCTACTCGGGAGGCTGAGGCAGGAGAATAGCATGAACCCGGGAAAGCAGAGCTGGCAGTGAGCCGAGATCGCGCCACTGCGCTTCAGCCTGGGTGACAGAGCAAGACTCTGTCAAAAAAAAAAAAAAAAAAAAAATATATATATATATATATAAGTTCACAGTCCTTTATCTGCAATTCTGAAACCTTAAAGTTCTGAACTTTAGTAACTTACTTTGGGGGAAAGAACCAACTTGAAGATACGTGAACTCATTTTAGTCTGGTTCATGTGACCTGCTGTGAATATTAATAGTTTTTCTTGAAAATATGAATGTACTCGACTTTGCACAATTGTCCTAGGCCCGACTGGGGGTGGTAGTGGCTATGTCGGGTAGGCACCATGTTACCTCTGTAAAATCTGGAACATTCCAAACAGCCCAAGTAGTTTTAAATAAAGCATTTGGGACTTGAGTAGGAAACGTGTTATGTTTTTGAGTTTTTCCACTTAAACTTCCCCTACTGTGCACTGTTCGACTAGATTGTTTCCTCTGAGGACGTGGTGACCCCCTCTGCAGTGACTCCATCGGCCCTCTCAGCCTCCGCTGGGCCATTTATCACAGTGACGGATGACCCGGGAGCTGCAAGCATCTTTGCAGAAACCATGACCAAAACTGAAGAGGTAAAGAGGCATTCTTTTTTCGCTTTGTATTGTGAAATTACCAAATGGCAGGTGGAGCCGCAGATCGATGACCCCAACAGCAACCTTGAGGAGGTGATTAATGAGGCAGAGGCCATCACCTCTGAGAACAGCCTGGGATGTAAGCAAGCCTTGAATACAGATTACCTTGATTCTGATTACCAAAGAGGACAGCTGTACCCTTTCTCCCTTGGCAGTGATCTCCAGGTGGCCGCGTTTATTCTCACAAATTCAGCCCGATGACTCAGTCCTTCCAGGAATGGTGGTACGTGAATCTCAACAGCCTAATGGACCAGGCTTTGACCCCACAGTGTGGCAGTGGGGAAGACCTATATATCCTCACAGGCACAGTGCCCTCAGACTACAAAGTTAAAGACAAAGTGGCTGGGCATGAGATGTCCTTCCTGGCTGCAGACACTTCATCCATTTCTCTGGGTGGCTACTTGGTGTGGAGGAAAGTCTTACTCTGTCACTCAGTTTAGGCAGTTTCTGTGCCTGTTAGGATTTTTGGCTTTAGTTAGAAGAATATTGTCTTTAAAAGAACTTCTAAAGTTTATAAGTAGAATTAGATTTTTTAAAAAAAATCATTAAATGCAAGTTCATAGTCCTTTATCTGCAATTCTGAAACGTTAAAGCTCTGATAGTCAGAAATTTTAGTAACTTACATGATCACCAAAACGATAAAGTACTTAAGTAGAGTTGAGCAGTCTTGAAAGCACAGCAAAGATTTATTTGGTGGATATTTTAGGGGCTTGTTATTTCTTCATCTGCTATTCATGAAGAACTAAAAAGCTGTAGGCTTCCTTTTTTCTACTTTTTTGAGACGAGTTACTTGGTGTAATTCTGAGAGATGAAATCGAGGTGAATTGCCTTAAGCACTATTATTATTTTTCATAAGTTTATTGCATTTGTGAGAGGGAAGGGTATGAATCAGAACTTCGATTTATAATAATGCTGAGCATTTGCCATGCACATCCCTGCATTCTCAGTACAGATAGGAGGGGTTACCTTTATATATGGATGAGGACACTGAGGCTGAGAGGTTATTACTGGCTTGAGGACACTCACTTTTCTGGTAGGTGGAAGAGATGGGTTGGAACCCTGAGTGCTCTGAGCCCCAGCTCCGTCATGACCCTTCTGCAGATGATGCGCTTGGCAGAGCAACCTTCTGAAGGCCAGAGCCCCTGGTCGACTCTGCATATGGGCGCTTGATGATGCCAACATCTGCTTTCAGTAACTCAACCAGGTTCCAGGAGAGACAGGAATAAGGATATGGCCGTTTTCATACTGCCCTTGCCAGATTGGCAAGATGGCTATTTCTGTGTCTTGCCCTGACCTGATATTTGCGACTCAAAAAGAGAGACAAATTTAGATTTAAAATCATGCCTATATGACAATGATATTAGTTATTAATATATAATATATTTACTAAGCAAAGCTATTTCTTACCTAAATGTGAGGAAAAATTGAAAAAAGAATAATCTATTTCTAAAAAGTATAGAATGGGCATTAGAAGAATTTTATTTTTTCTGGATTGAAAATTTTGGAGTTAATAGATTATTGCTATTATGATGTATTCTCTCATTTATTTTTAAAAATAACAGCTTATAATCACTCTTAACTTGAATTGTAAAAGATGTGAATCACCAATAATTTTTAAAATAAAATAAGAACACTGTGGATTGTTGAGAATGTGGTATGGGTCTGACCACTAGTGTACTGGGTCAAGAGGGGCAGCTGTGTTGGGGTTGGTGGTCCCTCCTGTCACAGACTCTCCCTGTCTCTGTCTGGCCTGGGCAGCTTGATGGTTCCTGATTCCCGCCCCTCCCACTGGGCTCCCTTGCCTTCTAAGATTGTGGTCATTTTCACGTACTGGGTGCTCCTTCCCTTGATGTTTTTGTTTCCGAGGCCAACTTTACTCACTAGGAAGTAATTTTGTCTTGGTGTAAAATGAAGCTATTGTCACCACGGTGTTTCATTTTATCACCTGGCACATATTAAGTGTTGTGTGTGTTGGGAGCCTTCCAACTACTTTTTTTTCTTTTCTTTTTGAGACAGAATATCTCTCTGTCGCTCAGGCTGGAGCGCAGTGGCACGATCTCAGCTCACTGCAACCTTCACCTCCTGAGTTCAAGCAGTTCTCCTGCCTCAGCCTCCTGAGTAGCTGGGACTACAGGTGCAGGCCACCAAGCCCAGCTAATCATTTGTATTTTTAGTAGAGACAGGGTTTCCCCATATTGGCCAGGCTGGTCTTGAACTCCTGACCTTAAGTGATCTGCCTGCCTCAGCCTCCCAAAGTGCTTGTATTACAGGTGTGAGCCACTGTGCTCCACCCAATGACTTTTTTTTTTTTTTTTTTTTGAGACGCAGTTTCGCTTGGGTCACCCAGGCTGGGGTGCAATAGTGCAATCTCAGGCTCACCACAATCTCTGCCTCCCAGGTTCAAGCGATTCTCCTGCCTCAGTCTCCTAAGTAGCTGGGATTACAGGCATGCGCCACCATGCCCGGCTAATTTTGTATTTTTAGTAGAGATGGGGTTTCTCCATGCTGGTCAGGCTGATCTTGAACTCCTGACCTCAGGTGATCCGCCTGCCTCGGCCTCCCACAGTGCTGGGATTACAGGCGTGAGCCACAGCGTCTGGCCCCAACGACTTTTTAATATAGATCATCTCTAAGCTTCACAGCATCTTACAAGCTCTGTGCTGTCTCTGTTTTATGTGCAAGGAAGCCAAGCCCTGATTTGAACTCAGTTTCTCAAACTCCAAGCCCTCCACTCTGCCACGCTGTCCTTGTGGAGCTCCTGAGCAGGACGGGCAGAGGTGGCATGCAGGTGACCAGGTGTGGGGCTGTTGGCCCCCTCATTCATGTCATTGCTTCCTCCCCAGGTGGCAGATATGCTGTTGGAGCTCTGTGTCACCGAGTTGGAGGATGTGGCCACAAGACTTGCAGAGCGGCCGCCTCTCTTCTCAGCCTGTGGTGGTGGAGAGTAGCCACCCTTACACCGACGACACCTCCACCAGTGGCACAGTGAAGATACCAGGTACGGGGGCTGGCCCCAGGGGGGAGCTGCAGCCTTTCCCACCTTCAGAATGATGTGATTCTGTAATTGCTTCAGTAGAAACAACCGTCTCCATTTTATAAAAAAAAGTTACAGACTTGCTTTAGAATCATTTTTCTCCCCTTTTCCAACAAACTTCTTTTGCACAATAAATCATGACACAGAAAGTCACACAAAGTAAATGTTTAGCTTCATGATAATCAGACAGATGCCCTAGTCATCATGACCCAGGTCTAGACATAACCTGTGGCAGATTCTGGAAGCCCTCAGCGTGTCCCCTGACGTCCCTCTGAGTGATGCTCTCCTGATGTTGAGCCATCACTGACTTGCATTTCTGGGCAGCTTCTTTTACCCATGTGTGTATCTTTCTTTTCTTTTTCTTTTCCTTTTCTTTTTAACAACTCAAGAAAAATTATTAAGAAGAAAATTGTTGAGGCCCCGGCCTTTGATCTGGCAGGCTTCACTGCAGCCTGGATCTGCTGACTGGACACGTGTGCTGCTGTTCAGTGTGTTCCTCAGGCCCGTCCTTCTGCAAGGTGCTGCCCGATTCGGAGGCCCATAAGTTCCGCCCCTTTTGCCAGCTCCTTAGTGGTTGTGACTCAGCCTCAGCAGGCACCTCCTGCCTGCCTGTCTTTCCTTTGTGACATCAGCAGTCCCTGAGGCTTATTAGCACCCGAGGCCGTTGGCCCATGAGGGGCTACAAATGGTGCTATTCTAGTGGAATCATTTCTTGCTTATTTATTAGCTGGAATACTTTCTTGTAAAGAGACATTTCCCCTCATCCTACAGTTGGTTGCCCAGGCAAACAGCACTGAGAAAGACAAGATAAAAGCTTGAGTCTTTCTTCTGTTTACCAGAGAATGAATTGGTTTTCTATCATTTCTTGAAGGTGACCTGTTTATTTTTAATATTACTATGAGCTCATGGATTGAAACATATGTGATTGTTTTACTGTATTGTGATTATCTTTGTTGAAGCTAAGATTATCCGTTTCTAGACAGTGGCAGCCTCTTCAGTGTGGCTCCCAAAGTGATTCCGGTGTTCTTCGGTAGCATCCAGGCAGTCTACAGAAGGTGTCCTCAGTTTTTTGTAGGTTGCCACTCTTCACCTGGGGTCTACCCTGGATTCTTTTGAGTTCATACTGATACTTAAAATTTTTTTCCTTTTGTTTTATATTTTATTTATGTATTTACTCGTTTAGAGACAGGATCTTGCTCTGTCACCCAGGCTGGAGTGCAGTAGTGCAATTATAGCTCACTGTGGCCTCGAATTCCTGGGCTCAAGTGATCCTCCTGCCTCAGCCTCCTGAGTAGCTAGGAGTACAGGCACATGCCACCTCACCTGGCTAATATGCTGATTCCTTCTACTCAAATTCAAAAGTACAAGGTCTGTGCTTCTGTTACATCTGCCTCTCCTTTCTTCCATATCAAATCCTGGTTCCAAGAGTGTTTGATAAAATATCTCATGATTTTTCATTTGCTTTAACATAACCACATTGCATACATGACAGACTTAGGATATAATTTCAATACTGCCAACATCAGTATAATTACTGAAATTCTTAAAAATCTTAGAATATGCCCTAATTTTTTCAAATTTATTAAAATAATTATACTGCATCTACAAGAGCACAATAGCTGTTACATACTATACTTTCTTTCAGTCTTCGAGTCTTAGTTTTACTGACTGGTCCTCATGGGGTCTGAAGTGCACTCTAGTGAATTCCTCATTAGCCCCTGAGATCAGACTTGTCCATGAGAGTTTTTGTCCTTTGAATTTGAAAGGTAGTTTTTCTGGGTATTAAAGCCTTGGATCATGTCTTTTTCCTCTGTGAAAGTGTGATAATGTTAGCATCTTTCCCCCTTAGAAGTCACGTGTGTTTTTTCAGTAATTTTGCTAGAATATACGTTGGTGTGGCCATTCTCAGTGATGTTCTCGGTTAGAAGTAATGTGTGTTTTTTGAGTAATTTTACTAGAATATACGTTGGTGTGGCCGTTCTCGGTGATGTTCTCGGTTAGAAGCCGTGTGTGTTTTTTTTTTTTTGTAATTTTACTAGAATATACGTCGGTGTGGCCATTCTCGGTGATGTTCTTGGTTAGAAGCCATGTGTGTTTTTTTTGTAATTTTACTAGAATATACATTGGTGTGGCCATTCTCAGTGATGTTCTCGGTTAGAAGCCGCGTGTGTTTTTTTGGTAATTTTACTAGAATATACGATTGTGTAGCCGTTCTCGGTGATGTTCTCGGTTAGAAGTCAGGTGTGTTTTTTCGGTAATTTTACTAGAATATACATTGGTGTGACCATTCTCGGTGATGTTCTCAGTTAGAAGCCGAGTGTGTTTTTTCAGTAATTTCACTAGAATGTATGTTCGTGTGGCCGTTCTCGGTAATGTTCTGGGTTGGAAGCCACGTGTGTTTTTTCGGTAGTTTTACTAGAATGTGCATTCGTGTGGCCGTTCTCGGTGGTGTTCTTGGTTAGGAGCCACGTGTGTTTTTTCGGTAGTTTTACTAGAATATACGTTCGTGTGGCCGTTCTTGGTGATGCTCTCAGTTAGGAGCTGCATGTGTTGTTTTGTTGCTTTCACTAGAATGTATGTTCATGTGGCCGTTCTCGGTGATGTTCTCGGTTAGAAGCTGCGTGTGTTTTTTCGGTGATTTCACTAGAATGTGCGTTCGTGTGCCTGTTCTCTGTGATGTTCTCGGGTAAGGGGTGCTCTTTTAGTCTGTCATCCCAAGTCTGTTTTGCAGGATGTTCTCTTGAATTGCAGTCTGCAGTGTTTGTTCTGTAGCATTGCTTAGCAGTCTTTTCTAGGGACGCTTGGTAACTCTCCATGCGTTGCATACCTCATGCCTTTTAGAGTTAGTGTTGGTTACTTTCTCTTTCAAGTACTTTTTACCTCTGTTTATTTTTTAAAAACTTCCTCTTTTTTTCCTATTTGTCTTAAGGTAGCATCTACTGTGTTTATTTGATTTTACACTCTGTTTTAGTCTCCATTGGAATGTAGTTTTGTTTTCATTGTAATTCTGTCTTCAGCTTTATTTAGTTTCTTCATTTTCCTAAGTCTGATTTATGTGGTTCTTTCACGTCTTGTATCATTTTTCTAATTTCACTCAATTTCTTTTGAGATGATAGATTATAGGGTTGACATGTTTTGGGGGCATATCTTTCTGGCCTGCTTTTATTGCCTATAGGGATGTTATTTTGTTCCTTATTCTCACTTTGTTTTGGAGACACAGTCTTGCTCTGTCACCCAGGCTGCAGTGCAGTGGCATGATTCTGACTCACTGCAGCCTCGACCTCCCAGGCTCAAGCCATCCTTCCCCATCAGCCTTCTGAGAAGCTGGGACTACAGGCTTGTGCCACCACGCTTGGCTAACTTATTTTTATTTTTTGTGGAGACGAGTCTCTCTATGTTGCCCAGTCTTGTCTCAAACTCCTGGGCTCAAGCGATCCTCCCAGCTGGGCCTCCCAAAGTGTTGAGAATTACAGGTGTGAGCCACCGTGCCCAGCCTATTCCCTTTTTCTAACAATAACTTTTTATTGTATTTGGTCTTATACTTGTATCTTGCTCATTTTTATGTGAAATCATTTTTCTTGAACTTTTAGAATGAGGTGAGATTCAGAAAAGCTTTGTCACTTTGTCACCTAGGTTGGAGTACAGTGGCACGATCTTGGCTCAGTACAGCCCCAACCTCTGGGCTCAAGCGATTCCCCTTCCTTAGCCTCCTGAGTAACTGGGACTATAGGCCGTGCCCAGCTAATTTTTAAAATTTTATATAGAGAAAGGATTTCACCATGTTGTCCGGGCCTGTCTTGAACTCCTGAGCTCAAGCGAGCTCCTGCCTAGGCCTCCCAAAGTGCTGGGATTACAGGCGTGTACCACTACATCTGGCTCAGAAAAGCATTTTTAAACTTTAAGCTATTACTTCATGATAGAAATTTAAAGAACAAAAGGTATTTCTAGTCAGCATTTGCCTAGATGAAAATCTTGTGACCCTTTTTCTCTTCTGTTTCTCTCTCGCTTTATATCCAGTCCACCAGCAAATCCTGTTTTCTCTGCTTTTAAAATATATTCCAAATTCAACCATTTTTCCCTCACTCTAGACATTCTGGGCTAGAGCACCGCGGGGTCTCACCCAGTTTATCATCCTAGCAACCACATACTAGCTGCCTCCCTGTGTTCCTGCTTCCACTCCCCACCTCCTGCGGCCCCCCCAGAATCAGCTCCCAACAGAGCATGCAGAGATAGTATCTTAAAACCAGTCCAAGCCTGTCAACCCTGTAACCGTAAGAGAGGACCTGAGCCCCTGCCCCACGTCCCTCCTTCTTCCCTCCTTCCTCCCCTGCCTCTTTCCCGGCCTCTCAGTGCCATCCTCTGCTAGATCTTCCAGCCTGAAGGAAAACTCTTGTGCCTCTGCTCGCACACCTCTCACACCAGATGTGCGGGTTCTCCACACCAAGCGGTTCTCCAGTTCTCTGGACACGCCAGAAGTTGAGGTGCTCCTCACCTCCAATGCCGCTCACTCCCCAGGTGACCCACAGCTGCCATCTGACTTGGCTGCACACTGGGCATTCCCACAGCCCCTGGTCAGTGTGATGTTCGCTGTAAAGCTTGATCAGGGGAGTGGAGTTGCAGTAGGAAAGTCTGCCCGGGAGTGACTGCACAAAACAAATTGGCCAAGTGGAAGTGTTTTCTGGCCTTCCAGTCCACAGACATAATCTTCAGTGGGGATGAGCTGGGGAAAGGGTGGTCAGTCTTGAGATGCTTGCCTTTGAGGCCAGTTCTTTCTGACTTTCTGCTATTCATTAGCTGTTAAATGTGGTTTTAATCTCACTGTTAACTCCTTGGTGCACTGTTTCTACTTTGGGTGCTGATCTGGAGTGGTTGCTATGTTTTGTGCTCGCCTGTCCTCCAGGTGCAGAAGGACTCAGGGTGGAATTTGACCGGCAGTGCTCCTCAGAGTGGCACCACGACCCTCTCACAATCATGGATGGCGTCAACAGGATCGTCTCCGTGTGGTCAGGTAAGGACAGGAGGTTGAGCCAGGATTGTCTCCATGCGGTCAGGTAAGAACAGGAGGTTGAGCAGGGCATGATCTGCCCACCTGTGTCTCCATAGACACAACCCTTCACATTTATAGGACAGAATGCTGCTACCATATTCTCATCGAAGTCTTGAGGAAGGGACAGTATGCTATGTAGCTGTGAAACACAGTAGGTTTGCTTGCCTCTTTCCCATACTTTTAAATACAGTAGTTATCTGTGATGTATGTACCACATCCCTGTCGGATGGGCCCTGCCTCACCAGACAGTTGCAGAAGGTGCTGGTGACGTGTGGGGTGCCAGGGCTCGTGCGAGGTCATGGTTGGCATAATACAGAGCTTCTTCAAGGGGTTTGTTTCTTACTGGCTGCAGTGAGGGCATGGCCATGTGTGGAGTGATTTCTGTGTGTAGGTGGAGGCAGCCACGTGTCCGGCTTGTCTCTGCTGCTGGGCTCCATGAGGCCAGCGGGGACACATCAGGACGTCTTTGGGGGCTTGTGAAATGCTCTTTTACCAAGTATTTTAGAATTGGCAGTGCAGGGGTGTGTGTATGCACCTTTTAAGACCTCTTTATCCTTCATCTCGAGTGTTTCCTGTAAAGGGCCAGGTAATGCAGCCTCTGTCATAACATGCAGACAGGATGCCAGTGAATGGGCGTGGCTGTGTCCCAGGAAAACTTTATTCACACAGCGTTACTTAGTTAAGTAAAGCTTTGCATGAAGTGGTGTGGTCCCAGTGGGCGTGGGTTTTTCTGGTGCTTTGACAGATGTTTGCCAGTGTAGTTTTCAGTAGTGTTGTTGGATGTGACCGTATTTCTGCATCCAGCAGAAAGTGCTTATGGGCCATCCCTGGGCTGCTGCCAGATGGTCATTCTGAAGCAGAAATCTGGAGGGGTTCTCTTGGCCTTCTGAGATGCTGTAGTACACCACCGCTCCTGTCCACAGCAGCCAGGCCCTCTGCTCCCTCGAGGGCGGCCTCCTCTGGGCTGTGCTGAACCACACACATGGGCCTTTTGATGGGAGAGCTAGGGTTCTTCCTTCTGCTGCCTGGCCACCTGGTTGTATCAGAGCATTCCCGGGAAACATCCCCATGGCCCCTGGCCTGGTGTGTGCTGGAGACCTGGAGGCCCACTCACTGTATCCTGGCTGGTGGGGTCATTTCCCCACTGGGCGATGGCTTCTGCCAGGGCAGTGTCTGCCCGCCTGCCCCAGTTTCCTAGGTACCTGGTACAGGGGCTGAATGCGTGTTTGCTGAAGAATGGTATGTATTAAAATGTGAATCCCAAGAGTGATGTGTCACTGTGCACTTCAGCTTGGGAGAGCTTGGATTGGAGGAACTTGCTCTTCATGCATGATGGAAATCATTCTGCTTTGTGTCTAAGGAAGTTTGTGTTGATTGGATGATGGAGTGAAGCTAACCCCGAGATTCACTTTCCTCCCCCAGACCGAGGGTGGTCCGACTGGTCCAGCTAGCTACGTATCCCGGGGGATGAGTTAAAATGGAAGTTCATCAGCGACGGGCCTGTGAACGGCTGGGGCTGGTGCTTCACCATCTATCCCATCATGCCAGCTGCTGGTAAGGGAGGGGCTTATGGCAATCAAAGTTAGATGACTGGCTGTGGATTGTTTCTGGAGTAACATGGACATGTGCACATTTCCATGTAGTGCCTGACGGCCTGCCTTCTGCTGTGTTGCGGTGAATGCTCCCACAGGCCCCGTTGAGGCGTGGAACAGAACACAGAGAACTGTCCCAGCCGTCCAACTATCAGGCTCACACTCCTCCTCACCTGGTGTGGAAGGAGTTGTTGCTGGTGTCATTCTTAGGCTTTTGGTTTACAGTGGAAGTGTGAGTGTGAAGAGCAAGGCTCACCGACTCGCAGTGGCATGCGTGGGCACACCAGCTGTTGCCTTCTGGTGGGTGGGGCTGGGTGGAGCCACCCTTGTTTGTTGGCTTCTTATGGGTTGGTCCCTAGCTTGTGAAACACAGGGGTGTTTACAGTGCTCATTCACAGGCCCTAAAGAACTCCTCTCTGACTGCTGCGTCCTCTCTTGTCCATCCACGGACTTGGTGACGTGTCTGTTAGACTTCCGACTCAACCTTGCCTCTAACAGAAGTGTCGTCCCTTGCCTTGTGGCCTTGCTGGCAGCTTGTGCACAGCTGAGTGGCCTAGGTAAATGCCACCATTACAGTTACATCTGTCTTCCTACTTGGAAGAAACCATCAGACTTCTGATACTTCTTTCTGCTCATTTCAGCCACCAGTCACAGAATGTGGGCCCTTCAGAAATTGAGGAAGCTGCTTACAACTGAATTTGGGCAATCAATTAACATAAATAGGCTGCTTGGAGAAAATGATGGGGAAGCAAGAGCTTTGGTATGGAGCATTCTAGTACAATTTCTAGATTTGTGACCTTTGGGGAATAAAATGTTGCTTTCGTAGTCTAAACCTCTAAATCATTGAGAAGAGTTGGGGAATTTCACATAAGAAAAAGGAGGCCTCGGACCGGGTGTGGTGGCTCACGCCTGTAATCCCAGCACTTTGGGAGGCCGAGGCGGGCGGATCACGAGGTTAGGAGATCAAGACCATCCTCACTAACACAGTGAAACCCCAACTCTACTAAAAATACAAAAAATTAGATGGGCGTGGTGGCAGGCGCCTGTAGTCCCAGGTACTCGGGAAATTGAGGCAGGAGAATTGCTTGAACCTGGGAGGTGGAGTTCGGAGTGAGCCGAGATGGCACCACTACACTCCAGCCTGGTGACAGAGCGAGACTCCGTCTCAAAAGAAAAAGAATAAGGAAGGCTTTGTCACATCCAGACTTTTTGTATGTTGCAGTGCATACTGAGTTCAAGTTGGACTTTGATTTTGTGAAAATCTGTCTCGACTGCCATGAACATAGGATTGTGTTGATTGGACTTGGACAATGAGGCTAACTGATTGGCCTCCCCTTTATTTTGCTGACTAAAGTAGTCCCTTTTGATCCTACACATGGGAGGAGACAGGCAGCGTTTGTGGGCCAGAGAGGGGCTATTTCTCTGGAAGCGGATGTACTGAAATCAAGACCAAACATTCTGAGATGAGTCTTTAAACTCCTCTTTTTTATTTTAGTGTTTATGTTCTTTTAGCTTTTTTCCTACTTGAGAATTTTGATAAGCTTTTTTTTTTTTTTTAGAAGAAATGGTACCAACATAATAAAACATTTGACCTTAGAGACAAATGGTCAGCCTCTCCTGTACTCTGGATTCCCACGATAGAATACTGTTCTGTTGTTTCTTAGAGTTTTACAGGTAGTGCTCTTGCTGCTTTGGTGAAAGGTCTTCCAGAAGCTTTGCAAAGGCAGTTTGAATATGAAGATCCTATTGTGAGGGGTGGCAAACAGCTGCTCCACAGCCCATTCTTTAAGGTAATGTTTCACTTCTTTTTTAAAGTGACAATAGAGCTATTTGACTGAAAGAGCCACTGAGAGTTGTCATGTGCAGTCTGTTTGTGTGTTTTAGGCCTCTGAGGGCAGCTGTAGGTTGCTGAAGTCAAATATGAAAAAATCTCAAGAAATGATCGTGTAATCTAAACCCTTAAACCATAAGCCTGTAACCGTTAGCATGCCTTGAGATGCACAGGTGTTCTTGTCACTTGATGCAGGCAACAAGTGTTGCAGCAGTTGTGTGGCACGTGGCTAGGAACTGTCAGAGATCGCCACATCACTGATGGTGGCCGTATCCTTGCTGTGCCCATGGCCGTCATCCTGGAATAGGAGGTCCTGCGGAAGGAGCCACAGAAACCTTGGCCTGTTCACTGCATTTCTGAGTGTCCCTGAGTTTGTCATTTTTGGTGCCTGCAGGTACTGGTAGCTCTTGCTTGTGACCTGGAGCTGGACACTCTGCCTTGCTGTGCCGAGACGCACAAGTGGGCCTGGTTCCGGAGGTACTGCATGGCCTCCCGCATTGCTGTGGCCCTTGACAAAAGAACACCATTGCCCCGTCTGTTTCTTGATGAGGTATTGCATGATATTTTGGAATCACTTTTGGGATGCAAAAACATTGTTTAGCTATAGTGTAACAAGATGCCAATATTATGAGACACAGAAAAATTTTCCTTGCCAAGGAATATCAAAGAAAATAACACATAGGTAGGGCCAGGCGCGGTGGCTCACGCCTGTAATCCCAGCACTTTGGGAGGCCGAGGCGGGTGGATCACGAGGTCAGGGGTTTGAGACCAGCCTGACCAACATGGTGAAACCCCGTCTCTACTAAAAATACAAAAATTAGCTTGGCGTAGTGGCGGGCGCTTGTAATCCCAGCCACTCAGGAGGCTGAGGCAGGAGAATTGCTTGAACCCGGGAGGCGGAGCTTGCAGTGAGCCGAGATCGCACCATAGAGAAAAAGAAAGAAAATAACACATAGGTGAAAATGAGTGAACTGACACTGTGAATTTCAGTTAAAGTTTATTTTTAGTGAACTACAGATAGAATGAGACTGTCTAGACATTTTTAATATGTTAGACTTGATGCAGTCATTATTGGTTTTGCCCAGGAACCATAACATTGCAATGTTGCTCTTCCCTCATATTTTCAGGCAGGGATTCCTTCTGTCTTTCCTTAGTATTTATTTATTTTGTTTGAGATGAGTGTTTGATTTGTAACATCATAATAATTTTGTTTAAGTGGCTAAGAAAATTCGTGAATTAATGGCAGACAGCGAAAACATGGGATGTTCTGCCTGAGAGCCAAGACATTTTTAAAAGAGAGCAAGATGAACAAGTTGTGCAGTGAATGAACAGGTTATTATATTAGAAACAAGCAGTAATGTCGATCTTGAACGCGAGAGGCTGTGTGCATTGTTCTTTCCCATGGCAAATGCTCACTTGATGTGTGTTGTAGGCGACCAGATGATTGGAATCTGTCTGCTGGTGGCAGTGGAACAATTTATGGTTGGGGACATGATCATAGGGGCCAGCTCGGGGGCATTGAAGGTGCAAAAGTCAAAATTCCCTCTCCCTGTGAAGCCCTCACAACTCTCAGACCCATGCAGTTAATCGGAGGGGAACAGACCCTCTGCTGTGACAGCTGATGGGAAGGTAAGGGTGCTTTTTCTGTGTCACAGGGTCACTGAGCCTGAGGCAGTTGTGGCTAACGGTGCTGTGTGGTTCTTAGCACAGGCAAGGATCTGCACTAAAACGTTTCTCAGGATTAATAGTACTGTGGTATGCAGGAAGCAGTTAGACTTCTAAGATATTTTTGCATAATCTTTAAATTTTTTTTTAAAAAATTTAAGATGGAGTTTTGCTCTTGTTGCCCAGGCTGGAGTGCAATGGCGCAATCTCAGCTCACTGCAACCTCCACCTCCTGGGTTCAAGTCATTCTCCTGCTTCAGCCTCCCGAGTAGCTGGGATTATAGGCGCCCGCCACCACACCTGGCTAACTTTTTTGTATTTTTAGTAGAGACAGGGTTTCACCATGTTGACCAGGCTGGTCTCGAAATCCTGACCTCAGGTGATCCGCCCACCTTGGCCTCCCAAAGTGCTGGGATTATAGGTGTGAGCCACCATGCCTGGCCAATTTTTTTTTTTTAATTTTGAAAATACATCATGTATACGAAAGTATTACAATTTTTGTTTGTGTATCACTCGTTAGATGTGTTTCTTCCTTGCTATTGTAAATACTTTTAAAAAATTTATTGCTGCTGGCCCGGTGCAGTGGCTCACACCTGTAATCCCAGCACTTTGGGAGCCCAAGATGGGTGGATCACCTGATGTCACGAGTTTGAGACCAGCCTGGCCAACATGGGGAACCCCGTCTCTACTAAAAATAAGCCAGGCGTGGTGATACGTGCCTGTAATCCCAGCTACTCGGGAGGCTGAGGCAGGAGAATCACTCAAACTTGGGAGGCGGAGGTTGCAGTGAGCCGAGATCACACCACCGCACTCCAGCCTGGGCGACAGAGCAATACTCTGTCACAAAGAAAAAAAAAAGAAAAAAAAAAAGATTGCCACTGATATATAGAAATATTGGATGTTTATATACTGACTTTATGTTTGGTGACCTACTTGAGTCTCTTCATTCTAGTGTATCTGAAGATTTCTTATATCTTCTTTATAGAGTGCCATAGTCTCTAAATGAATTCTGTTCCTTTCTGTCTAGCATACCTCTCTTTTATTTTTCCCATTTGTGTGGGAGAATGGGAGCTCATGGTGCGGGCTGGGGTTGTGATGTGATTCTGGGTAGGAGTGGGCAGAGGCTCCTGCCTTGATCCAGACTGGAGCAGGCACAGAAGGAGCGTTTCCAGGCTTCCAGTGGGGTTTGAGTAGAAGCCCTTGATTAGATTAGGCATGTTTCCTTCTGTTTCTGTTCATCAGTGGAGTGTTCAACACTCTTTCTATGTATTTTTGAAATGTTCTTTCATAGATGTTTTCTGTTTTTTTTTTTTTTTTTTTTTTTTTTGAGACAGAGTCTCACTCTGTCGCCCAGGCGGGAGTGCAGTGGCACAGTCTCGGCTCACTGCAACCTCTGCTTCCCGGGTTCAAGAGATTCTTCTACCTCAGCCTCCCGAGTAGCTGGGACAACAGGCGACTGCCACCATGCCCGGCTAATTTTTTTTTTTTTTTTTTTGTATTTTTAGTAGAGATGGGGTTTCACCATATTGGTCAGGCTGGTCTTGAACTCCTGACCTTGTGATCCGCCCGCCTCGGCCTCCCAAAGTGCTGGGATTACAGGCATGAGCCACCACACCTGGCCAATGTTTTCTAATGGATTGGTATAGTCAGTTGGATTAATTGGTTTTCTCATATTAAACAAACTTGCATTGTTTGGATAAATCCAGTTTGGTCAGGATATGTATCTGGCTTGTGTTTGTGATTGTTTTGTTTAGATTTTTGGGAGATCCTATTCATGAGTGAGATAGTCTCGTGTAATGTTCTGTCTCACACACATGTATCATTTCATAGTTTCTCTGGGTCAGGACTCTGGATGCAGCATAGCTCCATCCTCCAGCTCAGAATCTCAGCAGGCTGCAGTTGTCTTGAGGCTGTCCGAGCAAGGATTCAGTCCCTTGTGGACCTTTGGGCTGAGGCCTCAGTCCCTTATGAGCTGTTGGCAGAGCCTCCCCTCACTCAGCCCTTTGCCACGTGTCCATAGAGCGTCTCACAGCGTGGCAACTGACTGTCAGCGAGAGCAAGGGAGGCGCAGGAGGGAGCACCAGCAAGAGAGAGTGGAGGAAACAGAGCCCCGGTCCTGTGTAACTGAATCACAGAAGTGACCACACTCCATCGTTCTTGCCCTATTCTGCTCATCAGAAGCAGGTCATTAAGTCCAGCCCACACTCAGGGAGAGGGAGCTGTAGGCATACTTGGAGGTATGCAGGCTTGGTTCTAAACCAACACAATAAAGCAAGTGTCTTCACAAGTAAGTCACACAAATTTCTTGGTTTCCCAGTGGATATAAAAGTATGTGTATACTATAGTCTATTAAGTCACATCTTCAGGCTCCACTTCTAATTCTAGTTCTTTTGCTGTTTCCACCACATCTGAGGTCACTTCTTCCTCTCGTCTTGAACCTCTCAAGGTCATCCATGAGGGTTGGAATCCACTTCCACATCCCTGTTAATGTTGATATTTTCACCTCCTCCCATGAATCACAAATGTTCTTAATGGCATTTATAATGGTGCTGGCTTTCCAGAAGGTTTTCAATTTAGCTTGTCCACATCCATTAGAAGAATCACTATCTATGGCAGCTGTAGCCTTATGAAATGTATTTCTTTGTTTTTTTTTTTTTCTTTTTTTGAGACAGTCTTGCTCTGTAGCCCAGGCTGGAGTGCAGTGGCGTGATCTCTGCTCACTGCAAGCTCCACCTCCTGGGTTCACGCCATTCTCCTGCCTCAGCCTCCCAAGTAGCTGGGACTACAGGTGTCCGCCACCATGCCTGGCTAATTTTTTGTATTTTTTAGTAGAGACTGAAGTGTATTTCTTAAATAACAAGATTTGAAGTTGAAATTACTCCTTGATCCATGTGGCTGCAGAAAAGATGATGTGTTAGCAGGCATGAAAACAACTTTAATTTCTTTGTACATGTTCATCAGAGCTTTTGGGTGACCAGGTACATTGTCAATGAGCAGTAATATTTTGTAAGAAATCTTTTTTTCTGAGCAGTAGGCCTCAATAGTGGGCTTAAAATATTCAGTGAACCATGCTGTAAACAAATGTGCTGACTTCCAGGTTTTGTTCTATTTCTGGAGCACAGTCAGAGTGGAGTTAGCATAATTCTTAAGGGCCCTAAGATTTTCAGAATGGTCAATGAGCATTGACTTCAACGAATTCAACTAATATAGTCATCAGCTGCATTAGCCCCTAACAAAATATTTGAAGCTTTGAAGGCAAACATTGACTTCTCTCTAGCTATGAAAGTCCTAGCTGGCATCTTCTTCCAATAGACGGTTGTTCCATCTACGTTGAAAGCCTGTTGTTTAGCGTAGCCACCTTCATCACTGATCTTGGCTAGATCTTCTGGGTAACTTGCTGCAGCTTCTACATCAGCACTTGCTACTTTCCCTCACACTTTTATGTTATGAAGACGGCGTCTTTATTTACACCTCAGGAACCAATCTTTGCTACCTTCAGACTTTCCTTCTGCAGCTGTCTCACCTCTCTTAGCCTTCGTGGAATTGAAGAGAGTTAGAGCCTTGCTCTGGATTAGGCTTTGGCTTAAGGGAATGTTGTATCAGTTTTGATCTTCTGTCTATGCCAGTCAAACATTCTGTATATCAGCCATAAGACTGTTTTGCATTCTTATCATTTGTGTGTTTACTAGAGTTGCACTTAATTGTGCTTCAAGAACTTTTTCTTGGGTAACTGGTGCAAGAGGCCTAGCTTTCAGCCTGTCTTGGCTTTCAGTGTGCCTTCGTCACTAATCTTAATCATTTCTAGCTTTTGACTTAAAGTGAGAAATATGCAACTCTTCCTTTCACTTGAACTCTTAGAGGCTACTGCAGGGTTATTAAGTGGCCTAATTTCAATAAGTTATGTCTCAGGTACACAATAGGGAGGTCTGAGGAGAGGGAGAGAGATGGGAGAACAGCTGGTTGGCGGAACAATCAGAACATACACCACATTTATCATTTAAGTTCACCATCTTCTATGGGTGTGGTTTGTGGTGCCTCAAAACAAGTACAACAGTAACATCAAACATTACTGATCACAGATCATCATAACAGATAAAATAATGAAAAAGTTTAAAATATTGCAAGAATTATCAAAATGTGACATAGAGACAGTAAGTCAGCACATGCTGGTGGAAAAGTGGCGCCGTTAGAGTTGGTCAGTGCAGGGTTGCCGCAGACCTTCGGTTTGTAAAAAACAGTATCTGCGAGGTACAGTAAAGCGAGGCACAGTCAAATGGAGTGTGCCTGTGTACAGGAGCATGCATATTTGGAAGCAGGGATCACTGTGAACCGTGTCAGGGGCAGATTGCTAGCACAGGTGTCGAAGTGGTCTAGCCTCATAAAAAGGTTTGAAATATAGCCCCTCTTTGTCAATTCTCAGGAGAATTTTGTTTCTTTTCGTTGTTTCTCTGGTTATTTTAACATAGGTACTTAAAAACCTAAAGTTAATTAGTATTTTCCCCTCCTCCCAATCAGTGACCCCTTGTTACCCAGTGTTTGGGTTCTAACCTATTCCCCTCTGCCATAGACATTATTGTTGTTGTTTTGGTTGTTTTATATGGACTGTGGTTTTTTTCTGGAGTTAGCCAAATATTGCACATCTTTGCTTACTATCGTTTCTTACCATCGTTTGCTATGTCTCAGATCTTATAAAATCATTTCCTTCTCCTTTATCATATCTTTTTCAATTTACTTTAGTGAAATTCTTTCATTGGTTAATTCTGATTGTTTCAAAATATCTTCATTTTGTCCTTTTTCTAGGGTGGGGGTTGGTAAACACTTTCTGTAAAGGACACAATGGTATTTTCAGCTTTGGGCCATATAGTCTCTGTTGCAACTGCAAAAGTAGCCCTGGACATATTATAAATGAGTGGGTGTGGCTGTGTTCCCATAAAACTTCATTTACAGAAACAAATGATGGGCCTGATTCAGCCCATGGGCCATAATTTGCCAACTCCTGTTGTAGTTATGAATTCTCAGGAGCAAGCCTCTGTCTCCCTGTCAGTGCTGAGGCTGGGAAGGGCAGCTTTCTGTGGTGTTCTTCTTATTCACAGTCACTGAGGGGCAACCCTTTGGAGCCCCACTTTCTATAGGAAGTCCTTGGAGGCATGCTGCATTACCCTGCACCGTGTGCACCAGAGAGCCTCACACCCTCCCCGCCAGAAGCTGGCTTTGGGGGTGGGGCTCATTTATCCACCTGAGTTTGGGTTTCACTTCCTGCGTTGGGCCTTGTGGCTTCCTTACTATTATGTCAGCGTAGCAGCACGTTTGAAAGATGTCTAAAACAGCATGGAACAGCATTTAAGTTTTTATCAGGAGGCATGTTTGCCTTCATTTGGAAAATGGCAGTCTGATTGTGTGTGTGTGTCTTTTTAAATTAATCATGTTTTTTAAAAAATTAATCATAGATGTTTTGTGTCCTAAAACATTCCCACTTAGATGGAAAAAAAAAGCGTTTTTTCCCATGTGGTTTATACGCTGCCCTGCTGAAATATTAAAATGTATTTGTGTTCTTTTACGGGTATGTTTTGTGGCTGTTATTGTCAGAGATTTGCATATAGTAGATAATTAAATTGTTTTTTGCTTTTCTTGGTGTTAATTGTAGTTGGTATTCCAGACAAAAATCGAAGAGCTTCCAGGGAGAAGACTTTATTTTCACAGTATGTTTTCTGAATTTGGAATTTCTAATAGTCGTGTTTTTATTTCATTTCTAGAACTTTGATAGAGCATGTATAAAGGCATAAACATTCCTGTGATTTTTAACTTTAAATTTTATTTCTATGTGGTAAAAATGTCTAAAACATGGATTGTTTATGAATTACTAAATTTAGGGGATATTGAGATTAAAAACTGATGTTACTGTTGCTTTTTCTTTTATTAGCTGTATGCCACTGGGTATGGTGCAGGTGGCAGACTAGGCATTGAAGGGACAGAGTCGGTGTCTACCCCAACATTGCTTGAACCCATTCAGCATGTGTTTTATTTAGAAAGTAGCTATGAACTCGGGAGGAAAGCACTGCCTTGCCCTGTCTTCAGAAGGAGTTTACTCTTGGGGTGAGGCAGAAAGGAAGTTGGGGAATGGCAACAGAAGGTGTGATGTGAAAAAATTATTTCAACATTCTATTTGTCTTTGTTTGTTTTAATGCTGCTACAATTTATTGGCACTTCGTTTTTCAAGGCAACATTTGCAATAATCTGCTCAAACTAAATAATGTTAATGACTCATTTGGCAGCAATAGTTTTATGTTCCAATATGAAGCCTTACCCATATGACTCCTCTGTTGAGAAGAAAAAAAAGTCAATTCTGAGTTTTTGATGACAAGTACTAAGTAAGTGTTTTTTTGTCCTTCTCCCTTAAATCATCCACTGAATCACGTTTGGCATTTTGTGTAACGTGCGTGATACTAAAACTGCAAATACAGAGGAAATAGCAGGGGTGAGGAAGAAAGAACACACAATCGACACCATTTTTTAAACAAATGAACCAAACTCACAAGTTTTAAAAAATGAATGAGAACTACCAGCCAGATTGGAGTAACAGGGGCCTTCCTATCCTAGGAATAACTAAAACACCATATAAAATACATTAAACAGGTCCGGCATGGTGGCTCACGCCTGTTATCCCAGCACTTTGAGAAGCTGAGGTGGGCAGATTGCTTGAACTCAGGAGTTCAAAACCAGCCTGGGCAACATGACGAAACCCTATCTCTATGAAAAATAGAAAAACAATTAGCCAGATGTGGTGGTGCACACCTGAAGTCCCAGCTACTTGGGAGGTGGAGGTTGCAGTGAGCTGAGATTGTGCCACTGCACTCCAGCCTGGGTGACAGAGTGAGATCCTGTCATAAAAAATGAAATGAAATGAAATGAAGTGAAATGAAATAATGAAATGAAATGATGAAATGAAATGTGAGCTGAGATTGTGCCACTGCACTCCAGCCTGGGTGACAGAGTGAGATCCTGTCATATGAAATGAAATGAAATGAAGAAATGATGAAATGAAATATGAGCTGAGATTGTGCCACTGCACTCCAGCCTGGGTGACAGAGAGAGATCCTGTCATACGAAATAATGAAATGAAATGAAATGAAATGAAATGAAATAAATGAAATAAATGAAATGATGAAATGAAATAAAATGTGAGCTGAGATTGTGCCACTGCACTCCAGCCTGGGTGACAGAGTGAGATCCTGAGTGAGATCCTGTCATATGAAATGATGAAATGAAATGAAGAAATGAAATGTGAACTGAGATTGTGCCACTGCACTCCAGGCTGGGTGACAGAGTGAGATCCTGTTGAAAGAAATGAAATGAAATGAAGAAATGAAATGATGAAATGAAATGTGAACTGAGATTGTCCCACTGCACTCCAGGCTGGGTGACAGAGTGAGATCCTGTCAAAAGAAATGAAATGAAATGAAAAATGAAATGAAATGGTGAAATAAGTGAAATGAAATGAATGAAATGATGAAATGTGAGCTGAGATTGTGCCACTGCACTCCAGCCTGGGTGACAGAGAGAGATCCTGTCATATGAAATGAAATGAAATAAATGAAGAAATGAAATGATGAAATGAAATGTGAGCTGAGATTGTGCCACTGCACTGCAGCCTGGGTGACACAGTGAGATCCTGTCATATGAAATGAAATAAATGAAATGACATGAAATGATGAAATGTGAGCTTGAGATTGTGCCACTGCACTCCAGCCTGGGTGACAGAGTGAGATCCTGAGTGAGATCTTGTCATATGAAATGAAATGAAATAAATGAAATGAAATGAAATGGTGAAATGAAATCTGAACTGAGATTGTGCCACTGCACTCCAGGCTGGGTGACAGAGTGAGATCCTGTCGAAAGAAATGAAATAAGTGAAATGAAATGAAATGAAATGAAATGAATGAAATGATGAAATAAAATGTGAGCTGAGATTGTGCCACTGCACTCCAGCCTAGGTGACAGAGTGAGATCCTGTCGAAAGAAATGAAATAAGTAAAACGAAATGAAATGAATGAAATGATGAAATAAAATGTGAGCTGAGATTGTGCCACTGCACTCCAGCCTAGGTGACAGAGTGAGATCCTGTCTGTGAAATGAAATGAAATATGAAATGAAATGAAATGAAATAAATGAAATGACATGAAATGAAGAAATGAAATGATGAAATGAAATATGAGCTGAGATTGTGCCACTGCACTCCAGCCTGGGTGACAGAGTGAGATCCTGTCATATGAAATGAAATGAAATGATGAAATGAAATATGAGCTGAGATTGTGCCACTGCACTCCAGCCTGGGTGACAGAGATCCTGTCATATGAAATAATGAAATGAAATGAAATAAATGAAATGATGAAATGAAATAAAATGTGAGCTGAGATTGTGCCACTGCACTCCAGCCTGAGTGACAGAGTGAGATCCTGAGTGAGATCCTGTCATATGAAATGAAATGAAATAATGAAATGAAATAAATGAAATGAAGAAATGAAATGTGAACTGAGATTGTGCCACTGCACTCCAGGCTGGGTGACAGAGTGAGATCCTGTCGAAAGAAATGAAATGAATGAAATGAAGAAATGAAATGTGAACTGAGATTGTCCCACTGCACTCCAGGCTGGGTGACAGAGTGAGATCCTGTCGAAAGAAATGAAATGAAATGAAAAATGAAATGAAATGATGAAATAAGTGAAATGAAATGAAATGAAATGAATGAAATGATGAAATGTGAGCTGAGATTGTGCCACTGCACTCCAGCCTGGATGACAGAGAGAGATCCTGTCATATGAAATGAAATGAAATGAAATGAAGAAATGAAATGATGAAATGAAATGTGAGCTGAGATTGTCCCACTGCACTCCAGGCTGGGTGACAGAGTGAGATCCTGTCGAAAGAAATGAATTGAAATGAAAAATGAAATGAAATGATGAAATAAGTGAAATGAAATGAAATGAATGAAATGATGAAATGAAATGTGAGCTGAGATTGTGCCACTGCACTCCAGCCTGGATGACAGAGAGAGATCCTGTCATATGAAATAAAATAAATGAAATGAAATGAAATGAAGAAATGAAATGATGAAATGTGAGCTGAGATTGTGCCACTGCACTCCAGCCTGGGTGACACAGTGAGATCCTGAGTGAGATCCTGTCATATGAAATGAAATAAATGACATGAAATGAAATGAAATGATGAAATCTGAACTGAGATTGTGCCACTGCACTCCAGGCTGGGTGACAGAGTGAGATCCTGTCGAAAGAAATGAAATGAAATGAAATGAAATGAATGAAATGATGAAATAAAATGTGAGCTGAGATTGTGCCACTGCACTCCAGCCTGGGTGACAGAGTGAGATCCTGTCATATGAAATGAAATGAAATGAAATGAAATGAAATGAAATAATGAAATGAAATAAAATGAAATGAAATGTGAGCTGAGATTGTGCCACTGCACTGCAGCCTGGGTGACAGAGTGAGATCCTGTCATATGAAATGAAATGAAATAAATGAAATGAAATGAAATGAAATGAAGAAATGAAATGAAAGAAATGAAACAAAATGAAGAAATGAAATGTGAGCTGAGATTGTGCCACTGCACTCCAGCCTGGGTGACAGAGTGAGATCCTGTCTGAAATGAAATAAATGAAATGAAAGAAACGAAAGAAATGAAATGAAATAATGAAATGAAATGGTCCCAAAGCCATTGAATATCAGGCAACAAAATACAGTGTTCCGTGAGTCATGGGAAACAAAGACAGTTCTAAGGGATGATGTGTAATGGTACAAAAATATAGTTAGATAGAAGGAATAATATCAAGTATGATACCACAACAGGTGAGTATAGGCAACAATAACTTATTGTACATTTTAAAGTAACTAAATTATAATTGGATTGTTTGTAACACAGGAAAGGATAAATGCTTGAGGTGATGGATAACCCATTTACCCTGATATGATTACTACACATTGTATGCCTGAATCAAAATATTTCATATACTCTACTATGTACCCACAAAAATTAAAAAATTTTTAAATGAAAAATTAAAAAGAAAAAGGCAAGTTCTAAAAATTTCCCAATGGATTTCCTGTAGAAAGTTTCCAGACTGTGACACAGGAAGGAGAATGCCAGGCAGATCCTGGCACACCCCCTTAGTAGAGAGGAGACAGAACTGGAAATCCAGGGAGGCCAAGACATACAGAGTCTGTATACAGAGTACCAGAGCGGAGAGAGCTGCACAGAGAGGACTGCGGAGACCTGCAGAGCCTAATATGGCATTCACAGCTGTGAGGTTGAGGAACAGACCGCCCAAAGGGATGAGAAGGAATAGTCCCCAGAGCTCACACAGCAGGGAGTTGGAGCCTGCTCCCAAAACCTCACAATTTACAGGGCAACGATTAAAGTACTAAGAATGATGTTACCCAGTATTGGTGAAAAATTAGCGACAGACGAATTGTTGCTATCATCCCACCAACAAAGCTTAAAAGCAAGACCCGAAAGGATTAAACTACTTATAAGTAACTTATCACAGAGATCAAAGCTCAAGAATATATATATATTTTTTAATTTTTGTATTTTTATTTTTTTATTATACTTTAAGTTTTAGGGTACATGTGCACAATGTGCAGGTTTGTTACATATGTGTATACGTGTGCCATGTTGGTGTGCTACACCCATTAATTCATCATTTAATGTTAGGCATATCTCCTAATGCTATCCCTCACCCCTCCCCCACCCCACAACAGGCCCGGGTGTGTGATGTTCCCCTTCCTGTGTCCATGTGTTCTCATTGTTCAATTCCCACCTGTGAGTGAGAACATGCAGTGGTTGTTTTTTGGTCCTTGCAATAGTTTGCTGAGAATGATGGTTTCCAGCTTCATCCACGTCCCTACAAAGGACATGAACTCATCATTTTTTATGGCTGCATAGTATTCCATGGTGTGTATGTGCCACATTTTCTTAATCCAGTCTATCATTGTTGGACATTTGGGTTGGTTCCAAGTCTTTGCTGTTGTGAATAGTGCTGCATGTGTCTTTATAGCAGCATGTTTTATAATCCTTTGAGTATATACCCAGTAATGGGATGGCTGGATCAAATGGTATTTCTAGTTCTAGATCCCTGAGGAATCGCCACACTGTCTTCCACAATGGTTGAACTAGTTTACAGTCCCACCCACAGTGTAAAAGTGTTCCTATTTCTCCACATCCTCTCCAGCACCTGTTGTTTCCTGACCTTTTAATGATCGCCATTCTAACTGGTGTGAGATGGTGTCTCATTGTGGTTTTGATTTGCATTTCTCTGATGGCCAGTGATGATGAGCATTTTTTCATGTGTCTTTTGGCTGCATAAATGTCTTCTTTTGAGAAGTGTCTGTTCATATCCTTTGCCCACTTTTTGATGGGGTTTTTTTTTTCTTATAAATTTGTTGGAGTTCATTGTAGATTCTGGATATTAGACCTTTGTCAGATGAGTAGATTGCAAAAATTTTCTCCCATTCTGTAGGTTACCTGTTCACTCTGATGGTAGTTTCTTTTGCTGTGCAGAAGCTGTTTAGTTTAATTAGATCCCATTTGTCAATTTTGGCTTTTGTTGCCATTGCTTTTGGTGTTTTAGACATGAAGTCCTTGCCCATGCCTATGTCCTGAATGGTATTGCCTAGATTTTCTTCTAGGGTTTTTATGGTGTTAGGTCTAACATTTAAGTCTTCAGTCCATCTTGAATTAATTTTTGTATAAGGTGTAAGGAAGGGATCCAGTTTCAGCTTTCTACATATGGCTAGCCAGTTTTCCCAGCACCATTTCTTAAATAGGGAATCCTTTCCCCATTTCTTGTTTTCATCAGGTTTGTGAAATATCAGATAGTAGTAGATATGTGGCATTATTTCTGAGGGCTCTGTTCTGTTCCATTGGTCTATATCTCTGTTTTGGTACCAGTACCATGCTGTTTTGGTTACTGTAGCCTTGTAGTATAGTTTGAAGTCAGGTAGCGTGATGCCTCCAGCTTTGTTCTTTTGGCTTAGGATTGACTTGGCAATGAGGGCTCTTTTTTGATTCCATATGAATTTTAAAGTAGTTTTTTTCCAATTCTGTGAAGAAAGTCATTGGTAGCTTGATGGGGATGGCATTGAATCTGTAAATTACCTTGGGCAGTATGGCCATTTTCACGATATTGATTCTTCCTACCCATGAGCATGGAATGTTCTTCCAATTGTTTGTATCCTCTTTTATTTCCTTGAGCAGTGGTTTGTAGTTCTCCTTGAAGAGGTCCTTCACATCCCTTGTAAGTTGGATTCCTAGGTATTTTATTCTCTTTGAAGCAATTCTGAATGGGAGTTCACTCATGATTTGGCTCTGTGTTTGTCTGTTATTGGTGTATAAGAATGCTTGTGATTTTTGCACATTGATTTTGTATCCTGAGACTTTGCTGAAGTTGCCTGTCAGCTTAAGAGATTCTGGCCTGAGATGATGGGGTTTTCTGGATATACAATCATGTCATCTGCAAACAGGAACAATTTGACTTCCTCTTTTCCTAATTGAATGCCCTTTATTTCCTTCTCCTGCCTGATTTCCCTGGCCAGAACTTCCAACACTATGTTGAATAGGCATGGTGAGAGAGGGCATCCCTGTCTTGTGCCAGTTTTCAAAGGGAATGCTTCCAGTTTTTGCCCATTCAGTATGATATTGGCTGTGGGTTTGTCATAGATAGCTCTTATTATTTTTAGATACGTCCCATCAATACCTAATTTATTGAGAGTTTTTAGCATGAAGTGTTGTTAAATTTTGTCAAAGGCCTTTTCTGCATCTATTGAGATAATCATATTGTTTTTGTCGTTGATTCTGTTTATATGCTGGATTACATTTATTGATTTGTGTATGTTGAACCAGCCTTGCATGCCAGGGATGAAGCCCACTTGATCATGGTGGATAAGCTTTTTGATGTGCTGCTGGATTCGGGTTGCCAGTATTTTATTGAGGATTTTTGCATCAATGTTCATCAGGGATATTGGTCTAAAATTCTCTTTTTTTGTTGTGTCTCTGCCAGGCTCTGGTATCAGGATGATGCTGGCCTCATAAAATGAGTTAGGGAGGATTCCCTCTTTTTCTGGTGATTGGAATAGTTTCAGAAGGAATGGTACCAGCTCCTCTTTGTACCTCTGGTAGAATTAGGCTGTGAATCCATCTGGTCCTGGACTTTTTTTGGTTGGTAAGCTATTAATTATTGCCTCAATTTCAGAGCCTGTTATTGGTCTATTCAGAGGTTCAACTTCTTCCTGGTTTAGTCTTGGGAGGGTGTATGTGTCAAGGAATTTATCCATTTCTTCTAGATTTTCTAGTTTATTTGCATAGAGGTGTTTATAGTATTCTCTGATGGTAGTTTGTATTTCTGTGGGATTGTTGGTGATATCCCCTTTATCATTTTTTATTGCGTCTATTTGATTCTTCTCTCTTTTCTTCTTTATTAGTCTTGCTAGCAGTCTATCAATTTTGTTGATCTTTTCAAAAAACCAGCTCCTGGATTCACTGATTTTTTGAAGGGTTTTTTGTGTCTCTATTTCCTTCAGTTCTGCTCTGATGTTAGTTATTTCTTGCCTTCTGCTAGCTTTTGAATGTGTTTGCTCTTGCTTCTCTAGTTCTTTTAATTGTGATGTTAGGGTGTCAATTTTAGATCTTTCCTGCTTTCTCTTGTGGGCATTTAGTGCCATCAATTTCCCTCTACACACTGCTTTGAATGTGTCCCAGAGATTCTGGTTTTTGTGTCTTTGTTCTCATTGGTTTCAAAGAACATCTTTATTTCTGCCTTCATTTCGTTATGTACCCAGTAGTCATTCAGGAGCAGGTTGTTCAGTTTGCATATAGTTGAGCAGTTTTGATTGAGTTTCTTAATCCTGTGTTCTAGTTTGATTGCACTGTGGTCTGAGAGACAGTTTGCTATAATTTCTGTTCTTTTACATTTGCTGAGGAGTGCTTTACTTCCAACTATGTGGTCAATTTTGGAATAGGTGTGGTGTGGTGCTGAAAAGAATGTATATTCTGTTGATTTGGGGTGGAGAGTTCTGTAGATGTCTATTAGGTCTGCTTGGTGCAGAGCTGAGTTCAATTCCTGGATATCCTTGTTAACTTTCTGTCTCATTGATCTGTCTAATGTTGACAGTGGGGTGTTAAAGTCTCCCATTATTATTGTGTGGGAGTCTAAGTCTCTTTGTAGGTCTCTGAGGACTTGCTTTATGAATCTGGGTGCTCCTGTATTGGGTGCATATATATTTAGGATAGTTAGCTCTTCTTGTTGAATTGATCCCTTTACCATTATGTAATGGCCTTCTTTGTCTCTTTTGATCTTTGTTGGCTTAAAGTCTGTTTTATCTGAGACTAGGATTGCAACCCCTGCCTTTTTTTGTTTTCCATTTGCTTGGTAGATCTTCCTCCATCCCTTTATTTTGAGCCTATGTGTGTCTCTGCACGTGAGATGGGTTTCCTGAATACAGCACACTGATAGGTCTTGGCTCTTTATCCAATTTGCCAGTCTGTGTCTTTTAATTGGAGCATTTAGCCCATTTACATTTAAGGTTAATATTGTTATGTGTGAATTTGATCCTGTCATTATGATGTTAGCTGGTTATTTTGCTCATTAGTTGATGCAGTTTCTTCCTAGCCTCAATGGTCTTTACAGTCTGGCATGTTTTTGCAATGGCTGGTACTGGTTGTTCCTTTCCATGTTTAGTGCTTCCTTCGGGAGCTCTTTTAGGGCAGGCCTGGTGGTGACAAAATCTCTCAGCATTTGCTTGTCTGTAAAGTATTTTATTCCTGCTTCACTTATGAAGCTTAGTTTAGCTGGATATGAAATTCTGGGTTAAAAATTCTTTTCTTCAAGAATGTTGAATATTGGCCCCCACTGTCTTCTGGCTTGTAAGGTTTCTGCCGACAGATCAGCTGTTAGTCTGATGGGCTTCCCTCTGTGGGTAACCCAACCTTTCTCTCTGGCTGCCCTTAATATTTTTTCCTTCATTTCAACTTTGGTGAATCTGACAATTATGTGTCTTGGAGTTGCTCTTCTAGAGGATTATCTTTGTGGCGTTATGTGTATTTCCTGAATCTGAATGTTGGCCTGCCTTGCTAGATTGGGGAAGTTCTCCTGGATAATATCCTGTAGAGTGTTTTCCAACTTAGTTCCATTCTCCCCATCACTTTCAGGTACAGTAATCAGACATAGATTTGGTCTTTTTAAATAGTCCCATATTTCTTGGAGGCTTTGTTCATTTCTTTTCCTTGTTTTTTCTCTAAACTTCTCTTCTCACTTCATTTCATTCATTTGATCTTCCATCACTGATACCCTTACTTCCAGTTGATCGAATCGGCTCCTGAGGCTTGTGCATTCGTCACGTAGTTCTCATGCTGTGGTTTTCACCTCCATCAGGTCCCTTAAGGACTTCTTTGCATTGGTTATTCTAGTTAGGCATTTGTCTAATTTTTTTTCAAGGTTTTTAACTTCTTTGCCGTTGGTTCGAACTTCCTCCTTTAGCTCGGAGTAGTTTGATCATCTGAAACCTTCTTCTCTCAGCTCGTCAAAGTCATTCTCCATCCAGCTTTGTTCTGTTGCTGGTGAGGAGCTACGTTCCTTTGGAGGAGGAGAGGCACTCTGATTTTTAGAGTTTCCAGTTTTTCTGCTCTGTTTTTTTCCCATCTTTGTGGTTTTATCTACCTTTGGTCTTTGATGATGGTGATGTACAGTTGGGGTTTTGGTGTGGATGTCCTTTCTGTTTGTTAGTTTTCCTTCTAACAGTCAGAACCCTCAGCTGCAGGTCTGTAGGAGTTTGCTGGAGGTCTACTCCAGACCCTGTTTGCCTGGGTATCAGTCGCGGAGGCTGCAGAACAGCAGATATTGATGAACAGCAAATGTTGCTGCCTGATCATTCCTCTGGAAGTTTTGTCTCAGAGGAGTACCCGGCTGTGTGAGATGTCAGTTTGCCCTTACTGGGGTATGCCTCCCAGTTAGGCCACTCGGGGGTCAGGGACCCACTTGAGGAGGCAGTCTGTCCGTTCTCAGATCTCCAGCTGCATGCTGGGAGAACCACTACTCTCTTCAAAGCTGTCAGACAGGGGCATTTAAGTCTGCAGAGGTTTCTGCTGCGTTTTGTTTGGCTATGCCCTGCCCCCAGAGGTGGAGTCTACAGAGGAAGGCAGGCCTCCTTGAGCTGCAGTGGGCTCTACCCAGTTCAAGCTTTCTGGCCGCTTTGTTTACCTACTCAAGCCTCAGCAATGGCAGGCGTCCCTCCCCCAGCCTCACTGCTGCCTTGCAGTTTGATCTCAGACTGCTGTGCTAGCAATGAGCGAGGCTCTGTGGGCATAGGACCCTCCAAGCCAGGCACGGGATATAATCTCCTGGTGTGCTGTTTGCTAAGACTGTTGGAAAAGCGCAGTATTAGGGTGGGAGTGACCCGATTTCCCAGGTGCCATCTGTCACCCCTTTCTTTGACTAGGAAAGGGAATTCCCTGACCCCTTGCGCTTCCCGGGTGAGACGATGCCTCACCCGGCTTCGGCTCATGCTCGGTGCGCTGTACCCACTGTCCTGTGCCCACTTTCCAACACTCCCCAGTGAGATGAACCTGGTACCTCAGTTGGAAATGCAGAAATCACCCATCTTCTGTGTTGCTCATGCTGGGAGCTGTAGACTGGAGCTGTTCCTATTGGGCCATCTTGGCTCCACCCCAAAACCATGTCTTTAGGTGGCTAGAAGCCCATAACAAAAAAAAAAAAAAGAGAGAAAGAAAAAGTATTTATATAAGGAGAAGAAATGCTACTAATACTCCTAGAAAAATGCATTGATGATGATGATGAAGAAACAAAGTTTTGTAATTTAACCCAATTGGAAATCCAAAATTTACTAAAATAATTTATATAACAGAGATAAAAGTGCACTGATTGGCTTTCATACCTCTACAACATAGTTCCTGGATTAACGTTAGTATTGGCTTAAATATAGCAATTGACAGAACTTCATGGCTTTAATACTGGAGCTCAAATTAGAGTTACACCTGGGGATCCCACTAGATTTAAACAAGATGCCCTAATCATTTTATGAGAGTAGCTAAATATAAAGTAGAGAAAAATAGGTATGTTTCACTTTATATCTTTTCCTAAATTTCCCAATCATAATACCCATTGTTCTAAATTATGTTCCAACACAATGAATAACAAATTAAATTTAATTATTTGGCATTTACGAATTGGATTGATAAAACAGGACCCCATGTGCCCCAGGTTAAAATAGTTTATAAAGTTTAATATAACTAAAAACAACCTTTTCAAGGATTAAAATATCTTATATAAAAGAAAATTAGTAAAGGAATGATCATTCCCATTGCTTCTCCATTTAACAGCCCAATTTTGCCAATTCTTAGACCTGGGAAGAATGAAGATTGCCTCATAGTAGACTACTACAGCTAAAATGCTATGGTCCCATTTGTTAAGGCTCCCATATTCAATACCCAATATTATTTTGTTATGAGAAAAAAAACAGGACTATTTAGAAGAATGTCCCCACACCCTGGGAAGGGGCTAAGTGACCAAATAATAACTTGGACAAGTCCAGCTTGATGAGTACATGAGGCTTTTAGGACTTACATACAGGACATTCCTGGGCAGCAACAGGAAAACTCCAGAGACCTTCCCTGCCACACATTTCTAAGCTGCTTTTAAGCTAATTTTTTGGGTCATTGCCTACTGCATGCAATGAGATTATTTTTTCTTGGTAGGTTACCTGTACACTCCAGGATGTTTGGGTTCCCAGGAACACCTGTTCCTCAGCTGGAAACCATTGCCTTGGCTCACCAGTTGGCCCTCAGGGGCCAAGCAGAAGACCTACACCCTTAAGTAACCTGGTGGGGGGCCCATCACCCTATGCATTTAAATTTCTGATTCTATTCAATCGGCAACCAATAAAGATTTTCCTATTATGGAAGTGGCTAATATGTATTGTTCAGTATCTATTTCAAAAATTTCTCAGCCTCAGTTTGACTTCACCTCCAAAGGGATACAATAGGCCCTTCCAGACTACTGTGTGGAAAAAAGCTTCCTCATCACACACAATCTTTGCAGGAAAGATCTTAACTAAATCCAGCTTTCTCTGGAAAGAGAGGTATCTTACTCCATTCAGGCTGCCATAACAAAAAGTAAAGACTGAGTACTTTATAAAGAATAGATGTTTACTTCTCACAGTTCCAGGGACTGGAGAGTCCAAGATTTAGGTGCCAGTAGATTTGATACCTGCTGAGGGCCCATTTATTGATGCATAGATGGTGCCTTTCTGATGAGTCCTTATATGACAGAAGGGTGAGCTGGCTCTCTGGAGTCTGTTTTATTAGGGCATTAATACCATTCATGAGAGTTCTGCCTAATCACCTCCCAGAGACTCTACCTCCTAATACTATAACATTGGGAATTAGTATTTCAACATATGAATTTTGGAGGAGGGGCCCCATGGTTTTGCTAGGCATAACCCTAGTGGCAACTCTCTGTGTTGGCTCCAACCTTACGATAGCCCACTGCTTGAGTCTTGAGCCTGAGGCTCTGCCTGGCTTCATTCTTCAAAATCTATGTGGGGGTAGCCATACCCCCATGGTTTATGCATTTTGTACTTCTTTGGAGATGGCACCACATGTACCCTGCCAAGGTTTATCATCTGTGCTGTGTGGAGGGCAGACCACCATGTCCTGTGCTGCACCTGGGCACACTGGAGCCACAGCCGGTGTGGCCAAGGACAATTTTGCTCAAATTCAGGGAGCAGAGCTTTGAAATCATTCTTCCCTCCAGGTCCTTGCATAAGCCTGTAATGAGAGAGACAGATTCCATAATCTCCAAAATTCCTTCCTGGTCATTCTGTCATTGTTTTGAGAAATAGCACTTGGCTTGTGTTAGATTCCCAATCCATACCAGTCTCCTTATCAAATGGTCACTTGACCATGCCCTTGTTCTCTCCCTAAAAGGAGGATGAATCCTTCTCCTTCTCCTTCTTCTTCTAGGCAGGGTCTTGCTCTGTTGCCCAGGCTAGGGTGCAATGGTGCAATCATAGCTCACTGCAGTCTTAAACCCCTGGGCTCAACTATTCCTCCTGCCTTAGCCTCCCAAATATCTGGGACTACAGATGTGTGCTGCCACACTTGACTAAATTTTTAAATTATTTTAAAATTTTTTGTAGAGACAGAGTCTTACTCTGGTGACCAGGCCGATCTTGAACTCCTGGCCTCAAATGATCCTCCCACTTTGGCCTCCAAAAATGCTGGAATTACAGGTGTGAACCACAACACCTGGACAGCTTTCTTATTTTTTTTCAATGTGGATAGGCTGAGAATCAAAAATTTTAAGATCTGCTTCCCTTTTGATTAACAATAACATTTAGGCCATTTCTCTCTTCTTGAATTTTACTATAAGCCTTCAAGAAAAGCCAAGCTCCACCTTCAACACTTGACTTAGAAATTTCCTTTGTAAAATATCCATTCATTTTCTCAAAAATTCTACCTTCCATCAAACACTAGAATATGAACACAGTTCATCCAATTTTTTGTCACTTTATAATGAGAATTGTCTTTCTTCCAGTTTCCAATTACAATGACATGTTTCTCATTTCTGTCTGAAACCTCATCAGAATGGCTTTTATCATCCATATTTCTATGAACATTGGGTTTATGGCCATCTTGGCATTCTCAAAGAAGATTTACCCTTTCTCTGCAGCTCTCCTCCTCTCCTTCTGAGCCCTCACTGGAATTAATCATTTAAAGCCACTTGTGGAAACATAAGTGCTTGTTAGCGTGCACCTGAAAACTATTCCAGCTCCTAGTCATTACCTAGTTTCAAAGCTGCTACCACATTTCCATTATTTATTACAGCAACACCCTAACTTCTTGGAACCAATATTTTGTCTTAGTCTTTGGGGGATTCTCTAACAAAATACAATAGCCTGAATAGTTTATGAACAAAAGAAATGTATTTTTCACCTTCTGAAGGCTGGGAAGTCCAAAATCAAGGTGCCACCAAGTTTGTGTCCAGTGAGGGTTAATTTTCCCATCCATAGGTGGTACTATATTTTTGAGTCCTCATATGGCACAAGGGTCAAGCTTGCTCTCTGGGGACTCTTTTATAAGCACATTAATTCCATTTGTGATGGCTCTGCTCTCATGGCCTAATCATCTATTAAAGATCCTGCCTCCCAGTACCATCACATTTGGGGTTAGGATTGCAACACATGAATTTTGGAAGGACAGAAACAGTTTATAGCTCCAAGGTATACATTTTACTCTCAAATACAATGGTGGTCTCTTAGAAACAACATTCAATGAAATTATATTTTCCCAATAGGCCCCCAGGAAGCTGGATTAATTGGGAAGTCTTGTGGGCTCTTCAAATGACTCCTACTTAAGTTACAAAATAATAAATGAATTCCTAAGTGGCCTCTATCTTGTCCCAGACCTTAATCTCTCTTAAGTTAAAGATGCAGAACTGGCTTATAGCAACTTTAAAAAATCTTCTCATCACCATTATCTATATTTAAAGGGAGATTCAAACGGATCCCAGATTGAGGATACAACTCTCTTAGGTACTTTTGCTAATCAGATTGTTTCACAAGACAGGCACCTGTTCATCTGATATGGAACTCACTTCAACCTAAACTTACCCCCCAAATTTTCCTCAATTTTCATTTTATAAGGGATGGATAATTTATCTGAGCTCGTCCTCTGATTACACTCAGAAATTAAAATTATTGCCCAAAAGCCAGCCCGAAAAATGGCAGAATGAAAGATAGAAAACTACAGTTTGTAACTTAAACTCACATTCAGATATTGAGAGAATAAACACTATATTCCAAAATTATTGTAGGAAAACAGCCTGTTGCATGGCAAGAGTAATGCCATCTTGAAGCAAAACTGCCATAAGGACTGATGTTTCACTCCAGCATACCAAGGCATTCCAGCAGCAAGGTCAAGAAACAATGCCTGCAGCATAGCTAACTCCACATATAGAAACAATGCCTGCAGCATAGCTAACCCCTCATAAAGAAACAGTGCCTGCAGCATAGCTAATTCCTCATATAGAAACAATGCCTGCAGCATAGCTAACCCCTCAAAAACAATGCCTGCGACATAGCTAACTCCTCGAATAGAAACAATGCCTGCAACATAGCTAACTCATCATGTAGCAACAATGCCTTCAACATAGATAACTCGTCATATAAAAACAATGCCTGCAACATAGCTAACCCCTCATAAAGAAACAATCCCTGCAGCATAGCTAACCCTTCATAAAGATGCTTATCTAACTTCCCCAGTAGTCACCAGTTTCACTAAGGGGTCTCAGACATAACCAGCTGCAAATGTTTTACCCAAAGAAGGCTTGCTATATAAAGAATACTTTCTAGAGGGCGAGTGCAAGGATTCACCCTCTAGTGGCCGCCTGAAACATAGCTTCTGTTCATATTAAACGTTTCTTTCTAAGAATACGGATTTGTCAGCCTCTTTGGCCTTTCAGCTCCCTCAGCCTTTGAGGGTAGGTTTGCATATACCTGCCCTGGTAATAATATACACTAGAAAAATAATCATCATTAGATAACAAAAGCATCAAGTGTTGCTACACACTATTATGTTGACAATTGGTTTTATTACTATTGATTTGGGTGTTTTCATTGCAATCTGGTAGTCCAAACCCTCCAAGTAAGCCATTGTTTCAAATAGACATAGCAAATCCTGTGGTCCACAAGCCATCAAGTATTGTTAATACAGCCCCAAACCTCATCCACTTGCCTATCACCAACAAACCAAAAACTGGAGAAAAGAGTTCATACTAAGTGGCTAAATTGGAGGACCCACCTACAATCTAATGATGGATATCCAACCTCAGCCTCAAGATTTTAATTGGCAAAAAAACCTGACACCTTATTAACAACATACACGCAAATCAGGCTGTGTGATTTAAAACCTATTTGTAGTAAAATGTTTCTTATCACCCATCTGAGAAAAACCTTGGACTATTGGGAGATTCAGATTTAGACGCTATTAATTATAGTGTTAATTGTGCCAGTCAAGTTCCAGCACTTTGGTACAGTTACAGCAGCATGTTAGATGCAGACATTACCTTAGCTAGCTGTGCACCCACAAAGCCCCTTGACCTTAAGAATATTTGCAAGTCAAATTCCCAGGCACAACATTGCCTTCAAATTCCTCAAGTGGCTCAGCCTTGTTATAATACAATAGAGGAACAAAAACATGATTCATACCAACCCTAGTGGCTATCCACTTGGGAAGGATATCCCAGTCTCACATCCCAGATGACAGTGGTCTGCCTAGTCCAGGAATTCACTGCTGGAGATGACTTAACTTCAGAGAACATTGCCCCAGACCAATACTTCACCATTGGAGATGACTTCACCTCCTGCACTGGAGATTACTTTACCTTGTACGCTTAGCTTCCCCAACAATGCCAATGGGCTGCCCCTCCTAAGGCACTAACAAATATGAAATGGGATATTTATTGTGTTTCTTCCTTTGATATTATTTCTTTGATATTAGGAATTCTAGTATGTTTTCTGAGCTCACTTTTTGCTACACAATGATCCTAGTATATAAGATGGAGCTTGGACTCCTCTTAGGGGCCTGTGGGTTGCCTCGAGCACGAAAATAAGGAAAATCTTCAGTTCTTTCAAGGTAGCCCTGAGACATATGTAAGTGACTTGATAAGCTAGACAGTAATTATAGCTTTAAACAATGTCCAAAGAAGTTAAAATCTCCTATGGAAACTAAGGTAACATCTTTTTTTTTTTTTTTTTTTTTTTTTGAGACAGACTCTCGCTCTGTTGCACAGGCTGGAGTGCAGTGGCGCGATCTTGGCTCACTGCAAGCTCTGCACCCCGGGTTCACGCCATTCTCCTGCCTCAGCCTCCCAAGTAACTGGGACTACAGGTGCCCACCACCACACCTGGCTAATTTTTTGTATGTTTAGTAGAGACGGGGTTTCACTGTGTTAGCCAAGATGGTCTCGATCTCCTGACCTTGTGATCCACCCACCTTGGCCTCCCAAAGTGCTGGGATTACAGGTGTCAGCCACCGCACCCGGCTGGTGCTTCCTTTTTAGTTTTTTTTTTTTTTTTTTTTTTTGAGATGGAGTCTTGCTCTGTTACCCAGGCTGGACTGCAGTGGCACGGTCTCGGCTCATTGCAAGCTCTGCCTCCCGGGTTCAAGCCATTCTCTTGCCTCAGCCTCCAGAGTAGCTGGGATTACAGGCATGCGCCACCATGCCCGGCTAATTTTGTATTTTTAGTAGAGACGGGGTTTCTCCATGTTGGTCAGGCTGGTCTCAAACTCTCAACCTAAGGTGATCTGCCCACCTCTGCCTCCCAAAGTGCTGGGATTACAGGTGTGAGCCACTGCGCCTGGCCGCAAACCACTGATAATTCTTTTCCCAAAAAAAGTAGAAAATACCCAAATAGTATCATATATGAAATGGCTGGTATCATTACAGTTGATGCAAACACCAAAAAGATAAGATTATATTGTGAAGAATTTTATACTGTTAAATTTCAAAAGTAAATAAATTTGTTACATTCCTAGAAAAATATAAACTACTGGAAATGACGTGAAAAGAAATAAGAAAAATAAATTTTACTCTAGTTCCTAAAGAAAGTGATTGTATCAATAAAAGTTTTGCTTCTCCTTCTCTAAAATCTCCAGTCTCAGATGGCTGTATGATGAATTCTAAAAATTATTTTAAGATAAAAAATAATGTCAGTTTTATGCAAATACTTGCACAGAGAAGAAATGAGTAAACATTTCCAAATTCATTGTAGAATAACAGCTTAACCTGCTAAGGACATTACAAGACTGGAATAAAAAGGCTAATGTCACTCATAAACTTAGATTCAAATACTGTAATTAAAACATTAACAACTATAGTCTAATTATGAATAAAACATATGCAACATATATGTGATAAAAATATATCAACCAAGAAGTATTCATTCTGGGCATAAAAGCAAATTTAAACATTGGGAAATCTATTCATGTAAATGCTCATATTCAGGGAGTAAAAAAAGAAAAAGATATATACACATTCTTGTCTTCCCACAAGTCTCTAAGATAGTCCCTATTTCTTCTACTTTTTTCTTTCAGATCTTTAGGATGAATAATTTCTATTCATTTCTTTTCAAGTTTCCTGATTCTTCTTTCTGCAAAATAAAATGTGTTTGAACCCTTTCCAGTGAATTTTTATTTCTGTTACTGTAATTTTCCATGCTAGAATTTCTACTTGGTCCTTTCAAAAATTTTTATTTCTGTATTTATATTCTCTATTTGATGAGTTGTTTCATCACTCTTTACTTCTTCAAAAATGTCTTCTGCCACTTCTTTGAACATAATTATACTAGTTGCTTTGAAGTTTGTGTATGTCAAATCCAACATCTGGGTCCCCTTTACAATTTTCTGTGGACTGCTATTATTGTGTATGTGTGTGTCTAGATCACACTTTGTAGTTTCTTTGCATGTCTCATGTTTTTGTTGTTGAAAACTGGACATTTTCTGTAAGATATTATATCAACCCTGAATTCTATTTCTCTCAGAAGTAGTTATTGTTTGTTCAATGACTTGCCTGAGCTAATTCTAATTCCTCCAGAGTGTGTGGCTGCTTGTGCCTTTGCTATTTTTTTCTCCCTCATCATATTTTCATTTTCATGCCTGGCTTATTAGGAGTTGCCCCAGGTCAGCATACCTTAATGGTCAATGACTGGTTAGAGGCAGTACTGAAATTCTGTGAGCTAGTAAGGCTTCCACCATCTGCCAACGGATCCGTGTGTGGCATAGAAAACACATTCAATATTGGGCCATGCGCAGTGGCTCATGCCTGTAATCCCAGCACTTTGGGAGTCCAAGGCGGGCGGATCACGAGGTCAGGTGATCGAGATCATCCTGGCTAACACGGTGAAACCCCATCTCTACTAAAAATATAAAAAATTAGCCGGGCGTGGTGGTGGGCACCTGTAGTCCCAGCTACTCGGGAGGCTGAGGCAGGAGAATGGCGTGAACCTGGGAGGCGGAGCTTGCAGTGAGCCGAGATGGCACCACTGCACTCCAGCCTGGGCGACAGAGCGAGACTCTGTCTCAAACAAACAAAAAAACAAAAACACATTCAATATTTAGGCAGTTTACACATCTGTCCTAGCTTTTACTTTCTATGTTAGTAAGGCCTCAGATCCAGCCAGGAATGAGTCCCTTTGCTAGAGCCCTCTGTGGTGTCTCCTGGGCATGTGTGCAACATTGTATATGGGCACAGCCCTCCAGACCATCACAGATAAGTAGTATCTTATTAAATCTAACTCTGGCTGTCTCATTTCCTGGATTGGCCTTCTAAATTTCTGACTGAGATGCCAGTCTGTTACTTCCCCAACCAGTATTGTTATCTCAGGCTGGCTATGGTGTTGGCTTTCCCTGACTTTTTGCCACTAAGGTCACTCCTGTTTTTGGCAATGCCCCTGGCATGAAACTTTCTGTGTTCTGCTTTAAATAAAGTCAGATCCTTATGGCAGTGGAGCTGCCATTCCTTAATGCCTGCCACACGGGGGCAAGGAGGAGGGTACTGGGAATAGCTCCAGGCTAGAATGCCAACAAATCCAAGTGCCCTAACTGAGATTTTAGAATTTCTTAAGAAAATGTGTCTCAACTTGTTGTTTTGGTTAATCTCCGAAGTGCTTAAATGGTTGTTTGGGGCCAGGCCTGGTGGCTCACACTTGTAATCCCAGCACTTTGGGAGGCCGAGGTGGGTGGATCACGAGGTCGGGAGATTGACACCATCCTGGCTAACACGGTGAAACTCCATCTCTACTAAAAATACAAAAAATTAGCCAGGCGTGGTGGCGGGTGCCTGTAGTCCCAGCTACTCAGGAGGCTGAAGCAGGAGAATGTCGTGAACCCGGGAGGCGGAGCTTGCAGTGAGCCGAGATTGTGCCACTGCACTCCAGCCTGGGCGACAGAGCGAGACTCTGTCTCAAAAAAAAAAAAAAAAAAAAAAAAGGTTGTTTCTACATTTTAACCAAACGTTACCATTGCTTTCTGGAGAGAAGGTTTGCCAAGTTCGAGATTCACCCACTCTACAAGTCTTACCTTTACCTTACCTTGATTATTAAAAGTACCCAAACTATTTTCCCATGTTTATAAGCCAAATATTAAAACTTTAAAAATTGCTTTTTAAAATGTCAACATTCTGTTAGCATTCTTTTGCCTTTTATATTTTTAACCAAGTAAATCAGGCCATTATATTAATTCATAGGTAAACCTTGTTTTTTCCTAAATTCAGATTTAGCAAGTATTTGATGTATTTATCAGCTTAATCAAACTATAATTATTTGTTAGCTTACAATAATTGGAAGAGGCATATAAATTTTAAATTTTTTGAAGTCTCTTGGGGGTATAACTGAAGCTATATTTAGTTATGTATAGTATGCCTATTTTTGTGTATGTGAAAATCTTGTTACCTTTTCTGCAATTCCACTAAGGTGTTACTGGGCTAACAAGTAATACTTTTAGCCAATCAGCCTACAGTGCTTATGTGAAGTGGGTTTTCTACTTAGGCTCAACTGACACCAAAGCTCATAGAGCTATCATAAGCCATATATTAGTCAATGTCGTCTGGAGAAACAGAACCAACAGGATATATGTAGATATCTAGAACAAAGTTATTATGAGGAATTAGCTCAGGTGGTGATGGACACTGAGAAGTCCCACAGTCTACTGTTTTCAAGCTGAAGACTTAGGAAAGCATGTAGTGCAATTCCAGTCCAAACCCAAAGTTCTGAGAACTAGGGGTGCTAATGGTGTAAGCCCCAGTATGAATCCAAAGATCTGAGAACTGGGTGACTGACAGTGTAAGTCTAGGTCCATGTCTGAAGGTCCCAGAATCTAAAACACTGATGCCTGAGAACAGGAGAAAATAGAGATCCCAGATCTGGCAGAGACAAACAAACAAAAAAAAAACCCTGCCTTTCCTCCATGATTTTTTCTAATTAGCCGGGTGTGGTGGCGGGCGCCTGTAGTCCCAGGTGCAGATTGGAGGATGCCAACCTTTACTGGTGAGGGCCATCATCTTTACTCAGTCCACTGATTTAGATGCTAATGTCTTTCAGATACAGCCTCACAGAAACACTCAGAAATAATGTTTTACCAGCTAAGGGTCTCTTAGCCCAGCCAAGTGGACAAATAAAATTAACCATCACAAGTCTACCCTTTGTCAACTTTGTACCCATGTGTTTCTCATTAAACCATACTTAATCTCCAAACAAAGACAATGACAAGGTCATATTTCTGCCCAACATCATATAACTACCCTGTTTACAGCCATAAATGCACTAATCCCTTCCCAGGAAGAGGTGAAGTCCATGAGTAATGTTTACTCTTCTCCTGACATTGTATAACATAAATACTACTATGTAAAATCAATAATACTTAAAGACTATTAAGTAAAGTCAACACATGTTATTATACATAATAAGGGACTAAGAGAGGGGAAAAACAAAGATATTTGCTTAATATAGACATATATGAACACAACATATTTAGAAAATATAAGAAGGACATACTCATGACAGTTACAGCCTTGGTCTCTGTACTCACCATGTGGTCCTAGCAGGTGCTTATAACTCCCGTCTTCTACACCCATTCTATATTCCCTTTGCCTTCAGTGAGCACCTCAGCTTTTTATTAGATCCTTACCTAGTAGACCGACCCAAACTTTCATTCCTGTATCATCTGAGCTGTTAGTATTACTGCCTGGATTAGCTTGCTGCAGTTTTCCATTTATCTTAATCACAGGGATGGCACTACCAAGAAATGCCCTAAGGGATCCTCTGTATTATGAACATAATGCTTCCATACCTCCACTGTGGGGTAGCAGTCCAGTTTCCACTTGGAAGTTGGGACCAACTGCCCCAGCCAATAACATAACTCTCTTTTTGCCTATTAATGGAGAGGTATGAGAAACCCAAGGTGATGGGGTGGCAGTCTTAAATTTTACTTCAAATCATTATTGTGTCTCCTGTTGGAAGCATTTCTTCATATCCAACTAAGACCTCTAGGCCAGCAGGACATAAATTCACTGGAATAGTGAGAAAAATTTTTGCTAGTGGAACACTAGGTGTAATACTGAAGGATACCTTTCCCTTTCCCACCCCTTGATTTCTGAAATTGTAAATTCTGAATATTGGAGAAACAGCACTATATATTGGTCACAAATTCAGAGCATATATAGTCTTCTGGAAATGTTTTTCCTAGCCCTCCAAGCTGTTGCCACATAGCTGCCACTATAACTGAGTCTCTGAATGTCCATTCCACCATTCTACCAGACCAGGCTTCGGGATGGTGGGAGACATGGTAAGACCATTGAATTTCATGAGCATGAGCCCATTACCACACTTCTTTGACCATTGAATGAGCTACTTGATCAGAAGCAATACTGTGTGGAATACTATGATGGTGAATAATGCATTCTGTAAGTCCACAGATGCTAGTTGGCAGCAGAAGTATTGCATGTAGGGAAGTTGAATCCATGTCCATAGTAACTATCTGTTCCACTAAGAACAAAATGCTGCCCCTTCCATTATGGAAGTCGTTCAATGTAATCTACCACTAGGTAGCTGGCTGATCACCTTGGGAAATGGTGCCATATTAAGGACTCAGTGTTGGTCTTTGCTGTGGGTAGATTGGACACTCAGTGCTGGCCACAGGCAGGTCAGCCTTGGTGATTACGTTCATGTTACTGAGCCCATGCATAACCTCCATCCCTGCCACCATGGCCACTTTTTAAATGAAGCCAGTGGACAATGACAGGGGTGGCTGGGGAAAGGAGCTGAGTGGTATCCACAGAATGGGTCATCCTGTCCTCTTGATTATTAAAATTCTCCTCAATTGTTTATCCTTTGGTGAGCATTCACATAAGATACACGTATCTTCACATTATTTTTTTCCCACTCAGAGAGATCTGTCCCCACATGTCATTCCCAAATGTCTTTGTCACCAGTCTTCCATCATATTCCTTCCAAGTCCCTGGTCCTCCAGCTGAACTATTGGTCACAACCCAGGAATTGCATATAATTTCACAGCTGGCCTTTTCTCCCTCCAAGAAAAGTGCACAGCCAAGTGCCTTGTCTAACGTTCTGCCCACTGAGTAGATTTCCCTTCCACAGAGTTTGTCAGAGATATATCTTAGAAAAGCTCGACAGTGCTGCAGATGTTCACTTTTGGTGGTTTTTCCATATTGTGCAGAACCATCTGTAAACCAGGCATAAGTTTTTTTACTTATATATGTGGCTGTCAGTCAAATCTTAGATCAGAGCCAGTTTACAGACCTATACTCCCTTGAATGAAGGGGAGTCTCGTTTCCTGGGGGAGGGATCCTGGTACATTGAAAAATATATATATTGTTAATCTTTCTTGCAGTCCTCCCTTAAAGGAACCAACAGCCTTTATTTTTTAATTTTATTTATTTATTTTTTGAGCCATACTCTTACTGTGTTGCCCAGGCTGGAATTCAGTGGCGCGATCTTGGCTCATAGCAACCTCCGCCTCCCAGGTTCAAGCGATTCTCCTGCCTCAGCCTCCTGGATAGCTGTGATTACAGATGTGTGCCACCACACCCAGCTAACTTTTGTGTTTTTAGTAGAGACAGGGTTTCATCATGTTAGTCAGGCTGGTCTCGAACTCCTGATCTCATGATCCACCTGCCTCGGCCTCTCAAAGTGCTGGGATTACAGGCATGAGCCACTGCGCCCAGCCCCAACAGCCTTTAACTAGAGTAACTGCACTTGGGAAAAAAGAGATAATCAGATGTTTGGAGACAATTAAACACTGACTCTCAACTGACATTAATGTCAAAAGGCTCAAAACATCACTGTGGTCTATCAGTTACAGGAAGGGCCTATGAGGGTCAATGATCAATAGAGTTTTAGCTGAAGTCTATCTCACAGTGGGCCCAGGGTGTGCCTAAATCCATCTTGTGGTTATTTTCCCAGTTCCAAGAAGCATAATTGGAGTAGAAATAGCAGCAGGTCAAATCTACAAATTGGTTCCCTAACCTCTGGAGCGAGGGCTATTATCATAGGAAAGGCCAAGTAGAAACCACTGTAACTGCCTCTACCTAGGAACATAGTAAAACAAAACCGTACCATATACCTGGAGGGATTGCAAAGATCACTGCTGCCGTCAAAAACCTGAAAAGTGCGGTCGGTGTTGCAGGATTGACACTACCCTACTTCAAGACTTACCATAAAGCTACAGTGATTAGTGTGGTATTGGTGACAGAATAGAGGAATAGATCAATGAAACAGAATAGAGAGCCCCAAAACAGACACGCATAAATACAGGCAACTGATCATTGACAAACGGGCAAAGACAACACAATGGAGAAACGGTAGTCTTTTCAACAAACAAGCATCCTTTTGAAAAAAAAAAAAAAATTGAATCTGGGCACAGACCTTAACCCTGCATGGAAATTAACCCAAAATGGACCATAGACCTAACTGTAAACCACAAAACTATAAAACTCATAGAGTATAATACAAGAGAAAACATAGATGACCTTGAGTATGCTGATGGCTTTCTAGATGCAACACCAAAGGCATGATCCATGAAAGAAATAATTGATAAGCTACATACTCTATGAGTCTAACTATACGACAGTCTCTAAAAGGTAAAACTATGAGGACAGTGAAAATACCAGTAATTGGATGAATAGGCAGAGCACAGAAGATTTTTAGGACATTGAAAATACTGTGTAGTGATGGATACATGTTATCATACATTTGTCCAAACCCATAGAATGTATAATACAAGATTGAACCTTAGTGTAAACTATGGACTTTGGGTAATAATGATGTATCGATGTAGGCTTATCAATTGTAACAAATGCACCACTCTTGTAGCAAAGGTTGATAATGAAGGAGGCTAATCATGTATAGGTGGGTAGGAGATATGTGGAAAATCTTTGTACCTTTCTCTTAATTTTTCTGTAAACCTAAAACAGATTTTAAAAACAGTCTTTCATGGGGCTGGGTGCGGTGGCTCACGCCTGTAATCCCAGCACTTTGAGAGGCCGAGGCAGGCGGATCACAAGGTCAGGAGATCGAGACCATCCTGGCTAACACAGTGAAACCCCGTCTCTACTGAAAGTTAAAAAAATTAAAAAAAGTAGCCGGGTGTAGTGGCAGGTGCCTGTAGTCCCAGCTACTCGGAAGGCTGAGGCAGGAGAATGGCCTGAACCCAGGAGGTGGAGCTTGCAGTGAGCCGAGATCGCGCCACTGCACTGCGACAGAGCAAGACTCCGTCTCAAAAAAAAAAAAAAAAAAAAAAAAAAAAGGTGTAGAAATGGTGAGACCCACCACATCCCCATTCAACTTACTTACTTGGCCTGTGCTGGAAACATGTATCTTTGAGAATAACAGTGGGTTATCTTAACATTAACAAGCTGGTAACTCCGCTTGCAGCTGCTATACCGGTTGTGGTTTCATTGTTTGAATAGATTAAAATATACCCTGGTTTATGACATGCAGCCATTTGTCTGGAAAATGCCTTTTTCTCCTTCATATCTAAGATTAAAGACTACCAGAAAATGTTTGCAATACACTTTCTCTGTCCTACCTCAAGGTACAACAACTCTCCAGCTTTATGTCATAAATAATTTATAGGGACCTTGATGTTCTACAAGATTTTATGTTGGTCTGTTAATCATTGATAACATTATGCTGATTGGTCCTAGTTCGCAAAAAGTAGCAACTAATCTATACTTATTGGTAACACATTTGTGTGCCAAACGGTTGGAAACAAATTAAAAAAAAAACTCAGGGGCTTTTGGCCTCAGTAAACTTGGGTTCCAGTTGTATTGGGGGCATGTCAAGATAATTCTTCTAAGATGAATAATAACTTATTGCATCTGGCCCCTCCTACAATCAAAGGGAAAGGCACAATGTCTAATTGGCCTCTTTGTAATTTGGAAGCAACGTATTCTTCATTTGATTGTGCCACTCTGGCACATTTAATGAGGTGAACTTAAAAGCTGCTAGTTTTGAGTGGGGCCCAGAAGAAGAAAAGGTTCAGCAACAGTTCCAGGCTGCTGTGCAAGCTGCTCTGCTACTCGAGCCAGGTGATCCAACCGAGTCAGTGGTATTGAAGTGGCTGTGGCAGATAAGGATGCTTTTTCAGCCTTTGGCAGGCTACTGAAAGTAAATTATAACACAGACCCGTAGGATTCTGGAGTCAAGTCCTACCATCCTCTGTGGATAATTACTGTCCTTAAAGAAGCAGCTTTTGGCTTGCTACTGGGTCTTAGTAGAGACTAAACATTTAACCATGGGGTATCAACTTACCGTGCAATCTAAGGTGTCCATTATAAACTCAGTGTTGTCTGACCCACCAGGCCACAGAGTTGGGTGTGCACAGCAGAACTCCGTCATCAAATGGAAATGTTTTGTACAAAACTGGGTCTGAGCAGACTCTGAAAATGCAAGTAATTTATATGAGTAAGTGGCCCAAATGCCCATGGGCTCCATTTTGGCTATATTATCTTCTCTCTCTCATCCTGCCTCTACAGCCTCATGGAGACTTGTCTGTGATTGGTTGGCAGAGAAGGAGAAAACATCTACCTGGCCCTAGGGGGTTCTTTGTAATAGGCAGTCATAGCACTACAGTCCCATTCTGGAACATTCCTAAAGGACAGTGGTGAACACAAATCCTCCCAGTAGCCATGGTCAAGAAGTAAACCTGGCTATTCATTGTACTTGGAAGGAGAAATGGCCAGACTGAGTCACAGGCTATGGCAAGTGGTTTGGCTGGTTGGTCAGGTACTTTGAAAGAAATACAATTTGAAAACTGGTTACAAGGTCTGTGGAAGAGATATGTGGATAGACATTTCTGAGTGGGTAAAGAGCACGAATATATTTGTGTCTCATGTGAATGCTCATCAAACAGTGACCTTAGAAGAGGAGAATTACAACAATTAAGTGGACAGTGTGATCTGTTCTATGATTCTAGCTGGCCCCTTTCCCCAGCCATTCCTGTCATTGCCCACTGGTCTCATGAACCAAATAACCACAGTGGCAGGAATGAAGACTATGCATGGGCTCAGAAACATGGACTTTCACTCACCAAGGCCAGCATGACTGCAGCAACAACTAACTGCCAAATCGGCCAGCAGTAGGAACCAACACTGAGTCCCTGATATGGCACCATATCTTGGTTAAACATCTAGCTTCCTAGAGGAAGTTTGATTACATGGCCCCACTCCCATCATGGCAGCGTCAGTTTTTTGTTCTAACTGGAACACACACTTACTGTGGATGTGGATTTACATTCCCTTTACGCAGTGTTTCTGCCGGGAAACACAACAATGACTCTATTAGTGTGAACATTTAGACTGCCACCCAGATAGTTTGAGATCCTCATGTTTCAGAATCAATGGGTAAGGAAGGCAATTAACATACTGACTGTGATGATTGACACTAATTACCAAGGGGAAATTAGACTGTTACTCCACAAATGAGGTAAGAAAGAGTATTCTGCAAAACAGGAGATCCCTTTGGGTGACTTCTACTACTAACACGCACTGTGATAAATTCAATGGATAACTATGACAACCTAATTCAGACAGGACTAGGCCCACTACCTTCTGGAATAAATGTCTGGGTTATTCCACTAGGCAAAGAACTCTAATCAACCAATGGTCTGGCTGAGGGCACCAGAAATAAAGATTGAGTAGTGGAAGAAGGTGGCTATAAATACCAGGTATAATCATATGACCACTTACAGAAATGTGAATAATGACTGAGTATTTTTTATTGTATTATATATGTTTGTGATATATATTATGTGTATTGTATATAGTAATGTTATATATATGTTTGTGATATATATCACATATATCTATATGTCTCCCTCCCTCTCTTCTCTCTCTCTCTCCATATATATATCTTTCTTTCTTCCCTCTTTTATCATCTTATCATCTAACATAATATGTATCCATTTCACATCACAGTATTTAATATTGTTAACTTTACATCATAGCATTTAATTTATAGGATATCAAGAAGAGTGAATGTCATTAAGCACCTATCATCCTCTTCTGGGGAAAGGGTTAGTTTTTGTTTACACACAGCATAGTTGTGTCATGTTAGGCAGAACTATGACCTTGTTATTGTCTTTATTTGGAGATTAAGTATGGCTTAAGGAAATTTGTATGAATACATATTTGCAAGGGGTGAATTGAAATGGTTAATTTTATGTGTCATTCTGGGTAAGCGATGATACCCAGTTTAGTCAGCCAGCAGTACTGATGTTGTGAAGGCACTGTTTAGCAATGATAAACATTGAAATCAGTAGGCTTTTAGTAAAGCCTATTACTCTCCATAATATGGGTGACATCATTTGTATATTTGTCCCCTCCAAATCTCATGCTGAAATTTGATGCCCAGTGTTGGAAGTAGGGCCTGGTGGGAGGTGTTTGAGTCATGGGGACAGATCCCTTGTGAATGGCTTGGTGCCCTCCCCATCAGTTACCATGAGATCTGAGTGTTAAAAAGAGCCCAGCACCTCCTCCTCTCCCTCTTGCTCCCTCTCTCACCATGACACACCTGCTCCCCCTTAGCTTTCCACCACCATGAGTAAAAGTTTCCTAAGGCCTCACCAGAAGCAGATGCTGGCACCATGCTTCTTGTACGACCTGCAGAACCATGAGCCAAATAAACTTTCTTTCCTTATAAGTTGCCCAGCCTCAGGTATACCTTTATAGCAACACAAAACAGATTAATACAGTGGGTGAGCTTTATCCAATCAATTGAAGGCCTTAAGAGAAAACATTGAGGTTCCCTGAGAATTAAGAAATTCTACCAGAAATTTATTATCTCACAATTCCGAAGGCTAGAGGGTGGAATTAAGGTGTTGGCAGAGACATGCTTCCTCTGAAACCTGAAGGATAACCTTTCCTTACCTCTCTATAGCTTGTGCTGGTAGGCTGGCCATTTTTTGGCATTCCTTTGCTTGCACAATGCCAACCTTTGCTTTTGTTGTACCTGGCATTCTCCCTGTGTCTCTCTGTTGTCCACCCTCTGTGCATGTCTTCACATGGCATCTTCCTTTCCTATTAGAACACCAGAAACCCTGGAGTAGGACCCATCCTACCCCAGCATGTTCTCTTCTTAGCTACTTACATATACAATAATCCTGTAGGCAAATGAGGTCACATTTACAGATACCGGGGGTTAGGGCTCAAGCATATGTGTTTTGGGGGATGCAATTCAACCCATAAGTATGATTAAGAATACTGGGTTCAGGCCGGGCGCGGTGGCTCATGCCTGTAATCTGAGCACTTTGGGAGGCCCAGGCGGGCGGATACCGAGGTCAGGAGATCGAGACCATCCTGGCTAACACGGTGAAACTGAGTCTCTACTGAAAATACAAAAAAATTAGCTGGGCGTGGTGGTGGGCGCCTGTAGTCCCACCTACTCGGGAGGCTGAGGCAGAAGAATGGCGTGAACCCCGGAGGCAGAGGTTGCAGTGAGCCGAGATGGTGCCACTGCACTCCAGCCTGGGCGACAGAGCGAGACTCCGTCTCAAAACAAAACAAAACAAAACAAAAAGAATGCTGGGTTCACAGGTCATATTTTCCCTTCCTAATCTTTTATTAGTTATTTATTTATTTTTTGAGATGGAGTCTCGCTCTGTCGCCCAGGCTGGAGTGCAGTGGTGCCATCTCGGCTCACTGCAAGCTCTGTCTCCCGGGTTCAGGCCATTCTTCTGCCTCAGCCTCCCGAGTAGCTGGGACTACATGGGCCTGCCACCACCTCCGGCTAATTTTTTTGTACTTTTAGTAGAGACGGGGTTTCACCTTGTTAGCCAGGATGGTCTCGATCTCCTGACCTTGTGATCCGCCCGCCTCGGCCTCCCAAAGTACTGGCATTACAGGGGTGAACCACTGCGCCCCTCCCCTTTCCAATCTTTAACGATATTCTTCCACAGTCTTTCACTTGTTTCTCACAACAGATTTGCTGCCATCATTATTTTTGTTCCCTGTTTATAAAAATTTTTGTTCTCCATGTGTTTTCTTCTCTGACTTTTTTGAAGATATTTTATGTTCACTAGTTTGTAGAAAATTGATTATGATGTTCCTGGTATAGTTTCTTAACGTTTCTTGTGCTTGCAGTTCATTAATTTTCTTGTATGTCGATATTTTATTTTTCAGAAAATTTAGGAAAAAAATAACCATTATTTCTTCAATTCTGTTTCTGACTCTCCTGTTATCTTCATTGTGGGGTCTAATCACACATATATTATACTACTTGAAATTAACCCACATCTTTTTTTTTTTTTTTTTTTTTTTTTTTTTTTTTGAGACGGGGTCTTGCTCCGTAGCCCAGGCCGGAGTCCAGTGGCGCGATTTCGGCTCACTGCAAGCTCCGCCTCCTGGGTTCACACCATTCTCCTGCCTCAGCCTCTGGAGTAGTTGGGACTGCAGGGGCCCGCCACCATGCCCGGCTAATTTTTCGTATTTTTTATTAGAGACCGGGTTTCACCGTGTTAGCCAGGATAGTCTCAATCTCCTGACCTCGTGATCCGTCCACCTCAGCCTCCCAAAGTGCTGGGATTACAGGTATGAGCCACAGCGCCTAGCCGAAGTTAACCCACATCTTAATCATGCGTTTAATTTAAAAAGTTTTTTCTTTGTGATTCATTTTGAACAGTCTGTATTCCTCTATCTTGTGACTCACTAATCTTTACTTCTGCCATGTCCAATCTGCCATTAATGACACCCAGTGCAGTTTTCATCTCAGACATTTTTATTTTTATCTAGAAAAAAATCTAGGCCATTTTTATATGTCCTATGTCCTTACATGACTTCTTAAACATATGAACTATACTTATAGTAACTGTTTTATGCCCTTCTAATTTTAACATCTGTTTCAGTTATGGGTAACATTTGATTGGTTGACTCTTCCTCTTATTATGGGTTTCATTTGCCTGCTTCTTTGCACTCCTGGTAAACTTTTTTGGATACCAGATACTGTGATTTTAACCTTGTTTGGTGCTTGTCTTAGTTCATTCTGGCTGCTGTAACAAAATGCCAAAATTGAGTAGCTTGAAGAAGAGAAATTTAATAGTTGTAGAGGCTGAGAGCTCCAAGATCAAGGGAAAAGCAGACTTCAAGTCTGGTGAGGGCCTGCTTCCTGATTCACAGATAGCCATTGCATTGTTGTTGTGCAGTGGTCTCTTTATCCCCTTATAAGAGCACTAATTCCATTCATGAGGGCTCCACCCTCCTGACCTAGTCACCTCCCAATGTCCATGCCTCCTAATTTTATCACATTGGAGATTAGGTATAGATGCATGAATTTGAGGGGAGATACAAACATTCAGACCATAGCATTGCTAGATATATATTTTCAACTTTTATTACAGGTTTAGTGGGTACATGTAGAGGTTTATTACAGAGGTATATTGCATGATGCTGAGGTTGGAAATACGAATGAATCCATCTCCCTGGTAGTTCACAGAGTGCCCAATAGGTAGTTTTACAGCCCTTGCTCCCTCCTTTCTTTCCCCCACTTGTATTTCATAGTGTCTATTATTCTTATCTTTACGTCCATGGGTACTCAGTATTTACCTCACACTTATAAGTAAGAACATGCAATATTAGGCTTCAAGTTTCTGAATTAGTTTAGGATAATGGCCTCCAGCTGCATCCATGTTGCTGCAGATTTTATTCTTTTTATGGCTGTATAGTATTCCCTGGCATAGAGGTACCACATTTTCTTTATCCAATCCAGAGTTGATGTGCACCTGGGGTGATTCCATGTCTTTGCTATTGCAAATAGCACTGCGATGAACATACAGGTTCATGTGTCCTTTTAGTAGAATGACTTACTTTCCTTAGGGTATAAACCCATAATATAGTTGCTAGATCAAACAGTAGTTCCACTCTTAGTTCTCTGAGAAATCTCCAAACTGTTCTCCACAGTGGCTGGAGTAATTTACATTCCACCAGTGGTGAATAAGTATTCCCCTTTCTAAACAGCCTTGTTAGCCACTGCTGTCTTTAAGCTTTCTAACAAAAGCCATTCTGACTTGGTGTGAGATGGTTTTGATTTGCATTTTTCTGGTGATTGGTGATGATGGGCATTTTTTCATGTTTCTTGGCCACTTGTATGTCTCCTTTTGAGAAGTGATTGTTCATATCCTTTGCCCACTTTTTAATGAGGTTGTTTTTTTGCTTGTTGATTTCAGTTCCTTATAGATTCTAGATATAAGGCCTTCGCCAAATGCACAGTTTATGAATATTTTCTCCCATTCTGTAAATTATCTGTTTATACCCTTGATAGTTTCTCTTGCTGTGAAGAACTTATTTAGTGTAATTAGTTTCCATTTGTCAATTTTTGTTTTTGTTGCTATTGCTTTTTAGAACTTAGCCATAAATTGTTTGCCAAGGCCAATATTAAGAAAGGTATTTCCTAGATTTTCTTCTAATATTTGTATAGTTTGAGGTCTCACATTTACATCTTTAATCCATCTTGAGTTAACTTTTGTATATGGTGATAGGTAGGGGTCCAGTTTCATTCCTCTGCGTATGGCTAGTTAGTTGTCCTAGCATCATTTATTGAATACAGAGTCCTTTTCCCATTGCTTATTTTTGCTGACTTTGTCAAAGATCAGTTGGTTGTAGGTGTGTAACTTTATTTCTGCGTTCTCTATTCTGTTCCATTGGCCTATGTGTCTGTTTTTGTACCAGTACCAGAGTGCTGGATATTTTTATAATATTAAAATATTCCTGATGGTTGTTCTGGAATATAGTTAGGTTTCTTGAAACCAATTTGATTATTTTGGTTCTTGCTCTCAAAATCTGTCAGGGAAGACCAAAGCAATATTTGGTGTGAGGCTAATTAATACCCTAATCAATGCCCCAATGAATTATAACATTTACAAGTCTTATTTGTGGTACCAGTCTTTACTACCAGCCCTGTGTGTGTCCCAGGTGCTGTTTTTTCTAATCCTTTTGTATTGTTCTTTTACTAATGTTGAGTACTATGCAATAAAGGATTAATTCAGCAGGGCTGGGCTGTACACACACTGCACATTCCAAAGAAAGAATTGTCCCTTGCCTGGCTCCTGGAAGGTAACCTCTAAATCCTTGAGATAGCTTCCTGTTGTATTTCTTTGCCTGGTACATGTTTATTACCTGAGGATATAGGACTGCACCAGAAAGTTTATGCTGATGATGTGACTTATGGTGGGGCATTGGGCCAACTGGTATCAGCTTGGCCTCTTGAGGAGCTGGAAACAAAGACCAGATAAGCTTATATGACCAGCCTTGGATAAAAAAAAACAAGACATCAAGGCTCAGTGAGCTTCACTGTCTGGCAATACTTTATGTGTGTTGCACACACCGTTGGTGGTAAAATGAAGTGCTGTCCACATGACTCCAATGAGGGAAGACAAATGTGTACCCGGTTTCTTCTGGACGCTCTCCTAGGTGCTTTTTCCCATGGTTGATTTTACTCTATATCCTTTCACTGTGACAAATTTTAACTATGAGCATAACAGCTTTTCTGAGTTCTGTGAGTTCTTGTAGCAATGATTAAACCTGAGGGTGGTCTTGGCAACCCTCGAATACAGGTAGTTTTCTTGTACATATATCCTCAGATGAATACTTGATGGGAACCCTCTGGAATCTCTGGCTTTATCTTTCTGTGCAGCTGTCTCCTTTCTGACACTCTCCCACATGAGTTATAGTCCCCTTAGTCTCCTGAGACTAAATTCCATATCCTCAAATCTGGTAGTCTGCCATCCTACACTTGGGTTCCCCTTGCCTGCACCGTAGCTTGGGAACTCAAGCAGTAAAAGAGGAAAATGATAGGGATTATTGCATTTGTTTCTTGTCTCTCAGGGAATCATAGTTATTCAGTGCCTGTTACAGGATAGATTTTGTCTGCTCAAAAAAGTTTGTTGTTCTAACTCCCAGTACCCCAGAATGTTATCTTATTTAGAGATCAATCTTTACAAAGTTAATCAAGATACAATGAGGGCAGGCTCTAATGCATTATGACTGATGTCCTTATAAAAAAGAAAAATTTGGATATACAGACACACATAGAAGAAAGGGTATTTGAATAGACATAGGAGAAGAAGACAACCATCTAAAAGCCAAGGAGAGAGATTTAGAACAAATACTTCCCTCACATGTGACATCAACACTGCCAAGATCTAGATTTCAGACTTCTAATATCTGCACCTGTGAGATAATATATTTATGATGTTTAAGGCACCCAGTTTGTGTTACCTTGTTATGGCAGCCCCAGCAAACTAATACAGTGCCTGAGATCCAGTGTCTGAAACCATTATTTTATATTTTTGTCTGCTTATTTTCTTGTTTAAGGTGAGAGGGTCCTATTGTCCGAACGTTTGTGTCTCCCAAAATTTATACGTTGAAACATAATTAACATATGAATGTGATGGCATTGGGAGGTGGGGCCTTTGAGAGGTGATTAGGTTATGAGAAAAGAGCCCTCAGGACTAATGCTTTTTAAAAAGAGGCCCCAGAGAGCTGCCTTGCCCCTTCCACCATGTGTGGACACAGCTAGATGGCACCTGTGGACCAGAAAGCTGGCCCTCATCACTCACCCAGATTAAACTGGTAAGAAACATGATGGTATCAATAAGAGTTTATCAGAAAATAATATGTCATTCTAGAGGAATATACCAACATTTTAGACTTAAAGTTATTAATAAAAATAATTTGCCAGTTACAATTAATAGCACATAATGATAGCTAGTCAGAAAAGAAAATACAATATCAGGAATAGAATACAAGTAGTTGCGGAAGCCTAAAGTGATTTTTACTAATCCTCTTTTCTATAAACATCTTAAAAACTAGATAGAAATTTACAAAGCATCAATTTAAAGAAACTGAGGATGCCTGCTTCTGGCCAAGGTGGAATAATGCGGGCAGAATTTACCCCTTGTTTTATTACATTCTGACTGTTATAACAAAACATCATAAACCAGAAAACTTATAAACAGCAGAAATTTATTTCTCACAGTTATGAAGGCTGGGAAGTCCAAGATCAAGGTGCTAGAAGATTGAGTGTCTGATAAAAGTTTGTAGAGAGGCATGTTTAAAACACTTCTGGTTTGTCTGTTCAGTGAAGTATATGCATTGATGGCTCCAGTTCAGCTCTGTGTACCATTTCAACATTTTCCATATTTACCAGTCCCTGGGATTTGATATTTGTCCATCTGTAGTGGTGCTATTCAATAAGATAGCAAGTAGCTACATATGACTATGTAACATTAAAATAAAATTATTTAAACTTAAATACAATAACATTTTGTTCCTCAGTCACACTTTCCACATTTCAAACTGTCACAGTGTACATCAGCACAGAAAGTTTGGTTGGACTGTACTGCTCTAGATTCTCAATAACGCTAAAGTAACTTGATATGATTTACATTTTACAAGTATTACTCTGACTCTTCTGAGAGTGGCAAGGAACGGAGAAAGATAATAAAAGACAAGAGACTATTGTGATGATCCAAATTGGAGATGATAATAATTTTGCATCTGAGTTGTGGCAATGAACATGATTTAAAAAAAAAAAGTCAGGTAAAGGATATATTTCTAATAAACAGCTAATGGACTTGCTGAGGCTTTGCATGAAAACTCATGAGGATTCCAAAGTTTTTGTTTGAGCAAATAAAACAATGAAGTTACCATTTAGTAAGATGGGAAAGAAGGTGGCAGGAATAAATTTGAGACAATGAAGCAGATTATGAGTTAAGTTTAAAATGAGATGACAGAAGGGCAATTGGATACAACTATGAGATTCAGGGATAAGACTTCCTTGGAGATTAGAAGTTGAGAGTCATCAGTTTATGGATTGTATTTAAAACTGTTGACTTGAGAAAAGTGACATCAGCAACATGGAAGACCAGGATGCTCCCAGTCCACACCACCCACAGATGTATTAAAAAAAAAAAAAAAAAAACTGAAACTGGCTAAAATAACTTGAGAGGAGTTCTGGAAAACAGACCAATGTCTTCAGTAACCAAGTAAAAGTAAATGACCAGTCTTCTACATTCTTTCTATTTGTTTTGTTACTCATTAGCCATCCCTACATACCCTTCACCCTCTCACTACACTTGCCAGCCTCTGATAACCATCTTTCTGCTCTCTGTCTCTATTAGTTCACTGTTTTGATTTGTAGATCTTACAAATAAGTGAGAATGTGAAGTTTGTCTTACTGTGTCTGGGATATTAGTCCATTTTCACACTACTGTAAAGAACTACCTGAGACTGGGTAGTTTATAAAGAAAAGAGGTTTAATTGACTCACAGTTCCACATGGCTGGGCAGGTGACTGGAAACTTACAATCATGGTGGAAAATGAAGGGGAAGAAAGGAACGTCTTACATGGCGGCAGGAGAGAAAGAGAATGAGGGGGAAAGTCCTACTCTTTTAAACTATCAAATTTCATGAGAACTCACTCACTATCACAAGAACAGCATGGAGGAAATCTGCTGCCATGATCCAGTCACCTCCCACCAGGTCCATCTCTCAACACATGAGGATTACAATTTGACATAAGATTTGGGTGGGGATACAGAGCCAAACCATATCACCTGGCTTATTTCATTTAACATAATGACCTCCAGTTCCATCCACGTTTTTGCAAATAACAGGATCTCATTCTTTTTTATGGCTGAATAGTACTCCATTGTGATAAGTACCACATTTTCTTTATTCATTTTTCTATTGATGGACCCTTAGGTTGCTTCCAAATCTTAGCTATTATGAACAGTGCTGTAACAAACATGGGAGCAAATATATCTCTTAGATATACTGATTTCTTTTAGGTATATACCTAAAAGTAGAATTGCTGGATCATATGATAGCGCTATTGTTAATTTTTCTGAGGAACCTCCAAACTGTTCTCCATAGTGGTTGTATAATTTACATTCCCACCAATAGTGTATGGGGGTTCCTTTTTCTCCACATCCTCTCCAGCATTTGTTAATGCTTGTCTTTTGAGTAAAAGCCATTTTAACTGGGGTGAGATAATATCTCATTGTAGTTTTCATTTACATTTCTCTGATGATCAGTAATGTTGAGCACCTTTTCACATGCCTGTTGGTGATTTGTATGTCTTTTTTTGAAAAATGCTTATTCAAATAAAAATTTTGCCCATTTTTAATCAGTTTATTAGATTTTTTCCTATAGAGTTATTAGAGCTCGTTACATGTTCTGGTCATTAATCCCTTGTCATATATGTAGTTTGCAAATATTTTCTCCCATTCTATGTGTTGTCTCTTCACTTTGTCATTTGTTTCCTTTGTTGTACAGAAGCTTTTTAACTTGATGTGATCCCATTTTTTCCATTTTATTTTGGTTATCTGTACTTGTGGGGTATTACTCAAGAAATATTTGCCCAGACCAATGTCCTGGATAGTTCCCCTAATGTTTTCTAGTAGGAGTTGCATAGTTTGATGTATTAAGGTCTTTAATTGATTTTAATTTGATTTTTATATATGGCAGGAGATAGGGGTCTAGTTTTATTCTTCTACATACAGATAGCCACTTTTCCTAGCACCATTTATTGAAGAAATTGTCTTTTCCCCAGTGTGTGATCTTGGCACTTTTGTCAAAAATGAGTTCACTGTAGGTGTTTACATTTGTTTCTGGGTTCTCTATTCTGTTCCATTGGTCTGTGTCTGTTCTTATGCCGGTACCGTGCTGTTTTGGTTACTGTAGCTCTTTGAAGTCAGGTAATGTGATTCCTCCACTGTTGTTGTTTTTTTTTTTTTTTTTCTCTCTTGTTTGGAGATTCAAAGAGTTTAATTTTTCCCTAGAGCAAGATCAACAATTTTCACTGGGATAAAAGAATAAAGAACAAACTCAATAGCACCAAATGGGGTTTTAACACAGAAAACAGGGCCACTCCTTTTAAATGCAAATTTTTACATTAAAATATGTTTATAAATCATAGTAGTTCTTTTTCCTCTTGATTCAACATTTCTTCCTCCCCTAACAGGAGCCCTAGAACCTGAAGAGCATGTACATTACTAACCAGATACACAATCCACCCACCCTGTCCAAACTGGAATCTGATTACTAATGGACTTAGACTTGGGGCTGGCCCCAAGGGATGGGAAGCAGTAACTATGCTGTCAGGGAGAATGGGTACTGAGGAAGCCACCAGTCAAAAAGCCGAACGCTGTGCACTGGGTCCAGCATGACTTGCACACCCTGTTCACTGCACAGTTTCTGACCACCATGAACAGGGGAATCTTGGAACACCAGTCTCACTCGATGATGCCGCGTGTCCGTGCTCGCATTGACAGTAAACAGAGTAAATATCATTCCCATGACAATCGGAATAAAGATGAAATTGAGGGTGGTGACCTGCAGTAGGCAGCAGTCCTGGTCTCCATTGGTATGAACATCTTCGTACTGGATGGGAAGCTGCAATCCTCCTGTACACTTGCTCTTTAACCTAGCGGACTGTTTTTTGAACTTGAAGTTGAATTCCCGCATTGGTTCCTGTCTGTTCCCAATAATCTTTCTGCACCAGAAAAGTAAGCATTTGGAATTCTTTAATGTGCTGGGGGTGCTTTCTGGAATGGCTGGATTCTTGGAGATTCCAGCAGCAAATGGCTCATACATATGGTACAGAGATCAGACCACAATGTCCTCACAACGGATATAGGAGGTCAGCAATAGCCAAATATCCATGGGATACTCTTTTCCTCCAGCCCCGTCCAGTTCTTCTTTGTGCCTCTTGCTTTTCATTTTTCTGGAGACAGTTCTCTCATGGATGCTTTCCTCCTGGGCATCAGTCTCATCACTGCTGTCGATGATGTCACAGGGCTCACGAGCCCCAGAATGAGCTTCCTCTGCAGGAACCTGAGAGGCTTCCAAGCTTCAAAGAGATTTTACTTCCTGCTGAACAGCATTGGCTGCGGCTTTCTTGACTCATCCAGACCTCACGACCGCCAGATCCGAGTTGGCGTAATCCTCCACAGTCACTCGGCTGGAGCAGAGGAGCGACTTGAGTCGCTTTCCCCTCTTGGGCAGGGCAATCGTGTCTGGGCGAGGCCTGCCTAGTGGGCTGGGCCCCTGGGCCACGTCTGTGGCCTGGAGAGCGGGTCCCAGGAGCCGCAGGCCAGCTCCACCAGGCTCCGCGGGCATCCCGCACCGGAGGCCGCTAACTCTCGCCCACTGTTGTTCTTTTTGCTGAAATAACTGGCTGTTTTGAGTCTTTTGTGGTTCCATATAAATTTTAAGACTTTTTTCCCATTTATGTGAAGGATGTCATTGGTACTTTGATAGGAATTGCACTGAATTTCTAGATTGCTTTGGGTAGTACTGATATTTTAACAATATGGATTCTGCCAGTCTATTAACAAGGAATATATTTCCATTTTTTGTTGTCCTCTTCAATTTCTTTCATCAGTATTTTATAGTTTTTGAGAGGTGACAGCGTGCTGGCAGTCCTCAGAGCCCTTGCTTGCTCTCGGCACCTCCCCTGCCTAGGCTCCCACTTTGGTGGCATTTGAGGAGCCCTTCAGTCCCCCACTGCACTGTGGGAGCCCCTTTCTGGGGTGGCCAAGGCCGGAGCCCACTCCCTCAGCTTGCAGGGAGGTGTGGAGGGAGAGGCACGAGCGGGAACCGGGGCTGTGTGCGGCACTTGTGGGCCAGCTGGAGTTCCGGGTGGGCATGGGCTTGGTGGGCCCCGCACTCGGAGCAGCCAGCCAGCCCTGCTGGCCCCGGGCAGTGGGGGACTTAGCACCCTGGCCAGTGGCTGCGGAGGGTGTACTGGGTCCCCCAGCAGTGCTGGCCCACTGGCGCTGCGCTCGATTTCTCTTCAGGCCTTGGCTGCCTTCCCACGGGGCAGGGCTCGGGACCTGCAGCCCCCCATGCCTGAGCCTCCCACCCACTCCATGGGCTCCTGTGCGGCCCGAGCCTCCCCGACGAGCACCACCCCCTGCTCCACGGCGCCCAGTCCCATCGACCACCCAAGGGCTGAGGAATGCGAGCGCACGGCGCAGGACTGGCAGGCAGCTCCACCTGCAGCCCCGGTGCGGGATCCACTAGGTGAAGCCAGCTGGGCTCCTGAGTCTGGTGGGCACGTGGAGAGTCTTTATATCTAGCTCAGGGATTGTAAATACACCAATCAGCACCCTGTGTTTAGCTCAAGGTTTGTGAGTGCACCAATCGACACTGTATCTAGCTGCTCTGGTGAGGACGTGGAGAACCTTTATGTCTAGCTCAAGGATTGTAAATACACTAATCGGCACTCTGTATCTAGCTCAAGGTTTGTAAACACACCAATCAGCACCCTATGTTTAGCTCAAGGTTTGTGAGTGCACCAATCGACACTCTGTATCTAGCTGCTCTGGTGGGGCCTTGGAGAACCCGTGTGTGGAAACTCTGTATCTAATCTGATGGGGACGTGGAGAACCTTTGTATCTAGCTCAGGGATTGTAAACGCACCAATCAGCGCCCTGACAAAACAGGCCACTCGCTCTACCAATCAGCAGGATGCGGGTGGGGCCAGATAAGAGAATAAAAGCAGGCTGCCCGAGCCAGCATTGGCAACCCTCTCGGGTCCCCTTCCACACTGTGGAAGCTTTGTTCTTTCGCTCTTCGCAATAAATCTTGCTACTGCTCACTGTTTGCGTCCACGCTGCTTTTATGAGCTGTAACACTCACCATGAAGATCTGCAGCTTCATTCCTGAGCCCAGCGAGACCACGAGCCCACGGGGAGGAACGAACAACTCCAGACGCGCTACCTTAAGAGCTGTAACACTCACCGCAAAGGTCTGCAGCTTCACTCCTGAGCCAGCGAGACCACGAACCCACCAGAAGGAAGAAACTCCGAACACATCTGAACATCAGAAGGGACAGACTCCAGACACGCCACCTTAAGAGCTGTAACACTCACTGCGAGGGTCCACGGCTTCATTCTTGAAGTCAGTGAGACCAAGAACCCACCAATTCCAGACACATTTTCACTGTAGATATCTTTGACTTATTTGGTTAATTCCTAGGTGTTTAACATTTTTATGGCTGTTGTAAGTGGAATTATTCTTTTAAATTTCTTTCTCAGATTGTTCACTGTTGGTATATAGAAATGCTACTGATTTTTGTATGCTGATTTTGTACCATGAAATATTACTGAATTTGTTTACCAGTTCTAATAGGTTTTTGGTGAGTCTACGTTTTTCCATATATAAGAGCATATCATCCACAAACAAGCATAATGTGACTTCTTTCTTTCCAATTTAGATGTCCTTAATTTCCATCTCTTGTCTGATTGCTCTAGCTAGGACTTGCAGTAGTATGTTGTATAACGGTGGTGAGAGTGGGCATCCTAGTCATGTTCCAGATCTTAGAGGAGAGGCTTTCAGTTTTTTGCCATTCAGTAAAATACTAGCTGTGGACCTCTGTCATATATGGCTTTTATTATTTTGAGGCATATTCTATTTATATCCAGTTTTCTGTCTACATCCAGTTTTTGTGGGTTTTTATCATAAAGAAATTATCTGAAGATAAAATTGTTAAGCAAAAAGAAACCATAACTTTAAGGTTTAGAAAATTCTCAGCCAATTATCTTCCCCAAAATGAGAAAGTTTGTTTGGAAGAGAACATTAAATGTGTAGCCAAGTAGCCATTCGATAAGACCATTAGTATGAATACATACCACAGACCTAATCAGCCATCTCCACAGAAGCAAGGTACTTCAAGACAAGAGAAAAATGATTCTTCCCTCTCACATAATTCAGAGGTCATCAGGGCTGCCACTCCCACCACAGGCCCAGAGTGTAAGGGCTCCAAGGAAATCACTATTTCAGAGAGGCCACCAGCACCTTCAGGACCTTGGAGAGCTATGGGCCCAGGCAGAGAGCCACTGTGGTGGCAGGGCTGCCCAGAGCCCTTAGGACAAACCCTCCAAGAGCCTTCTGAGCTCAACTCCTACCCAGCAAGGCTGCAGAGGCAGGATCACCACCTCAGTAGGTCCAAAATGCGGGACTCCCACCCCAGTGGGCCTGGAGGACAGCAGCTAGGCAAAAAGGTTTATTGGAATTTTCCCTATTGGATTTTGGACATGCTCAGAACCTGTCATCATTTCTTCTTTCCCATTTCTCCCTTTTGGAAGGGAACTGTCTGTCCTATGACTGACTCACCATGGTATTTTGGAAACACTTAAACTTGTTTTGATTTCATAGGTTCACAGCCTCTTTTTTTTTTTTTTTTTTTTTTTAGACAGTCTCCCTCTGTCGCTCAGGCTGGAGTGCAGTGGCACTATCTTGGCTCACTGCAAACTCTGCCTCCCAGGTTCTAAGTGATTCTCCTGCCTCAGCCTTCAGGGCAGCTGGGATTACAGTCATGCACCACCACGCCCGGCCAATTTTGTATTTTTAGTAGAGACAGGGTTTCACCATGTTGGCCAGGCTGGTCTCAAACTTCTGACCTCAGGTGATCCACCCACCTTGGCCTCCGGAAATGTTGGGATTACAGGTGTGAGCCACTGCGTCCAGCCTAAGCCCATTTTATAAAGGAACTAATTGCATTTTCTTCTTGCATTCTACTATAAGCAGTCAGGAAGAATTAAGCCACTCCACTAACACTTCCCTTAGAAATCGTTTCAGCTCAGTATACAATTTTATCACTCACAGTTCTGTCTTTCTCAAAACACACTAGAACACAAGCACAGTTTAGCTAAGGTCTTTGCCACTTTATAACAAGGGTAGCTTTTCCTCCAGTCCCCAACAGCATGTTCCTAATTTCGGACTGAGGCCTCATCAGAATGGCCTTTATTGTCTGTATTTCTACCAATATTCTGTTCATGAGTACCTAGATACTCTCTAAGAAGATGCAAGCTTTCTCTATGACTCTTCTAGTTTTTTTCTTAGTCTTCACTGGAATAGCCTTTAAAAATCCATTCACAGCAATGTAGGCTTCTTCTAGCATGCACCTTAAAACTCTCCCAATCTCTACCCATGACCCAGTTCCAAAGCCCCTTCCACAGTTTTAAGTATTTGTTACAGGAACACCTCCACTTATTGGTACCAATTTCTGTCTTGGTACTGCTACAATAAACACCATACATGAAATGTCTTATAAACAACAGAAATTTATTTCTCACAGTTTTGGAGGCTGAGAAGACTAAGATTAAGGTATCAACAGATTCAGTGTCTGGTGAGAGCCTATTTCCTGGTTCACCAATGGCCATCTTTTGGTTGTGTCCTCACTTGATGAAAGCAGGGAATGGCGCTCGCTGGGAACTCTTTTATAAGGGAACTAATATTATTAGTGAGAGCTTCATCCTTATGACCTATTCAACTCTCAAAGGCCCCATCTCTAAATGCCATAATATTGAGGATTAAGTTTCAATATGTAAATGTCAGGGGAATACAAATATTCAGTCTACAGCAAGAAGTAAAAAGTAGTATCTATTGTAAGATTGAGCTATTTGATGATTACATGACCTTGAAAACAGCAGTTTTAATACAGTGAGTTCATAAAGAAAGTAGAAAATTATTGGAGATGGCAACTATACCCAAGATATTTTTTCTATAAAATGTAACCATAGAAATGAGCTCTTAACTGGAGAATAAAATCGCATTTAGAGGTTTTGTTTTCATTGATTGTTTTATTTTAAGGTAGAATTAACAGTAATTGTTTGTATACCAACTGGATAATTCCAACAAAGGCAAAATAAGAGATAGAGGAGAGGAAGAAGGGGGAAGTGTTGGATCCAAGTAACTAGGCAAGATGGGATGAGTGCACAAGTAAAACAGATGACCTTTGCTAGAATCTTAGGCAGTTCTCCCAAAGTTGAGGAGAAGTCAGAGTACACAACCTCAGGTGTGGGTAGTCAGTAAACATGGTGGTGGGAATATGTGAAAGTTCTTTTCTGATTGCTTCTAGTATCTTAATGAAATACCTAGCAAGGTGTTCTCAGCTGAGAGTGTGCATGTTGGATGGCGTTATGAAATAGTCATTCAGGAGAATGAAGGATTGGCTGGATAGAAAAATAATTTGAAGGCTGGTCAGCATTTAGGGCTCACTTAAGAATAATAATTGTATATTTATAATATTTAAAGGCATTTGAGTTTGGGCATAAATTTTAAATAGTGAATTGCCAGAGGAATACTATAAAGTCAGAGAGAAGTGAGATTCAAGGTGAGAGATAATATTGGCTATGGAATTTAAGTTGAATAAGGAAGAAATTGAGGCTATGAGGATGTCGAGGGATAATGAAAAAGCAGTAGGATTAATGGATTATTGTCTGAAGAGGTCAAAAAATGATGGACTTAGGGCAAATTATAAAAAGAAGTGGAATGCTTAAAGTTGAAAGTAGGGAACAGTTTGTTGCTATTGGTAATGAATAAATACCTTGAATATGAGTGGCTGAGATAAGGTGGAAAACACAATTATTAGAGGAGAGGAGTCTAGGAAGTGCATGTTCAAGGGTCATCTTTGTGGATCCTAAAGTAACCAAATTTTGTAAAAGAAAAACTTGAAGAAAATAGCAGTTCTCACAGAGATAAAATGTTTAGAGAATAAGGGTGTGGAGAACATTGATAATAGGGGCTGGTAGATACTAGCAATAATAAGGGTCTGGGATGGTATAGTATAATGCTATGATTCAAGACTGGGGACTTCTGAAGAAGCAGAAGAAAATCTGGTCTAGGACAGATAATGTTCTGTAAATGGCAATGAAAAACAAGAAATACACCAGCAGATAGTGTGAGGAGTGGAAAAGAATGCAGCCATCACTTGAGAAAGGCTGTAAAGGAAACAATTACTTCAAAGCAGGGCAAGGTTTTAGTTAAAGCAAAAATATCATAAAATGAGTTAAGATTATAATAGATTTTGATGGTGACTGATTCTTAATGCTTTTACTTCTAAATCAAATTGGTATCCATTGCCTCTAGTAATTCTGTATCAGTTTGCATGAATTCCATTAATCCTGACTGTTAATCTTTTAGCAGCTTCTGGGCTTCTTTATGTGTTTTTGTTAAATATAATTTCACTGAAGTCCAGAGTGAGTTGTTTGATTTCCCTAGGTGTCAGCAGTCATGTTGAAGTGAAGGCATTTTTTCTCTCCCCTGTCCCACCAACACAATGGGAATATGGTATAAAAGCAGCCAGGCTAATGGAATGGAGATGAGGCAGTTGAAGGAAGATTTTCGGTTCTCAGTCCCTACTAGTCTTTTCAGGCTCAAACACAGTGAAGATCAAGCTCAGCCATTCATTTTCTCCTTGTACTCATGGGAGCCAGGGAGATAAAAGGCCCTTGTGAAAGCTGATTACTCTGGCAGAGGCCACGAGATCTATGGGGCCAAGCTTTCAGCTTTTCACTCAAGAGCTCTCACGCTGGTATCTGGTGCTTTTTCTCTGTCCTGGATGCTCACAGAATCCAAAGCCTTCCTGGAACCCGACATCCAACTATCTGTAAGGCCCAGGAGCCATTTGTCTCTGGAAAGGCAGGTAGATTGGAGTCAGTGCTTGGCGTTTTGTTTTGTTTTGTTTTGTTTTGTTTTGTTTTTGAGACAGAGTTTCGCTCTGTCACCCAGGCTGGAGTGCAGTAGCATGATCTCGGCTCACTGCAAGCTCCGCCTCCTGGGTTCACGCCATTCTCCTGCCTCAGCCTCCCGAGTAGCTGGGACTACAGGCGCCCGCCACCATGCCCGGCTAATTTTTTGTATTTTTAGTAGAGATGGGGTTTCACCGTGTTAGCCAGGATGGTCTCGATCTCCTGACCTTGTGATCCACCTGCCTTGGCCTCTCAAAGTGCTGGGATTACAGACTTGAGCCACCGCGCCCAGCCAGTGCTTGGGTTTTAAGCTACCATTTTTCCAAAACCCCCTCTTCCACTGATTTTAGAAAGCATATACATGGCTTTAACCTCAGGGAAAATATCAAAATAAACCAAACCAGTTGGGGACCATTTTCTTTCTCTCAGAGGTATCTTGTTATGATGCTATTGTCCCAGGCCTATTTTTCACAGAAGCAAAGTAGATGATGGCATGGCAGTTAATTTTTACCTTCCAGTATGTTTCTATATATATATGTCTATGTATTGAATTTTTTATTTGCCTTCCAGCCCTACTAGGCCTGCCATCTAGAGAAAGAAAGCTCCAACCACCTCAGCCTGGAGTAACTATGGGAAATACAACTTTGTTTCCCCTCATGCTTTGTAAACCACCTCTTCCAGTTTGTGTTGTGTTGTGTTAGGCCATTCCTGCATTGCTATAAAGCAATACCTGAGACTGGGTAATTTATAAAGAAAAGAGGTTTAATTGGCTTATGGTTCTGCAAGCTTTACAGGAGGCATGGTGCTTGCATCTGCTTGGCTTCTAGAGAGGCCTCAGGAAGCTTACAATCATGGTGAAAGGTGCATCTCACAGGCTGAAAGCAGGATCAAGAAAGATATGGTTGTGGGGAGGTGCCACTATTAAATAACCAGGTCTTCTGAGAACTCATTATCATGAAGACCGCACCAAGTCACCCAGGATCCAAACACCTCCCGCCAGCACTGGGGATTACAATTCAACGTGAGATTTGGGTGGGGAGAAATATCCAGACTATTAATATATCAACAGCATTCCAGATTTGTTTCCTCAAAGTCATCTCTGACTGTCAAACAGCTTAAGTCATTGTGTAGGTAACCTCTTTTAGAAGGGGATAACCCTGCCTTGCAGAATTATTTGCTCAAGCCACCTGGCAATAATTCAGTGTTTCAGGAAACTCACTGGGGCTGTTTGCTGGATCAGAAATCAGCATTATGTCAAAGGGTATTCCAAAGGCAGTGGGAGAAATGGATGGAGTTCTGAGAGGGTCTGCTGCATGAGCACTCTGGGGACCCATGTCCAGGTGGACAATACTCTTCATGTTGTTACACAGACAAGTATAGATACTTTATTAAGATAGGTTTCTAAGAGTAAAACCTTCAAAGGACTATGTGGAAAGATTTGGGCGGTTTTATGTTATCTTTTGAATAGATCCAAAAACAATGTAGTTAGGACAAATGGCTGTCAATGATTTCCAAATTATTTTCACTAATGCATTACCATTACTACAAAAGTGTATATCAAGTCTCTGAAGGAAGTTAGAGTGAGGCAAAAGGAAGAAATATCAACCAGTGAAGCCCAGTGAAGTGGGCAATCTCCTGCTCCTTTCTAAATGCCAAAAACCTACACAATTAATAGTTTTTGTGCAGAGCAACTCCAATAAACATGAAAGGAAAACTTCTCTTACCCACACCAAGCACATGTTTTCCAAGTTGTGATGAGAACTGGTACAGCAGACTTCTCAAGATAAGAATGTTTTGAAGGACAAATACAAGCTTATACATCAAAACTACTTAATCTGAGAAAGAACTTGCTGGCATCCAAACCTTAGGAACTCAGTCCTGCATTGTCACTGCCTTTGACAAGGCTTACTGCACTACATGCTGTAAAGGCCTATGGGATGTGGTTATTAGGATTTCATCTGCAGGCTACCCAGGATGTCATATACCATTGATACTCCAGTGACAATTAACCAATTTATTAATGTGATGTTCCCCTTTACAATTAACCAACCTAGCAGATAGGTTGTCCATCAGGGTTTTTTCTTTTTATTTTATTTTTTTTTTTTTTTTGAGACAGAGTCTCGCTCTGTCGCCCAGGCTGGAGTGCAGTGGTGCGATCTCGGCCCACTGCAAGCTCTGCCTCCCGGGTTCACGCCATTCTCCTGCCTCAGCCTCCTGAGTAGCTGGGACTACAGGCGCCCACGACCACGCCCGGCTAATTTTTTGTGTTTTTAGTAGAGACGCGGTTTTACTGTGTTAGCCAGGATGGTCTCGATCTCCTGACCTTGTGATCCACCCGCCTCAGCCTCCCAAAGTGCTGGGATTACAGGCTGAGCCACTGCGCCCGGCTTTTTTCTTTTTTAGAAGTAATTATAGATTTAAAAATATTAATAGTTACAAAATAGTAGATAAGAGTCCCTGTGTACCCTTCAACTCACTTCCTATAATGAAAACCTCTTATGTAATCATAGCATAGTCATCCCTCAGTAGCCACTGGGGTTTTGTACAAGCACCCCCATAGACACCAAAATCCATGGATGTTCAAGTCCCTGACATAAAATGGTTTAGTATTTGCATATAACCTATGCACATCCTTTAAATCGGGAGCCCCCAGCTCCTGGGGCTGTTGACCACTATTGGTCTGTGGCCTTTTGGGAATCAGGCTGCACAGCAAGAGATGAGTAGTGTGCTCTGTAAATATATTTGTATTTATAATAAATGTAATCTGTATTTATAATACATGTAATAAATCTGTATGTAAAGCCCCTCCCTATTGCTTGCATGACCACCTGAGCTCCACCTCCTGTCAGATCAGCAGCAGCATTAGATTCTTGTAGGAGTGCAAACTCTACTGTGAACTGTGCATGTAAGGGATCTAGTTGCATGCTCCTTATGAGAGTCTAATGCGTGATGATCTGAAGTGGGACAGTTTCATACCAAAACCACCCCCGCAGCCCTTACCCCATCTGTGGAAAAATCGTTTCCCAGGAAACCATTCCCTGGTGCCAAAGATGTTGGGGACCACTGCTTTAAATCATTCTTAGATTACTTATAATACATAATACAATGTAAGTGCTACAGAAATAGTTGCTATTCCGCACTGTTTTTTGCAATTTGTATTTTTATTGTTGTATTGTTATCTTTATTGGTTTTGTTTTTGAGTATTTTCAATCAGCTGGTTGACTCTGCAGATGCAGAACTGCAGCTATAAAGGACCAACTCTACATTATCAAAACCACATTACAATTAACTTTACTACAGACCTCACTTGGATTCAGAAGTGTTTTTCTGCACTCTTTTTTATTCTTTGTGTATATGTGTATACTTCTAAGAAATTTATCACTGGTGTAGATACATATAACCAATAACATAATCAAGATATAGCATTATGCTGTCATCCGAAGAAAGGACCTCATGATATCCCTTTATAATCACACTCACCCCACTTCTCTAAGTCCCTGGCTACTGCTGATCTGTTCCCTATTTCTAGAATTTTGTCATGTTGAAAACCTTTTATAATGAAATTATATATTGTACAACCTTTTGACATTGCATTATTTATTTATTTATTTATTTATTTATTTATTTATTTTTGAGACGGAGTCTCACTCTGTCGCCTGGAAGGAGTGCAGTGGCGCGATCTTGGCTCACTGCAACCTCCACCTCCCAGGTTCAAGCAATTCTCCTGCCTCAGCCTCCCAAGTAGCTGGAACTACAGGCGCGTGCCACCATGCCCGGCTCATTTTTTGTATTTTTAGTAGAGACAGGGTTTCACCGTGTTGGCCAGGATGGTCTCGAACTCCAGACCTCATGATCTGCCCACCTCAGCCTCCCAAAGTGCTGGGATTACAGGCATGAGCCACCGCACCCGTCCTAAGATTGAATTTTTAAAGTTTAATTCCTTTGAGGTCATTGCAAATCATTCAACAGTTCATTGCTTTTTTATTACTAAGTACTAGTCCATTGTATGGCTGTACCATGGTTTGTTTAGCCATCCACCTGCTGAAGGACATTTGGGTTGTTTACAGTTTGGTTGTTAAAAATAAAGCTTCTGTGAAAACTCATGCACAAGTTTTTGCATGAATATCAGCTTTTATTTCTCTAGGGGAAGTGGCCATGAGTGCAGTTAGTGGGTAAACAGCTAAGCACGTTTCTAATTTGTGAAAACAACAACAACAACAACAACAAAAAAACACCAAGCTGTTTTTCAGGGTGGTTGTTCACCATTTTTGGACGGCACTATTCAGAGACCTGTAAACCTGCACTCTCCTGTGCACTGTTCAGCCTCAAGCGGTGAAAGTAACGTAGCAATTGGGCCAATTACCTCACAGCTGCTCAATTTATGAACTTATTTCAGCCTCCCCAGTAGCTGGGATTACAGGTGCGTGCCACCATGCCCAGCTAATTTTTGTATTTTTAGTAGAGATGTGGTTTCACCATACTGGCCAGGCTGGTCTCGAACTCCCGACCTCAGGTGATCCACCCACCTCAGCCTCCCAGAGAGCTGAGATTACAGGCGTGAGCCACTGCACCCGGCGTTAAATGCATTTTTGGCTTCTATTTTCAACTGATGATGGGCATTGTACATTGTAAAGACAATAAATCTTTCCATTAAATTAGTGGGAAAGGAGCTCAAAACCCAGCCTGGTGATTCATTATTTTAATGACTTCCTGCTTTACTGCAAAACCTCTCTCTTCATTCGGTGTTGGCATTTTGAGCCCCTGTTAAGGATATAGGCTCACAATGAAGCTTCTATAAATTTCTGGACCTCTGTCATGCTGGCATGTATGTCATTCTCCTTTAGGAATGATGAGGAGGCTGGCAAGCGGTTGCTCCAAGGGACGGGGGAATTTTTCAAACCTGAGCCGTCCAAGCTCAGCATGAATTGGAGTGGGCTGCTGACTCAGGCTAGCAGAGGCAGCCAGGAAATATGCAAATCTGCAATCCATTCTGCCAGGTCTGTCCCAGCAGGTGTCACTAAAAGGCAGCCCTGTGTGCTTCTGTCACTGTGACAGCCTTGACAAGGAAGATGGAGAGGAATAGAGACCCAGTGCTGAACTCCAAGCAGAGATGGGGCTTTTCTCTCTGCATATTTTCCCTCCCCTCCCAGCCTGCATCACCATTAACATATTGATTTATATTTGTATTATGAAACAAAAATGGTTGTAAACAGCTGTTCTTTCCTTTTACACACAATGCTAGCTCCTATTTAGATTCCTAAATGAATAATGTCTAAAGAGGTACTTAAACTGACATAAAACGCAGATGATCTTATGACCAAATGCTTAGTGCAAAAACAACAACAACAACAAAAAAACCCCTTCAAATTGCAAGAGAAGTTCCTCCAAATACAGAGAGGACAAGTATTGTAAGAGGTACCTTAACTAAAATGTGGCAATGTAAGGAGCAGAGCAGGAAGAACCTTTAAGTCTGAAACTTACAACAAGTCAATTTCATAGTCAGTTTCCGTGGGTCCTTCCACAACAACCTCTGGCATCCATTTTCTCTGCAATGGAGGTAACAACAGTAGCTATTTCAGAGCAGGAAAAGGCTTAGAGCAGTGCCAGAAGAGGGTCATGGCTATATAAAGTTTAGCTATTTGTATATTGTAACAAAGCTACAGTGTATTTTTTTTATTGGTAGTCAATAATAAATTTCTTTTGGAAAAGTAGCAGCCTCTTATTTAGTTTCTTTTTTTCCTTTCCCTTTTCCTGCCACAGAGTCCCGCTCTGTCGCCCAGTCTGGAGTGCAGCAGCTCCATTATAGCTTACTGCCACCTCGACCCCGGGCTCAAGCAATCCTTCTACATCAGCCTTCAGAGTAGCTGGGACTACCCGCGGGGCCCACCACACCCGGCTAATCTTTGTGGTTTTTGTTTTGTTTTTCCCTTAAGAGACCCTGTTTGGGGCCAGGCGCAGTGGCTCAGGCCTGCAGTCCCAGCACTTGGGACGCCCAGGCGGGCGGATCACCTGAGGTGAGGAGCTGGAGACCAGCCCGACCAACATGGAGAAACCCCATCTCTACTAAAAAAAAAATTACAGAATTAGCCGGGCATGGTGGCTCAGGCCTGCAATCCCAACACCCGGGGAGGCCGAGGCTGGCGGATCACCTGAGGTCGGGGGTTAGAAACCCTCCTGACCAACATGGAAAAACCCCGTCTGTACCAAAAACAAAAACAACAACAAAAACAAATACAAAATAGCTGGGCATGGTGGCTCACGCCTGCAATCCCAGCCACTCAGGAGGCTGAGGAAGGAGAACCACCTAAACCCGGGAGGTGGATGCCGTGGTGAGCCAAGACCGCGCCACTGCATTCGAGTCTGGGCAACAAGAGCAAAACTCCACCTCAACAACAACAAAAGCGACCGGGTTTCACCATGTTGCCTAGGCCCGTCTGGAACTCCTAGACTCCAGTGATCCGCCGCGCTGGGCCGTCCAAAGTCCTGGGATCACAAGCGTGAGCCACCACGCCAGGCCGATCTATTCCTTTCTGACTAATAAATTGGGCCTGGAGTGGTGGCTCACGCCTGCAATTCCAGCACCCGGGGAGGCGGAGGCGGGCACATCACATGAGGTTGGGAGTCTGAGACCAGCCTGACCAACATGGAGAAAACCCATCTCTACCAAAAAAAAAAAAAAAAAAGTACAAAATTAGCTGGGCATGGTGGCTCAAGCCTGCAATCCCAGCACCCCTAGAGGCTGAGGCGGGCGGATCACCTAAGGTCAGGAGTTTGGGACTAGCCTGACCAACATGGAGAAACCCCGTCTCTACAAAAGAAAAAAGAAAATTAGCTGGGCATGGTGGCTTATGCCTGCAATCCCAGCCGCTTGGGAGGCTGAGGCAGGAGAACGACCCAAATCTGGGAGGCGGAGGCCACGGGGAGCCCAGGCCACGCCACTGCACCCTGCCTGGGCAACAAGAGCAAAACTCCGCCTCAAAAAAGGAAAAAAAAAAAAAAAGAAAGAAAGGTTTCACCATGTTGCCCAGGCCGGTCTGGAGCTCCTAGGCTCCAGTGATCACCGCGCTCTGTCGTCCAAAGTCCTGGGATCACAAGCCTGAGCCTCCATGCCAGGCCGATCTATTCCTTTCTGATTAATAAATTACGCCGGGCGCGGTGGCTCACGCCTGCATTCCCAGCACCCCGGGAGGCCGAGGTGAGCAGATCACTTGAGGTCGGGAGTTTGAAACCAGCCTGACCAACATGGGGAAAACCCATCTCTACCAAAAAAAAAAAAAAATTAGCCGGGCATGATGGCTCGTGCCTGCAATCCCAGCCACTCGGGAGGCTGAGGCAGGAGAACCACCCAAACCCGGGAGGCGGAGGCTGCGGCGAGCCAAGACCACGCCACTGCACTCCAGCCTGGGCAACAAGAGCAAAACTCTGCCCCCCCCCCCCACACACACACCCACATCCGAACACACAAAAGAGAGAGAGACCAGGTTTCACCATGTTACCCAGGGCGGATGGAGTCTTGCTCTGTCGCCCAGGCTGGAGGGCAGTGGTGCCATCTCGGCTCTTGACAACCTCTGCCCCCTGGGTTCAAGCGATTCTCCTGCCTCAGCCTCCCAAGTATCTGGGACTACAGCTGTGTGCCACCATGCTCGGCTAATTTTTTTTTTCTAGTGGAGATGGGGTTTCGCCACATTGGCAGGGCTGGTCTTGAATTCCCGACCTCAGACAACTCACCCGCCTCAGCCTCCCAAAGTGCTGGGATTACAGGCGTGAGCCACCACACCCAGCCTTTATCTTTCTTTTCTCCTCCAAATCCCTGGCAAACAATGATCTTTACAGTTTGCCTTTTCCAGATTATCATATAAATGGAATCAATCATTCCAATTTATGTATGCAGGTTTTTCAAACTTCCTTATTTTCACCTAGAAATATGCATTTGAGATTCATCCATGTTTTGCATGATGCTTTTTGTTAATGACTAGTATTCCATTGTAGAAATGTACTGCAGTTTGTTTACGCATTCACTTATTGAAAAACATCTTATTTGCTTCGTTTTGGGTGAATATGAATATGGATGGCTGCTATAAACATTTGTGTACAGGTTTTGTGAGCACGTAAGTTTTCAAATCAGTATGCAAATGCCTAGGAACACCCTATTGTTGGATCATGTGATGAGACTATGTCTTACCTTGTAAGAAGCTGCCAAACTGCTGTCCTAAGTGGTTGTACTATTTTGCTTTCCCATAAGCAATACATGAGAGTTTCCAGCACCCCACGGATTTAACTATTAATAGCAATTGTAATTTCCTTGATTTTGGATTTTAGCAATTTTGATAGGTGTGTGGTGGTATCTCATTGTTGATTTAATTTGAATTTCCCAAAAAAAAGATATTTAGCAAATTTTTATATACTGATTTGTCGTCTGTATATCTTTTTTTTTTTTTTTTTTTTTTTGGTGAGACGGAGTCTCGCTCTGTGGCCCAGGCTGGAGTGCAGTGGGGCGGTCTCGGCTCACTCCAAGCTCCACCTCCCGGGTTCACACCATTCTCCTGCCTCAGCCTCTGGAGTAGCTGGGACTACAGGCGCCTGCCGCCACGCCCGGCTAAATTTTTTTTGTATTTTTGGTAGAGACGGGGTTTCACCGTCTTAGCCAGGATGGTCTCTATCTCCTGACCTCGTGATCCGCCCGCCTCAGCCTCCCAAAGTGCTGGGATTACAGGCGTTAGCCACCGCGCCCAGCCTGTATATCTTTTTTGATGAAGTGTCTCTTCAGATATTTTGCCCACTTTAAAAATCAAATTTTTATTTTTGAGATAAAATTTTGTAGATTCACATGAAGTTGTAGGAAATGGTACAGTGAGATCCTCTGTAGCCTTTATTGGGTTTCCCCCAGTGGTAACACTTGTAAAACTATGGTACAATATCACAACTTGATATTTAATTTGATGCAGTCAAGGTACAGAACATTTTATCTTTGTAGGGAATTGCCAAACTCATCAATAATGTATGGGTGATCCAGTTTCTCCACATCCTTGCCAGCATTTTATTGTTACTATTTTTTATTGTGATAGGTAATGATACTTCATTGTCACTTTAATGCATTTACCTAAAGGCTAATGATGTGGAGCATCTTTTCACATGGTTACCTGCCATCTGAATATCCTCTTCAGTGAAATATCTCTTTATGTCTTTTTCCCATTTTCTGATTGGATTATTTGTTTATCTGCTGAGGTTTTAGAGTTTGTTATATGTTCTATACATGAGTTCTTTTGTGAATATTGGCTTGCAAATATTTTTAGTGGTCTGTAATTATGTTTATTCCTGTTCATGGTCTTGCACAGAGCAAACACTTTTAATTTTGATAGAGTCCAACTTGCCATTTTCCCTTCAGTGGTTAATGCTTTTGGTCTAAAATAAGAGAGCTATTAACCCTAGATGCAAAGATTTTCTCCTATGTTTTCTGAAGTTTGGTAGTTTCAGTTTTGCATTTAAGTATATAATCCATTTTTTAGTTAATTTTTGTAAAAATGTGAGGTTCAGGCTGAGGTTCAATTTTTTGGCCTATGGATGTCCAGTTGCACCATCACCATTTACTGAAAAGGCTATCCTTCCTCTATTGAGCTGCTTTTGCAACTTTGTCAAAGATCAACTGGTTTTTGCTCATTTTATAATTGCGTTGCTTAATTTCTTATTGTTGAATTTTAAGAGTCATTTGTATATTTTGAACACAAGTCTTTTGTGATTTGAAAATATATTCTCAGTCTATGACTTGCCATTTCAGAATGGTAATGATGTATTTTTCTATTCCTAATTAATAGTTTAAAAAATCTTTTTATTTCAGTCGGGTAAAAGTTCCAGAAATGTGAAGTACAAAGATTTTTTTGATCCAGTTGAAAGTGATGAAGACATAGCAAGTGATCATGATGATGATCTGGGTTCAAACAAGTGGATGAAATTGCTGAAGAAGCAGCAGAAGAACTAAGCATTTCTGAAATGTGAGTATTTGAACCATCCTTTACATTGTGAGCTGGAATTGTCCAATCATGTATTGGTACTTGTGGTTTTCACATATGTTTGTTTTAAGAAGTTAGATTCTCTCCTATCAGATATTCTCAAGATAGCCAGAGGAAAGTCTGTGGATTTAAAAGGACATTAGAGATCATTTAATGAAGAAAAATATTACTGGCAGTAGCAATCAAACATTTCTTGCCAGGAACCTTGATTTGGTTTTGTACCCCAAAAATCCTGTTATTTTTGTGAGATTGATGGTTTGTATTATCAATTGATGAATAATTTATTTTCTATATATTGGACACTTTTGTTCTGTTTCTTACATAGCATGTCACTTAAATGATACCTTCTCTTCCGTAATACCTGAATGATTTTGGAACTTCTGAGTATTTGGTTGCATTAGGCATATAAAAGAAGAACTTTATTAAGGGAAAATATGTTTCCTTTTGTTTTTCTAATGGAAAGCAGTATATTTCTTTTTATAAGAGTTTTGGTAGTGTAGGGAGGAAGATGATGACCTGGAAGAAAGTGAAGACAGTAAACAATGTAAAGAAAGCTTGAAAAGAGTGACCTTCACTTTGCTGGATGATGAGGCAACTGAAGATGCAGGTGTTTTAAATGTAAAGAAAAATTCTGATGAAGTTAAATCCTCTTGAAAAAAGACAGGAAAAGGTAATTAGGAATTTAAGGAATTTTTAATGTGCTTGACATAACTGTGGAACTCACAGACTACTAACAAATCTTCCCTATCTTTCTTTTTTTTTTGAGAAGGAGTCTTACTCTGTCACCCAGGCTGGAGTGCAATGGTGTGATCTCAGCTCACTGCAGCCTCCACCTCCTGGGTTCAAATGATTCTGCCTCAGCCTCCTGAGTAGCTGAGATTAGAGGTGCATGCCACCATGCCTGACTAATTTTTGTACTTTTAGAAGACATGGGGTTTCACCGTGTTGGCCAGGCTGGTCTCGAACTCCTGACCTCAGGTGATCCTCCTACCTCAGCCTCCCAAAGTGCTGCGATTACGGGCGTGAGCCACCGCGCCCGGCGATTTTACAGGTATCATTACCTAGAATGAGGTGAAAGGACACGGTTAGGATTTTTTTTTAAGTGTAAGGTAAGTTAAAATAGTAAGAAACAGTAGTAGCGTAATACCTGGCCATGGCTGGAAGGTGGGTGCTGATGATGGGCATTGGAACAGACCTGGATACATCTCTGGCATCAGGGTCAGGAGGCAGTGAGCCTGTCGCTTCCTAGTTCTGGTGTTTTTTTTTTTTTCCATGTCTTAATAAACAAACAAACAAAAAGCCCTCTTAGCCATTTAGAATAAGCATTTGGGGCCAAGGGGAGCAGAGAGAAGTATGAAGTTTACTTTTTCTCTTCAGTAGAATAAAAATTGCTGTCCATTTTTTCAATGTGATTTGTCAGAATAAATCTTTAACGTATTACATGTAAATAAAAGAAAAAAAAGTCCCTACAATCCAAATGGATATTTGGATAATTTTACGAAGTCTATATTAACACTTTAGTTCTATCAGCCCACAATAAAGTCCCATATCCATGAAGCAGTTGCTACCCTTTACTCACTAGCCCCAGCCCCAACAATCCCCAGTCTGTGTCCTATCTTTGTGGATTTGCCTATTTTGCATATTTGATATAAATGGAGCCTTACAATACGCAGCCTTTCATTTCTGACTTCTTGCATTTAGCATCATGTTTTCAAGACTGTAGCATTTGCTTGTGCTTCATTTCTTTCTTATGGTTGTATGGTATTCCATTGCGGGAATGTACCATGCTTTATCTGTTCATCCATTGATGGCCATTCAGGCTGTTTCCACCTTTTGACTGTTAATCGTGCTGTGCACATGTATTTGTTTGAGTACCTGCTTTTAATTCTCTTGGTTTTACACCTCGGAGTGGTTGCTGGGTCAGATGGTAATTCTCTGTGTAGCTTTTTTTTTTTTTGAGACGGAGTCTCGCTCTGTCACCCAGGCTAGAGTGCAGTGGTGCGATCTCGGCTCACTGCAACCTCCGCCTCCTGGGTTCACACCATTCTCCTGCCTCAGCCTCCCGAGAAGCTGGGACTACAGGCACCCGCCACCACGCCTGGCTAATTTTTATACTTTTAGTAGAGACGGGGTTTCACCATGTTGGCCAGAATGGTTTTGATCTCTTGAACTTGTGATCCACCCGCCTCGGCCTCCCAGAGTGCTGGTATTACAGGCGTGAGCCACCACGACCAGCCCCAAGCTCTATTCTGAATGCAACAGGGAAAGGGGTCCTTTTAGAGCTTATGCTCAAAATCTTTGTCTCCCCTCCTCCCATCTCACTCAAAGTCAATGCTCAAATCCATACAATGACCTGCAGGGTCATACATCAGGTGCTGGCAAACAGTAGCTGGATGGCAAGTTAGCCAGCTATTTTTGTAAATAAAGTTTTATTGGAACAAAACCACACTCATATGTTACATATTGTCTATAGCTGCTTTCACACTAAAATAGCTGTGTTGCCTAGTTATGATGGAGGCCACATGGTCCCAAAAGCCTCAAACATTTACTCCCTGGCCCTTTACGGAACAAATTTGCTAACACTTGCCCTCCATGGTCTGGCTCTCTGCTGCCTCCCTGGCTTTGTTTTCTTCTGCCTCCTTGGGGTTCTTAGAGCCTGCTAGATAATCTTCTGCCTGACGGCTTTTACATGTGCTGTTGCTGTTTCCTGGCCTACCATGGCCTTCTCTCAGTCCACACTGTTACCTCCTTCAGGCCAATGTCAATCTTCAAATGTCATCTTTTCAGTGAGGACTTCCCTTACCACTCTTTCAAATTGTAACCTCAACCCTAAGATGTTTCTGGCTTTACTTGTCTTCAATTTCACCACATAGTTTACTTTTTATATTTCTCTATCTCCTTCCACCAGAATGTATCCTTCATGAGGAGTTCCCCTCCCTCCCATGAAGAATTTCCTCCCATTCCTCATTGTTCACTGCCACATATTTTCAGCATCTAAAATGTTACCTGGAATGAGGTAGGCAGTCAATACATTCTTGTTAATGAACTCCCTATTTATGTCCTTATTCTCTTTAGTTTGCTCATTTATGCACTCATTCAGTGTATATTTATCAATAATTACACAACGCTAGCCACTGCTGCAGGCAGCAGCGATTTTATAGTAAAGGCAACAAGCACAACCGCCTGATGTTAAGAAGCTTGCATTCTAGGTCATTCATGGTGGGCTGGAACACGCTGGTGTCAGTGCTTCAGGGCTGATTGTTAAACTTTCAGGTGTTAGGCTGGGCATGGTGGCTCACGCCTATAATCCCAGCACTTTGGGAGGCTGAGGCGGGCGGATCACGAGGTCAGGAGATCGAGATCATCCTGGCTAACACGGCGAAAACCCATCTCTACGAAAAATACAAAAAATTAGCTGGGTGTGGTGGCGGGTGCCTGTAGTCCCAGCTACTCAGGAGGCTGAGGCAGGAGAATGGAGTGAACCCTGGAGGTGGAGCTTGGAGTAAGCTGAGATCGCGCCCCTGCACTCCAGCCTGGGTGACAGAGCGAGACTCCATCTCAAAAAAAAAAAAAAAAAAAAAAAAAAATTCAGCTGTTAAACACAGCCATTATTGAAAGTTAAATAAATCATATAGCTTTACAAATAAATTACATTAAAAACAGAAGTCATAAATACTCAAGACGCATCACTTCCTAGTCGCCACATTTTATTTCTTGGTTCTTGATGTTATTATTTCAAGGGTATCAGATAACCGGTGATTAGTACTATCTTTTGGAAAACCCAGCTCAGTGGTTTTCCAACTGAAACTCCCTCTCGCTTATTCGCAGGAGTCAGCTTAAGTAGAGCTCCGCGTGTTGGTTGCAGAAGTCGCCTGTCTTCCCCGCAGGAGGCTGTTTGCTCGCTTTGACACTGAATGCTCCCCCAACAAACACGTTTAGCTTGCTTGCCCTTCTCACCGACTGCGGAGAGGAGTCTCAGAGTGCACAGTCGCAGAGAAGGCGTGCGGGGGCGTGCAGGGGCGCACAGGCGCCTGCCTCTGCGGGTGGGAAAGGAAGGAGGTGCCCGGGTTTCCGCTCCCAGGGCTCAGCCTGCCTTGGGCACCTACGGTATGGGAGCCTTTAACGTGGAAAGGAAAGGAGATCGATCACTCGAGCCTCCACTTGCCAAGCCTGTGGAAGCGAGACGCGGGGATCGGCTGGGAATGCCTGGAAGCGCCGGCGCGCGGAGCCAGGTGGGAGGTGCGAGGTGGCCGCGCGGGGATCTTGGGTGACAGGGCACCGAGGGAAGGAGGACGCGAGGGCAGCCAGGCCCTAGGGAGCAGGGAGAGTGGCTCGGGCTCAGTCGCGTGGCCCCAGGTGCGCGTCCCAGGTGCGCGGCCTTGACCCAGCAGCGTCCGCCGTGCTGGCCGGGGCCTCGGCTCCGCAGCAGAAGCCGCGGTGGTGGCAGCCGGCGCGGGCGCAGCTGCCCGCGGCTGGGGCGTTTCATCTGCGCCGGCCTATGGTGCGGGCATCGCCCTGGGCCACGCGCTGATCGTCTCCATCTCACTCAGAAAAAGTTACTCATACAGTGGTCTTGTAAAGGGTCTGAAGTGGTCAAATTGTCCCTTTTTAGAAACGGATAGTTTTAGGTCTTAAAGATGTCCTAGAAATTACCCTTACAAGCCCAGCTCTGTCATTTTATAGTAAGGGACACTAAGATCGCGTACAGAGCTTGTCGGAGGGGCTTGGTCTTCTGTCTCACGCTCAGGGTTGTCTCCTCGTTACAGGAGACCTTGCTCTTAAACGTTTCAGAGTTCGCTTTTCCCCTTGCTGAATTCATAAAAATGTTTTTAATTTATATGTGTTTCTTCTTGTAGGAAGAAGAAATTGTCGAGACGAATAACATGAGGTCATATAGAATCCCACTTTTGGTGATTTCAAGTCAAGAAAGTAAAAGTAAACCATTGCTATCTTTCACCTTAAATATCCTGTGTTTTATTGCTCAGAACATCCAGTTTTTCTAATACTCATGATGTCAGAAGGGAAACCTCCTGACAAAAAAAGGCCTCGTAGAAGCTTATCAATCAGCAAGAATAAGAAAAAAGCATCTAATTCTATTATTTCGTGTTTTAACAATGCACCACCTGCTAAACTTGCCTGCCCCGTTTGCAGTAAAATGGTGCCTAGATATGACTTAAACCGGCACCTTGATGAAATGTGTGCTAACAATGACTTCGTTCAAGTGGATCCAGGGCAGGTTGGCTTAATAAATTCAAATGTGTCTATGGTAGATTTAACCAGTGTTACCTTAGAAGATGTAACACCTAAGAAGTCACCACCACCAAAGACAAATTTAACCCCTGGCCAAAGTGATTCAGCAAAAAGGGAAGTAAAGCAGAAGATCAGTCCCTACTTTAAAAGTAATGATGTGGTGTGCAAAAATCAAGATGAGCTGAGAAATCGTAGTGTGAAAGTCATTTGTTTGGGAAGCCTAGCATCTAAATTGTCCAGAAAATACGTAAAGGCTAAAAAATCAATAGATAAGGATGAAGAATTTGCCGGTTCTAGTCCACAGAGTTCCAAATCCACAGTTGTTAAGAGCCTGATTGATAACTCTTCAGAAATTGAGGACGAGGATCAAATTTTGGAGAACAGTTCTCAAAAAGAAAACGTGTTTAAATGTGATTCTCTAAAGGAAGAGTGCATTCCTGAACATATGGTAAGAGGAAGTAAAATAATGGAAGCCGAAAGCCAAAAGGCTACCCGGGAATGTGAGAAATCAGCCCTCACCCCTGGATTCTCAGATAATGCGATCATGTTATTCTCACCAGATTTCACTCTTAGGAATACATTAAAGTCTACTTCAGAAGACAGTCTTGTAAAGCAAGAGTGTATCAAAGAAGTGGTTGAAAAACGTGAGGCATGTCATTGTGAAGAAGTAAAAATGACTGTTGCTTCAGAAGCTAAAATACAGCTGTCAGATTCAGAGGCAAAATCTCATAGTTCTGCAGATGATGCTTCTGCATGGAGTAACATCCAAGAGGCTCCTCTGCAGGATGACAGTTGCTTAAACAATGATATCCCTCACAGCATTCCTTTGGAGCAGGGGTCAAGCTGCAATGGTCCTGGTCAAACAACCGGTCATCCTTACTACCTTCGGAGTTTCCTTGTGGTGCTGAAAACCGTACTTGAGAATGAAGATGATATGTTGCTCTTTGATGAGCAGGAGAAGGGAATTGTAACTAAATTTTATCAGTTATCAGGTATCTTACGCACGTGTTTGTTTTCAAGTTTTCATTCCCCTTTTGCTGCTCTGATTGGGGCATGATGTGATGGGCAGTAATCTAGTGACCGCAAGGAGTCACTGTGGTGTTGTGAGCACCCTGTGGGAGTGTTCATGGGAGTTGGAGCATAGTCGAAGGTTTTATTGAGAGGGATGCATGGAAAAGAGACAAGATTTTGTCCCGGGTGATGTTTACTCCTGCTGAACTTTGGTTACATTGGAAGCAGCTGTTTTTCTTTTATAGGTACATTTGATAGTTATGAAACAACCTTTTCCAGATTAAAAAACAATATAATGTGACTTAGAAAAGCATACTTTGCATTTTGAGCGTGTAATCAGGCTTTCCATTAGGTTGTTTTGTTGTTCCTCAAAGATGAAAGTAGAATAAAATACAATACAGGAAGAAAACAAACCAACCTGAGGCATATTTTCTTTCTCCCAACAACATTTTAGATTTATGGACTGTGCCTTTTAAAGACAGGGTGTGGAGGAAATGGAAACTTTCAAGCTGAAATTGGTACATTAAAAATACTAGTCTATGCCTGAAGTCCTTGGCAGCCAGGGGTGGCTCCAAGCCAGCAGTGCAGGTTTGTAGTAAAAGCCACCCTTGTGTCTTTACGGTGTTATTCAGAGGGCCATGATGACTCTGTGGAACCATGTCCCTGAGGGCAGGAAAAAACATGGTAGTCACACTGTCGTTTAGTAAAATGCGGCCATGTGTGACTCCTCAGTAGATAAAAAAGAGAAAAATCCTGAACATTACTATTGATGTTCAAGGGAAGGATTTCTATTTTAAATTCGCACAGTGAAATTATGGTATTCCTTGGGTTACTTTTTAACATGTGAGCGATACTTCTCTGGGCACAGCTGTGTGTAGTATCCACTTCCATCTCTACTTTTGCTGTTCTCACCAGAAGATGGACATAATAGCACATTGGCTTTTCTATCCAAACTAGTCACAGATCTTTGGTTGGGTGCTGATTGCATTCCTGGAGTATTTCAGAGATTGGTGGCTCTGTAATTCCATGTAATTGAGAAATAGGAACAGTTTTCCTAGTGCAAGTTCTGCATATGCATGTGTCTTGCACTCCATGGAGAATCATGTACAATCTGTTGGTGTGTAGAAATAATTACTGCTAATTGTTTTTGCCTTTTTTTTTTTTTAATTTTAAGTTCTTTTAGAGACAAGGTTTCTGTCTGTTGCCCAGGCTGGAGTGCAGTGGTGTAATCATAGCTCACTGTGACCTTGAACTCTTGGTCCCAAGCGATCCTCCTGCCTCAGCCTCCCAAAGCACTGGGATTACAAGCATAAGCCATAGGCTGGGCATGGTGGCTCAGGCCTGTAATCCCAGCACTTTGGGAGGCCGAGGTGGGCAGATGGCCTGAGGTCAGGAGTTCGAGACTAGCCTGACCAACATGGTGAAACCCCGTCTCTACTAAAAATACAAAAATTAGCCGGGCATGGTGGTGGGCGCCTGTAATCCCAGCTGCTCTGGAGGCTGAGGCAGGAGAATGGCATGAACCCAGGAGGCAGAGCTTTCAGTGAGCCGAGACTGCACCATTGCACTCCAGCCTGGGCAACAAGAGCAAAACTCCATCTCAAAAAAAACAAAACAAAAACAAAACAAAAAAACAACCAAAAAAAACAACACCAGCATGAACCATCATGACAGGTCAATTTTGCCTTTTTAAAGAAGAAAGGAAAATAAATGTTGGAAATTTTCAAAATACAATTAAGCCATTTTAGAGTTGGCCGAAATTTAAAGATAATCTGGGTAATAGGGAGATTGAGACCAAACAGGTTAATTAAGAAGCTTGGTCAAGATTGCTGGGTTAGAGATGACTGCCCTACTGAAGCTAGACATTTTTTTTGGAAAATTATTTCAGATTATTTTCGATCAAATCAGAATAATGCATATTAAGCTAAGAGCAGAGAACAAAATAAGAATTCTGGGTAGGGCTTTTCTGAGGGAGTAGAAATGTTGATGTCTAGAAAATGGGGAACTTGATCTTAGAAGTTTTAAAATGACCAATAATTGTTACCAAATTTTTAAATGTACTTTCAAAATGGTTTATTCCATAAAATGAAGGCCTTATACATACAGTAAGCATATGTGTATTTCTAAATCGTACATTTATTCACCTTAGGTTTAAAAGGTAAATGCAGTGATTTTCAACATTTTTCTTAACTTTATTGCAGCTACTGGTCAGAAGTTATATGTAAGGCTCTTTCAACGTAAATTAAGCTGGATTAAGATGACCAAATTAGAGTATGAAGAGATTGCCTTAGACTTAACACCTGTGATTGAAGAATTGACGAATGCAGGCTTTCTACAGACAGGTATGACTAGTAGAAGGAGATGTGAAATGAAAATATGATCTGAAGAACTGAGCTTCTGCAGAATGATGGCAGTATTATTATGGTGCCCTCCCCGGGGTGGTGCCTGGTAACTTACTGTTTTTTAATTGAATTTTTAATCTTAGGACAACAAATTACTCATGTGATGCTAAAGCCATTCTTAGCCTGAGTTAAGAATACTAGAATAATGAGAGATGGTCTGCTGCTGTTTTCTTGACTGTGGCAGGTTTAGAATGAAAGTCACCTGGGCATAGACATGGGTGTGTGCCACAGAAGAAATACATCCCGGCCGGGCACGGTGGCTCATGCCTGTAATCCCAGCACTTTGGGAGGCCGAGGCAGGTGGATCACCTGAGGTTGGGGGTTCGAGACCAGCCTGACCAACATGGAGAAACCCCATCTCTACTAAAAATACAAAATTAGGTGTGGTGGCGCATGCCTGTAATCCCAGCTATTTGGGAGGCTGAGGCAGGAGAATCACTTGAACCCGGGAGGCTGAGGTTGCGGTGAGCTGAGATTGCACCATTGCATTTCAGCCTGGGCAACCAGAGTGAAACTCTGTCTCAAAAAAAATGGATACATCCCTTCTTGGCGCTCTCCTTCCAGCAAGAGCTTGACTCATCTTACTCAGAGTCCTCTTCTTTATGATAGAATAAAGCTGGTTGTTTGAAACCCATATTGCCTCTAAAAACTTCATCTGCCCCCCTTGCACACACATACAGTTCTTCGATTATGTTGATTGCCTTAAGCATTGTTGAATTGCTTTAAGCCTATGTGAACACTAAGGAGAGTCTATCTTCTGCAGTGATACCCTTCGTTGTCTTGTCAGTAGCATTCGTTAAGTACCTACCTATGTATTGGGTACAAAATTGTACTGTATTAGGAAAGGGAAATGTGAGCCTTGGGTTCAAGTTGCTGACATTTTAGACCAAAATAAGCGAATCAGCCAGCTGGTTTCTTTGGGGCAGAGTTTATTGTGGGGAGCAGTAAGTGGGGATGAAGCGAAGTGAGCAGGAAGTGTGTTAGGGTGGGGCTGGATGGCGTGGGATGGGGAAAGTTGCGGGAGAGGCATAAAAGCTCAGTGAAGGCGCTTGGTTGTGAATGGTTAGTGGTGGGACACAGGACCCTCTGCAGAGCAGCGCTTCCCACACATCAGTGCCAGCAGGGTCACCTGGGAACTTGATACTCAGTCCCCACCTGACTTGGAAAATGTGGTGCAGCTTCCGTAAATTCATATGTCTGACAGGCATGCCAGGTGACTGCTGCAGGTGAGCCTTGACTTACCTTCAAATGAGCAACAAAACCAGGATCCTAGTGGCTCACCGTGGCACTCAGTCAAGTGCAAGTCCCATCCATGCTCCAGCCCCATGGGGCCTGGCTCTGGCTGTCCCTCTCGCTTTCTGCCACGGCCACCCAGCCCTCAGTGTTCTTCACCAGGATGAGTGCATTCCTGTCTCAGAGCCTTGGACTGACTTTCCCCTCCACCCAGGTCAGTTTCCACCACGTGGCCACACGGCATAGTTCTCCTTTCCTTCCCCGCTGCGTGGTGTTACCTTGTCAAAGGTTTGCCTGACTACTGTGTGAAATACAGCCAGCCTCCTGCCAGCTTCAGTTTGCCTCCTGAGTTGTGTTTTTCTTTAGAGCGGTTATTACCACCTGATAAATTTGCCTATTCATTTAATTGTTACGCTGGGAGGCTAGCTCCTATGGATGGGATTTCTTTCACTGTAGCATGCCCGGGGCCTTAGAACATTACCAGGCCGACAGTGTACACCCAATAAATATTTGCTGAATGGAGGAAGAAGGCACTGCCCTAAACTTGTGAAGCCTTGAAGGCAAAGACCAGCGAGGTCTGACTGAGCCGAATTCCTAGGCCAAGGTTGGTGTCGGGGCCCACAGTAGCCGAACAGGCTCACGAATGCCGAGTGAGCAGGAGAGGCTTGTGGGAAGAAGAGGGCTGATGATCAGTTCTCTCTGACCTGGTTTGAGAGGTCCCATTTTGTAGGGGTTTTGTGACGAGAAAGGCAGGGAGTATATATTCCAAGCAGGTGTTGAGATGCCCAAACCATAATGGCTATCCATGTGTGTCTTTATTTTAGTTATGTTTTCCTTTAGATTTTAGTGAGAAATTCTATTATTTGATAACTTTTAAGAGATATAATAATAGTGTTATTAATACGTTAATAATACCATGTTAATAATTCCACATTTAATGATTGGTTTGGCCAACTAATTAAAATTTTCTTAGTAGCATTTCATTTTATTTTCATCTAACTAAGGTAAATAAAGCTAGAAAATAGTAAAATTTAAAAAAACTTTTTTTTTTAACCATTTCAGAATCTGAGTTGCAAGAACTCTCTGAAGTGCTTGAACTCCTTTCTGCTCCTGAACTAAAATCCCTAGCCAAGACCTTCCACTTGGTGAATCCCAATGGACAGAAACAGCAGCTGGTGGACGCCTTTCTCAAATTGGCCAAACAGCGTTCAGTCTGCACTTGGGGCAAGAATAAGCCTGGAATTGGTGCAGTGATTTTAAAAAGGTTTTGTTGGCTATTGTTACAGTAAAAACATTTAAAATGTTGATAGCACATATTAACTTACAGTAGATTGTATACTTGATTGAACTGTAATTGTTTATTTCAGTTGTAGTTAGATTGAGAAGGCTGGAAAAGCCTTAATTGCAATAGCCTGGATTCTTTCTTGGGTTATTATTCAAAATTTTTGTCGTAATACCGTACTAATTTCCAGGACCAAGAAAAATCGGAAGGCAATAGGCCTTTGGTAAATTGTAGTATTTTATTTTCCGAGAAAAATACAGTTTTAAGTGATTCTTATGGGATTTTAAGGTAAACTATTTAGTCAAATTTTTATTTTAGTTTTTGTTTACTAAACAAAGTATAATCAGGCAGTCTTAATGTGCAAGTTTTCCTGAGTTTAAACGTAACAATTTACCAAAAACTGTGAGTGGCTTCTTTTGTCCTTGAGAAGCCCTTGACCTGTTTCAGTTGAAAATTACAAAAACTTTTAGAATTGATTTCTTTTGCCCATGTTATTTATATAATCAAACTATATCAACTCTAGCCTGGGAATTCACTACTGTGGAGTCGAGGATGAAATGAGAGGATGCTTTTGAAAACACTTTAACATGATGTTGTTATTTATTTTATATATTTGTTTTGTATATTTCAGTTGTTATGAGCCCATCCTTGTTGGGGAGGTGCTATAAATACTAATCTTTAATGAAACATAGGTGTAATAAGGCAGACATTAAGAAAAATATAAATACCAACACTTGAAAAAAGCTCGTGTTATAGATTTTTAAAAAGTACTTCAATAAATTACATACTTGTAATTAATTGACTTGAGAAGTATAGAATCCTCATCTGTGTGGTATGTTAAATGTCTTCTAAGTCCTTTCTTTATCTAATTGTATTTCTTAAGTATTTGATGTTAACCTTATATGTAACATTTTATAAGCAAGTAAACATTAAATTTAGCCACCCTCTGGCTGGGCACAGTGGCTCACACCTGTAATCCCAGCACTTTGGGAGGCTGAGGCAGGTGGATCACAAGATCAGGAGTTCGAGACCAGCCTGGCCAATATGGTAAAACCCTGTCTCTACTAAAAATACAAAAATTAGCCTGGTGTGGTGGCAGGTGCCTGTAATCCCAGCTACTTGGGAGGCTGAGTCAGGAGAATTGCCTGAACCTGGGAGGTAGAGGTTGCAGTGAGCTGAGATCGCGCCACTGCACACCAGCCTGGGTGACAGAGTGAGACTCCATCTCAAAAAAAAAAAAAAAAATAGCAGCCCTTTCTTGGTATATGCACTTAGCATAGAACAGATAAAGTAAATAAGATGAACATATTTTATCTCTAACTTTGGACTTGTAGGAAAATAGAATCCTCAAGGCTGTTTTAGTTCTAGTGAAAACCACTGTCCTTTAAGGTTGTCCTTTATTTCTTCATTCTGATGGTAAAGCCCAGCAGTGGAATTTCAGAGTCCCTGCCAGCCCCACGCTAGGGCAGCGCCTGGTGCTTTTACTCTGCTGTTATGATAAAGAAACAGAAACAGCCACATTATTACAGAAAAAGGCACATTATTTATGCTTTCTTAATCCTTGCAGGAGTCACTGCTTAGTTTTCTGTGTTTAATGCTTCCTTTTGCAGACTGGAGGCTGTGTCCACTGGGGCATCCCCGGGACTCTGCGTGGAGGTGGATGAAATGGGTACTTTGGGGCAGTCTGTAGATGAGTGGCTCTCAGTTCAGTGGTGGTGTGATAGGAATCCCACCCCTTCCCCTTCAACTCCATGATGGTGGCACTCATCTCTCCCACACCCTCTGGGATGCAGTGCTGCTTTTGGTTTAATAGCTTCTGCACCAGAAGGGTGTGACATCTTTCACTAGCCAAGTGGTTCTCAACTGGGGGCATCTGGCATCATCTGGAGACATTTTTGGTTGTCAGTACTGGAGGTGGTGAAGCTAATGGCATCTAGTGACTAGAGGCCAGGGACAGGGCACTGCTGAGCATCCTATAATTTACAGGACAGCCCCTGACAACAAAGAATTACCTAGCCTAAATGTCAATAGTGCTGAAGCTGAAAAACCCTGCTATTGATGGTGTCTAAGCTGCTAGAGTCAGAGGGCCCACATGGTCCTGGATTTAATTTAGACCTCCAAGCCCACCTTGCAGACATCCAGAGTTGAACTGAATTCACTCCAATGTTATCCTAGAATAGAGATGCTGCTGGACCATTCTGTACACTAGAGAAGGGGTCTGCAACCCCCAGGCCATAGACCGATAACTGTCCATTGCCTGTTAGGAACTGGGCCACACAGCAGAAGGTGAGCAGTGTGCCAGAGAGCATGACCGCCTGAGCTTTGCCTCCTGTCAGATCAGCAGTGGCATTAGATTCTCATAGGAGTGTGAACCCTATTGTGAACTGCGCATGCGAGGGATCTAGGTTGCGTATTCCTTATGAGAATCTATTGCCTGATGATATGAAGTGGAACAGTTTCATCCCGAAACACCTCCCTCAACCCCAGTCCATGGAAAAATTCTCTTCCATGAAACCACTCCTTGGTGCCAAAAGCGTTGACTGCTGCGCTAGAGAACAGCACCAAACTTTGGCATATACATTTGCACCACGTCTTGGTACACAAAATCTGATGTTTTACCTGGAGCCTTTGATAATGACATTTTAAAGAAATACCATTATTTAATCTAAATCATCACTAGAATAAAAAATTGAGAATTGCTTCATGTTGACTAGGCAATACTTTTCTGAAAGTTTTCCTGGTATTTGAAGCACTCATGACCAGGGTAAACCCCAACCTACTGTGCAGCCGAGGAAGGAAGCACTTGTATGGAGCCAAACCATGTGTGGAACCATTTGGAGATGTACATTCATTTACTCCTGTGTATCCCTGGGTGAGCTCTCAGCCCCAGAGCAGTTAAGTAATGCTCCAGTGTTTAAAATAGTGAATGTCATTTCTCTTTATTTTAGATGAAAATAATTTGTAAAATCTGACATCCAAATGCTTAAAAAGCTAAAAGTTATTTCTACATTGTACATTTTTCAGAGCCAAAGCCTTGGCTGGACAGTCAGTACGAATCTGTAAAGGCCCCAGGGCTGTGTTTTCCCGCATCTTGCTACTGTTTTCGTTGACCGACTCAATGGAAGATGAAGACGCCGCTTGTGGAGGTCAGGGACAGCTTTCAACAGTCCTGTTGGTCAACCTCGGCCGAATGGAGTTTCCTAGTTACACCATCAATCGGAAAACCCACATCTTCCAAGACAGAGATGATCTTATCAGGTAAGATGATGTTAGCTCACTATAATGTCTATATGTGTATTTCACAATTTAGTAAAAGGTTTTGTTATTTTTTTCCAGCCAAAGTAGAAACATTAAGTCCACAGCCAAAACAGTTTTTAATCTTTTTTTGCCCCACTTGTATACATTTCTATGACTATAGGGAAAATGTAGAAGTGTGCTGAGATTATGGTTGCCAAAATCCAAGGAATTTTGAGTTAGAACTACAAAAACTTCTCTGGTTTATGTTTCCAAGTACCTTTGGAAGGGAGTATTTTTTGTTTGTTTGTTTGTCTTAATTTGAGACAGGATTTCGCCCAGGCTGGAGTGCGGTGGCATGATCACCGCTCACTGTAGCCTCAACCTCCTGGGCCCAAGTGATCCTCCCACCTCAGCCTCCCAAGTAGCTGGGACCACAGGCACATGCCACCACACTCAGCTAATTTTTGTATTTTTTTGGTAGAGATGGGGTTTCACCATGTTGCCCAGGCTGGTCTCAACTCCCGGACTCAAGCAATCCGCCCACCTTGGCCTCCCAAAGTGCTGGGATTATAGGCGTGAACCACCGCCCTCGGCCTGTATTTTTTTTGACACAGACATATTAACAAACTTGACTTAGGAATATGTTGTTGGCATGAACAAGACTGAATGTGAATATTTTCTTATTAGTAACACTTTAGGTAAAGCTATTAATAACTTGTATATTGTATATCATACATATGATAATTAGATATACAGATGATAAATTAGAAATTTTCACTAATTTATATTGGCACACGGATTTAGTGAAAATTTGGTTTGTCCAATAAAAGTAGATTTTGAACTAAAAGTAGAACTACCATGTGATCCAGCAATCCCACTACTGGGTAATATCCAAAGGAAAAGAAATAGGTATATTGAAGAGATATTTGTACTCCCATGTCTATTGCAGTCTATTCACAATAGCCAAGATAGGGAGTCAACCTAAGTGTCCATCAGTGGATGAATGGATAAAGAAAATGTGGTACATATACACAATGGAGTACTGTTCAGCCATAAAAAAGAATGAAATTCTCCATGGTGGCAACATGGCTGAGCTCAGAGGACATTATGTTATGTGAAATAAGCCAGGCACAGAAAGACAAATACTGCATGTTCTCACTCATATGTGGGAGGTAAAAAAGTGGATCTCACAGAAGTAGAGAGTAGAATAGTGGTTACCAGAGGCTGGGAGGGGAAGGGGGATAGGGAAAGGTTGGTTAACAGATACAAAAGTGCAGCTAGGTAGAAGGAATAAGTTCTGTTGTTCTGTAGCAGTGTAGGATGACTATAATTAACAACAGTTTATTATATATTTTTAAATAGAAGAATGGATTTAGAATATTCCCCACACAAAGAAATGATAAATGTTTGAGGTGATGCCTGGTATGGCAACACATGCCTATATTTCTAACTACTCGGGAGGCTGGGGCAGGAGGGTCACTTGAGTCCAGAAATTCGGGACTAGCCTGGGCAACATAATGAGACCCCATCTCTAAAACATTTTCAAAAAAGTTTGAGGTGCTGGATATGCTAATTACCCTAATTTGATCATTATACATTGTATACATGCATTGAAATATCACACTGTGCCACATAAATATGTGCAATTTTATGTTAATTAAAAATAATAATAGATGCCAAACAAATAATGGGATTACAGTATTAAAAAGCAGGTTTTGATAAGAAAGAATAGTGTAGGTCTTAGGAAAAAAAATTTGGATTTCCTTAAAAAAAACACCTTTGGTAAGAAAAATTAATTTGGATTTCCTAAAATGTCACTTTTGATTCTTGATTTGGATTTCTGACTCAAATTTAACCAAAATTGATTGTGATATTTGCTTTTAGGAAAGTCCTGTGTTTCTAGGAAAGCCAGGTGCTTTAAGAAGTAAGTTATTGAAATTTTTGAATCACAGCAGTGTCAGTATAATCTGATTTTGGCCCATTTTACCTTAGCTGTCAGGAAGCTCAGTATCTTATTTGTATTCAATGGGAATAACTTTTTTAGTTAAAATCTCTAATAAGACTGTTTATTCTTACCCTGTTTTCAGTTGTCTCATATCTTTTTTACCTTTTTTGTTTTTACTGGCTTTACGCTTTTCTGGCTTGTGAGAATGTATACTCTGAAGCCAAGTTCCAGTTTCTATACCAATGAACTGTGAACCCACCCTGTGCCTCAGTTTCCTCATCTGTCAAATGGGGAGAATAATAGTATATTCTTACAGACATGTGTGGGGTGCATGGGAAGTGCTTAAAGCCTGGGCTATGGGGAATGCCTACTACATGTTCATTATTATTTTAATTGTCATTCTTACTGTTATACCCAAGTTCTATGACAAAACCATGGTTGACAAGTTCAAAAGGCATCTCATATTCTTTCTAGAAAGTAAGTGTGCTGTAAATAATAAAAATAATGAGAACTCCCTTGGTTAAGCAGAGAGCCTTAAGATGTAAATGAAACTGGATTTAATTGACTTCTGGAAAGGTAATAGTATTCAATATCTGGTAATGTGATACCTGGCCAGGAAACCCTTGTTGTCTACCTCTGTACTTGAGATAATTTATCCTTTTAAAATGTTTCTTATTCATTCAGTACAAATGAGTGTTGAGTACCTTTTATGTGACTTGGTTAGGGGTTGTAGCAGTGAACAAGAGAGGGCCTCAGCCATCATGGGGCTATGTTTCCTGGGGAGATAGAAATTAACCACTATTTAAAGTGTGTGAGAAGTGCTGTGATAATTGAGGGACAGGCTGGATAAGTTCTTTATAGACAGAGTGGCCCTGGAGAGGTGACATTTGAAGTGGGACTTGAGGATGAGAATGAGGTAGCTGTGTCAGGGTCTGGGTGCCTGCGTCCCGGCCGCGAGATAGCATGTGCACAGGCCCTGAGGCAGGAAAGAGCTTGCTGAGTTGGAGGAACTCAGGAGACCCCTGGCTAAGATGTGGGGGTGGACAGGACTGGGTTGTTGGTAGCGGCAGTGGAGAGAAGTGAATGTGTATGAGGCAGTTTGGAAGCAGTAAAGACAAGACTTGATTCTGATGTGGGCGAGAAGGTGAGGAGTGGATCAAGGATGGCTCTGGTGTTTTGCCTTGGGGTGGGGCGCCATCCAGTGAAGGGGATTGGGAGAGGTGTTGGTGCTGGAGGCGTCAGTGTGTGGGGTGCTCTTCAGCCGTTTGGTTGAAGCTGTTGTGTGTGGCATTGGACTTGCGGTCAGGAGCTCAGGGAATGGGTCTGGCCTGGAAAAAGTCAACATTTTGAGAGTCACTGGCATATGGACAATGTTTGAAGCCATGGAACTGAATGAGCAGCATATTATAAAAGAATGAGATCTAAGAATTTGTGAGCAAACTTTTACATTTGGAGGCAATTTCTTTACTCTTACTTTACAGTGTTTGTACATAATGATATTATGTACTTCATGCTTTTCTTTTAGATGTGAGACCAAAATACAATGAACATGTACTCAAAGTGTTAACAGAATTTGTTGGTCAAATGTCTTTGTTTTTTGGTAGCTAAAGGAGCGATGAAAAATTGTCTTTCTTAAGCTAAGTTGTGTTGTAACATTTCAGCGTTGCCATCTCCCAAAGAGCATCCCTTAGTTATTTTGAAATATTCCAGGTAATCTTCTTAGCTTGGGCAGCATCCCTCTGGCTAGCTCTGATTGTAAATGATTAAATTATCAGATCTACATCTGACTATAATTCTGATGTCACTTACATGTTTGCTGTCATATTGTTGAATGAGTGAATGGATGAATGAATGGATGAGTGCCAAAATCAGGAATGATGAGCTGATCCATATCACATTTATAGAATGGAACATGTTATGTGATAATACAGCATAAATGTTTTTATCTTTCTAGTTGGGCTTTCTTATCAGTTCTGGGCCACTCCAGTGATTTGGTTAAGATAAATTATTATTAGAATAAAATTTAAGTGGCCCTCATATTTTAAAAAACACACTTTTACCTTTCAGAGTGAGATCTAGTGGCTAGGATGTGGTCATTCTATGGGAATGCTCATTCTTATTTGGAACTTGGATGGCATTTTCCTCCAGATATGCAGCAGCCACGCACATGCTGAGTGACATTTCTTCCGCAATGGCCAATGGGAACTGGGAAGAAGCTAAGGAGCTCGCTCAGTGTGCAAAAAGGGATTGGAACAGACTGAAAAACCACCCTTCTCTGAGGTGAGAGTTTTTCTAGGTACCTGCCAAAATTTATACATTGACCAAGTTGTTCCCAACACTTACAGTAATTTTCTTCATGAAGAATATACTCCTTTTTCTCTGTGGTTAAACCAGCTGTGGAATTGAATTTTGTGCGTGCTTTGCCTAGAATGAAAGTGCTGTGTGAAATAGAAGGAAATGTCTGAAGGTTTAAAGTGAATTTGATATAACTCAGATCCCTGGGCAACACACATGCCAACCCCATACTTGACTTGTCGCATGCCAACTGTAGGAGTGTTGGCCTCCCTGAGTACTGGTGAGCTGAACTGAAACGTGAGGGAAGCCAGCAGCAGGACGGATGTGGGAAGCATGGTAGGTGGGTTCCTCTGAGGGAAATTCAAGTAGGTGTTAAAAACTCTGCAAAAGACAGCTCAAGCGAACTTTCCAGGTACACAGCACATGATCTTTTATTTTGTTGAAAATGGTAAACATCTTCAATATTTATTAAGACATTTTTTCCTTTGTTGTTACATAGTGATGAGAAAAATTAGTATTTTCAGATGCCACTTTGAAAAAATCATTTAGGATATACAGTTGACCCTTGAATGATGCAGGGGTTGGGGTACCGACCCCTCAGACAGTCAAGAATCTGTGTGTAACATCTGACTTCCCCACTACTTAATTAATAGCTTACTGTTGACTGGAAGCCCTACCGATTACATAGTCAATTAACACACATTGGATATGTTATATGCATTATATGCTGTATTCTTACAATAAAGTAAGCTAGGGAAAAGAATATGTTATTAAGGAAAATCATAAGGGGGCTGGTACGGTGGCTCACGCCTGTAATCCCGGCACTTTGGGAGGCCGAGGCTGGCAGATCACCTGAGGTCGGGAGTCTGAGACCAGCCTGACCAACATGGAGAAACCTCGTCTCTACTAAAAATACAAAATTAGCCAGGCCTGGTGGTGCCTGCCTGTAATCCCAGCTACTCGGGAGGCTGAGGCAGGAGAATCACTTGAACCCAGGAGGTGGAGGTTGTGGTGAGCTGAGATCACGCCATTGCACTCCAGCCTGGGCCACGAGCAAAACTCCGTCTCAAAAAAAAAAAAAAAAAAAAAATCATAAGGGGCTGGGCGTGGTGGCTCATGCCTGTAATCCCAGCACTTTGGGAGGCAGAGGTGAGTGGATCACTTGAGGTCAGGAGTTCGAGACTAGCCTGGCCAACATGGTGAAACCTCGTCTCTACTAAAAATACAAAAATTAGGTGGGTGTTGTGACGAGTGTCTGTAATCCCAGCCTCGGAAGGCTGAGGCAGGAGAATCACATGAACCTGGGAGACAGAGGTTGTAATGAGCTGAGATCGCACCACTGTACTCCAGCCTGGGTGACAGAGCGAGACTCTGTCTCGGGGAAAAAAAAAAAAAAAAAGAAAATCATAAGGAAGAGAAAACATATTTACTGTTCGTTAAGTGGAAGTGGATCATCATGAAGGTCTTCATCCTTGTTGTCTTTACAGCAAATAGGCTGAGGACGAGGAGAGAGAGGAGGGCTTGGTCTTGCTGTCTCAGGGGTGGCAGAAGCAGAAGAAAATCCACATATAAGTGGACGTGTGCAGTTTAAACCCATGTTGTCCAGGGGTCAGCTGTATATTTATAGAGAAATAATATTGACTTAAAAATCACAAGAAGTTAGATTACTATAAACAGAGGTTGATAAACTTCTGTAAAAGGTCACATAGTGAATATTTTAGGCTTTGCAGGCCATATGGTTTCTGTGGCACCAACTTTACTCTGCTGTTTTAGTGCAAAAGCAGCCACAAGAAGTACGTATGCAAATGAATGAGCCTGGCTGTGTTCCAGTTAACTTCATTTGTGGACATTGAAATTTCAGTTTCATACAATTTTCGCATACCAAAGTGTATTATTCTCTTTATTTATTAACAATTTAAAAACATAAAAACCATTCTTAGTTTGCAGGACATAGAAAATCAGGTGGCAGACCCTGGGTTTGGCTGTGGGCCGGAGTTTGCTGACCTTGGTTTAGAATGATGAGTTCTCATCTTACTCCACTGTCTGAGTGACCTAGGACGTGGTAGCTGGCTGTGAGAATGTAGGTTTGTGGTGTAGAAAATTGTACACAACTGAAAGTATTTAGAATATACCTTTTTAAAAGATAGGAATTCAGTCTGCTTTGTCACTTGTTATTATTGTCTTATAATAAATTAACCAAATTATTAAACTACTGGTATATGTCTTCATTTTAGATGCCACGAAGATTTACCACTCTTCCTGCGGTGTTTCACTGTTGGGTGGATTTATACAAGGATTTTGTCTCGGTTTGTGGAAATACTGCAGAGACTTCACATGTATGAGGTTAGAGCACAGGTCCCTGCCCCCCACCATTACTGATGTGATGGCGTTAAACATGTGAAGGGACAGCTGTCGGGCTCTCAGCATTTCCTGCTTATTTGGTTAGCACACAGTAATATAATGGAGGCATATTTGTTTTGTTTTGTCTTTTTGAGACAGGGTCTCACTCCATCACCTAGGCTGGGGTGCAGTGGCAGGGTTCAGCTTACTGCAGCCTCTGCCTCCCGGGCTCAAGTCATCCTCTCACCTCAGCCTCCTGAGTAGCTGGGACTACAGGCGTGCGCCACCATGCCTAGCTAATTTTTGTATTTTTAGTAGAGGTGAGATTTCACCATGTTGCTCAGGCTGATCTCGAACTCCTGGGCTCAAGTGATTTGCCCACCTTGGCCTCTGATGCTTTGACAGTGGGGGCCTAAAGTGTTGGGATTACAGGTGTGAGCCACTGTGCCTGGCCAACGAGGGCATAGTTAATGTAGGCAGCCCGCTGTCTCTTGGATTAGTAGAGAGAAGATAGGTGAAGATGGACAGCTGTTCTGTTTGCCTGTGTGTTGATGAATCTGTGTCCCAGGATGGCCTGGGGGTGGCGGCCACCATCCTGGAGGGTGCCCCACAGGTCTGCAGCCTGAGCCTGAGTCTCTTTCAGAACTCCTTGTGAGACTTGGCAGGTCCCCAGAAATCTCTGAGGGACCTTTTGCTTCCTTTTGCTTCCCTGTCAGCTGTCATGGATTGTCTGGAGACAATTTATAATCACAAATCAGAAATTTGTCGTATCCTAAACTTTGTGAAATTGCTAGATTTCACTTTTGTTGTGTTTGATATTTCTATATTGAAAATGTTATCTCCAGACCAGGCATGGTCAAAAATATATATATACAAAACAAGAAGAAAAGAAAATGGGATCTTACAAAGAGGATGTGCTAAGCTGGTTTCTTGGCCTGGGGTCTGTGAATCCCAGGGGAGTGATGGGTGGGCTTTGGGGAAATCTGTGAATCTCAAACTTGCATGTGTATGGGGATTTATGCATTTTTCTGGGGTAAATCATTCCATATTACAAAGACATCCATGAGCCACAGAAGATTAACAAACAGAATGACCGAACAGTCTGTACATAATCTAGACCAGAGAATGTTCCTGTTGAGGTAGGGTGTTTGTATGAGGACACCCCTCATTACTTTCCTGCCCACCCCAAATCCCTCTTGCAGTTGGTCCTGTGACCTGCTGTGTTCCCAGAAGTATGTGGGTTTGCCAACTGTGACCAGTGCTCAGCTGCCTGGAACTTGACCCTGTGCGACTCTGCACTGGTTGACTGGTTTGCAGATAACACTCTGCAGCACTCACAGATGTCTGTACCCCAGTGCCAGCTGGCAGGGACCGGGTGAAGAGTGAGGATGCCTTAGGGAACTCATGCCCACTCCAGAAGGCACCTCAAAGTCCCTGTCCTGTCAGTTCGGGGTCCTTGGCCTCATTGTAGAATGGAAAGATACGCATTATAAATAGGCTTTACCAATCCTATGGGCTTGTAAATATCATTGCAGCTGGATTTTTTGTGAATCTAATGAGGTTTCTTTGTTATTGTTGCAATAGGAAGCCGTCAGAGAACTTGAAAGCCTTTTGTCTCAGAGAATTTATTGTCCTGACAGCAGAGGCCGATGGTGGGATCGACTGGCCCTTAATTTACACCAGCACTTGAAGCGCCTGGAACCGGTACTCAGTAACAAAACATATCTGAAACACCTTTTCATTTTAGAATCAACTTTTAAAATATGGCAAACTTAATGCCTTAAAATTTACATGTAATTAGAACATGTATTTCTTTTGTTAACATTCTTCTTTTGTCTGTGTTCTTCCAACCCCAAAAGAATACCAGGGATGCCAGCACAGCATGAGCATAGAGACTGGAAGCTTTTGTCTTCTCTTTGCTGATTGGCGAGATGGGCTTACTGTGGACTCTGTGCTGGCATTTAGGAATCAGGATCTAGGAATTAAGGGAAAGGGAGAGTCAGATGACTCAGCCGTCAGCAAGTCAGCAAGTGCCTTCAAGGAAGGTGTTTGTTTTGGAAATGGTGACTTTGTTGATTTGTAGCACAGGGTCTCTAGGTAGAAAGATTGGCGAGAAAGCGTTCCTTTCCCTATCTTATTGCAGGTCCTTTATGCGTGACTCTGTACTTCTGTGAGGTGTTTTGCTCTGCCATTTGGAAGCGTTGTTTGACCTTGAGCAGGCACCAGTGCTCCCTGTGGTGGCGATCTAGGGGCACTTGGAAGCACAGGGATTCTGTGGCCACCACAGCCAGGCGGGTGAGGCCGCAGAGCCTGTGCCTGTGGGCTAGGCAGCAACAGTGGTTCTTTGTGTGGCCGCCAGCAGGCCCCTCCCTGTCTCTATTCCAGCCCTGCATTTGAGTTGAATGGAGGGGACTGTGCCTCTGGGAGCTTTTGATTTTTTCAGTGGCCCATTAAGTGAATCAGGGTGATGTAGGGGTGGAAAAAAACGACCACTGGTTAGGAAATATGACATCTTGTTTTTATTGCCGTAAACTGAAAAAGTGCCTTGTTACCTCACGTATCAGGGAAAGAGCCAGTAAAGCTATTTCCTCTCATGGAGGAGGGTGTGGGGCTTCCTTACCACTCGGTGTTTACTGAGGCTGAAATAGCAAGAGAAAGCATCTGGTAGCCTAGAACCAAATACAGAAGGAGAAAGCTTGTGTTTCTGTCGCCTTTCTTTCAATGAAATAAAAGTTCAAGAGAGTACAGATTTCCCCTCTGTTCACAGTTCTGCTAGGGGGTAGACAAGCCACTGAGCTTATTTTTGAGATTTGAGCTAAGCCTAGTTCCTCCTAACCTCTGTTTCCAGAGGTCTTACTGGCCATAGCTCTTGTTATTTCATTAGTGTTCTTTGATCTTTACCTCAGTCTCCAGGGAAGGGATCGCCTAGCTGAGTGCTAATTCCTGCAAAGTGCTCTGCAGCCAGCCCCGGCCTGGCCAGGGCAGAGGTGGAGCCAGCTGGGCCCTCCCTCTCCGAGGCCAGGCTGCCGCTGCCCGGCACCGTCTTCTGCCAGCGAACAGGGTGCCCTTCAGAGTCTCATTCTCCCATCTTCATTTCCTTCAGCCACTCAACTCTGGATGGCCTGAGCCTTCACTGATTTTCAATTTCTTGGTTTTTATTTTTTCTTTCACTTTTTATGTTTCTATTGTGGTAAAATAAATTTAACATCCCTAAAATACAGCATTTTAGCCATTTTTAGGTGTACAGTTCAGTGGCATTCATGGTACTCATAGTGTTGTGTGACCATTGCCTCTCCACTTACCACTCCAAACAGAAACACTGCAGCCATTAGGCAACTACGCCCCGCTTTCCCTTCCCCAAGCCCTGGCGACGACGTCTCATCTACTTTTTGTGTCTGTAAATGTGCCTGTTCATTTCATTCATTTCATTGAAGTGGAATCCTACGATATTTGTGGTTTTATGTCTGGTGTATTTTGCTCAGCATCATGTTTCTGAGCTTCACCCGCATCGTGGCACATGTCAGGACTCCGTTCCTTCTCCAGGCTGAACACACTTCCACTGTAGCATCTGATACCACATTTTTCTAGCCACTCATTGGTTGATGGACACTGGGTTCCTTCCACCTTTTCGGCCATTTTGAAGAATGCTGCATGAACCTCTGTTTCAGTCCCTGGTTTCAATTCTTTTGGGAATACCTGAGAGTGGAACTGCTGGGTCCTGTGGTGATTCTGTGTTGAGCTTTTTGAGGAGTGGCTGAACTGTTTTTCACAGTGTTTACACCAGTGTCACATTCCCACCAGCAATGCGTGAGGTTTCTGGTTTCTCTACCTCCTTGTCAATGCTTATTTTCCATGTTTCTGATTATAGCCATCCTAGTGTGAAGTGGTATCTCCTTGTGGCTTTCTGTGTTTGTTTATTTGTCTGACTCTGAATCGCCTTGGGAAATACTTGTAATTCCTCCAAACCTTTGGCTCCTGTCCCTGTAAATAAGGAATCTGAAGCAGCTCCATGGTTCTTGACTGCATATGAGATTGACCTGGCGCTTTGATGTGGCCCCCATGCGTGGGCTCCTGCTCTGGAGGTTCTCATTGTGTGGATCCGGGGTGGGACACATGTTTTCCTACAAAGCTGCCTAGGTGATGTCCTGAGAACCACTGAGCTAAGTTTTCCTGTAAAGTCAGGTACCCCTGAGGTTCACACCCTTTGTGAGGGGCAGCTGCTGGGATCCACTGTCCACCTGGATTACAGCCCGGTCACGCTCCAGCACGTTGACTGTGAAGGCTCTGGTTGCCAGATGCATTGAAATCCTCAGAATAAGATCTAAGGAAACAGCCTAAATCTCTAGAAGTGCTGTTTGCTCATTTGCTAATCAGCAAAATTCAATAATAAACAGTGGGCTTTTCTGTCAAACTAAATGCATGGAAGCCGCCATGGGTTTTTTTAGGAGCCTGATGTGTGACCATGCTCTCTGCCAGACTATCAAGTGCATCACAGAGGGGCTGGCGGATCCGGAAGTCAGAACGGGACACCGCCTTTCACTGTATCAGCGAGCCGTGCGCCTGCGAGAGTCTCCGAGCTGTAAAAAGTTCAAGCACCTCTTCCAGCAGCTCCCAGAAATGGCTGTGCAAGATGTGAAACACGTGAGGAAAGAGCCTGTGGGTGCTTTGGACTTAGGCGCGTGTACCTGGTTTTTTTGGATCAGAAGCATCCTAAGAGCTGTTTTGAGTGTGTGTTTTCTTTTAGACTCGGAATAATCTAAAACTCGTTTTGGACGGCTGTGTGGCCATTGCTCCCAGTCTCCCCCTAACGCCCTCCTCCCTGAGGAGACTGGGTTGCTTGGTGTGGTCACACCCTGGGTTGAGTGACAGATCTCCTGAATGGGGCCTCTCAGCATCTGCCCCGGTTTCATTTACTCACTGGGGACCTGTAGAGCAGTTCTGGTGGTTGAGGCTCTCCCAGGGCCGGACCAGCGAACTGTCACATCCCCGCAGTTCTGCGTGTGTGAGCCCCACGCTGTGTGCTCTACTAAGTGACTGACTTTGTGGTAAGGGAGGTCAATCCTCACGATGCTACAGGCAGGTTTTCAGGGACTTTTGCTGACCTGAGGCTAATAGATGTTATTCTGCTGCTGTTTCAGGTGACCATCACAGGCAGGCTGTGCCCACAGCGTGGGATGTGCAAGTCTGTGTTTGTGATGGAGGCCGGGGAGGCCGCTGACCCCACCACGGTCCTGTGCTCTGTGGAGGAGCTGGCACTGGCCCATTACAGACGCAGCGGTTTTGACCAGGGTAACTGAGCAGGCTTTCTCTTGTGGCACCCAGCCCCGGGTGGACGAGCAGCAGCACTGGATGGGCTGTCAGCAGTGGGCTGCTGTCCTCTCTCTGTCCTCTGCTCACAGTGGAAGATGCTGTGGGCTGGGGGATGTCTTCCTATTCTTCCCCTTATCAATGATAAGGAGTAGGTCAGGGGTAGTTGTCCCACAGGGCCTGGCTCTGATCTTTTTTCTTTTATAAAAACTTATAAAAGTTATGGAAGGTACTGCACAAGCCTTTGTACAGAAGTCAGGGGGACAGTGTGCTCAACCCCACGGACACCCACTTCCATTCAGTGTTCCTTCTGTTCTCTCCTGCCCCTTCCCTGGGATTTTAGAAGCTGGCCCCAGATATCCTCTCAGGGGCCCTGCGGCCCATGCTAGTCGCTTTCGGGAACAGCCACTGAGCCTTCCGCCCTTGGGCCTGGCAGGACTCTCCCTGTGCCCGGGCTGCAGGGTTACCAGTGTTAAAAACACTGATATTTTCAGATGTGTGAAAATCAGGACATGATTTCAGTATTCCCCGAGTGTTCGGAAGATTAACAAGTACTATAGAAAGACAACCACAAGATAGGAGTTTACAAAGCCCAGGTTCTTTCTGATGAGTGTTGAGATTCATCTACATAATATCTTTATTACTTACAGGGAAGGGTGATGTTATTGGGGAAGACGTGCAAATGCCAGTGAAGACAGAGAGATACAGTAGGCCTGAAATGGTTAGAAATAGAAGAATAGAATGCACATTCAAGGCCCCGAGAGACGTGGAAACTGGACACTCGCTGGAGGAGGAAGCAGGCTGGGACGTGGGAGCGCTGAAATGCTTTCAGTTGAGCCATGAGCCTGAAAAACACACGATTCCTTTCCCAGAGTAGAAACTATTTTTCCCTGATTAAAATCGATGCCGTGAAACTGGGCTGAACTCTGGCTGCCAGGCTTTATGCCACAGGGAATTTTGTGTCAGAGCGATCTCAACCTCTTCTGGGAGGTGATTTCTGAAGTACTGCACCAAAAATGATTTCACTTATAACACAAATGCACAGCATGGACCACTTAGGAGTTAAGGAACGAACCAGGCACGGTAGCTTACACTTGTAATCCCAGCACTTGGGGAGGCTGAGACAGGAGGATCACTTGAACTCTGAAGACGGAGGTGGGAGGATCTCTTGACCCCAGGAGGTCAAGGCTGCAGTGAGCCAAGATTGTGCCACTGCACTCCAGTCTGGGTGACAGAGTGAGACCCTGTCTCAAAACAAAACAAACAAAGGAGTTCAGAAATGATCTGGCCTTTATATTCCTGCCTGATCGTCAGTGTATTCACCAGGACGGAACACTGACTGGAAATCAGGTCCTAGCTCCACTCCTGGCTGGGAAAGAGCATGAAGTGTTCTAGGAAGAAAAGTCCTCCTGGAAGACTTGGCAACAGCCAGGAGTCCTGAGTGAACCGCTGTCCTTTTGAATCCCTGAGACGGGCTGCAGGGATGAGGGGCTAGAACTGACAGGAAGACAGGACAGAGAGCAGCACAGCCTCAGAAGTGCAGGACAGAGGTGACCCAGGCAGGCATGACGGGCTGTGGCTTCCTGCCCTCTGCTCTCACAGCACCCCTGATCCCACTCACTGTGGTACCACGCAGATGGGTTGGGGCCTGTAAATGTCAGGTGGGACCAGCCAGAGGAGCTTTGCTGCCAGTACTGGCATGTCAGGATGGGGGTCTGGTGGTCAGCACCTCCTCTGGCCAGTGGTCTTGTGGGGAGAGGCATCCATGTGGCCTCCTCCTCTGTCGGGAGGGCTGATGTGCAGAGAAGTACGGACTTGGAGGGCAGCTGGATGAGCTGGGGCTTGCTCAGGGACACAGGTCTGTGTGTTGTGCCAAGGCTGACCCCCTCATCCCACACCAGACCCTGCCTCTGACTCTGTGACCTCAGCACCTGACTTCTGTCTCTCAGGTCATCTCCCAGTCAGTAAAACATTTGTGTGACGTGAGGAGGGGCACTGAAGTGGGTGATCTTTAAGGCCAGATGTCTCTGTAAAAGCCTTGACTATCGGAAGCACTGGGCTAGGGCAGTGTAGTACCCAGGGGGATGAGGTGCATCAGAGCAGCACCTGCTGAGGCCAAGAACGGAGGTGGCTGCTGCCGGCCTCCGGGAGGTCCCCTTAGGGAAGCATTTCTTCAGGGGTGGCCCAGGGACCTCCGGCATCAGGGCCTGCATGGGGATTCTGTGCCAGCCCAGCCCTGCTAAGTCCCAGCCTTGGGAACCTGAGGAGGGTATCTGCCTATTTTTCTTTTAAACATGTTTCTTAGGTTATTCACTAAAGTTTGAGAACCACTGCTTTGTGGCTTTGAAATGTTCATTTGAATTTTTCTATGATTACTAAGATTTTTGCCCTTAAGGCTCTGTATATAAACAACATACTGTATAAAATAAACTGGGAATGGCGTGAAAACAGCATTTGCTTCTGAATCTAAAATATTTCTATTATTTTCTTGAAATTGAGTGTGCAGTAGGTTATGGTGGTGTTTTGGAAGAAACAGATAAAACAGATTTTGTGTGTGTGTGTGTGTGTGTGTGTGTGTGTGTGACCTTGTCTTAGGGATTCATGGCGAAGGGTCCACCTTCAGCACCCTGTATGGCCTCCTCCTGTGGGACATCATCTTCATGGATGGGATTCCGGATGTCTTCAGAAACGCCTGTCAGGTACTCCAGTGCCCCTGCCCCACGAGTAGGTCCTTCTGCACACATCCGTGGCTCACGCCCACCTGGGCACCGTGTGTCCACAGCCAGCAGAAACCATCTCTGTTACGGTCCTTTGGGTCATCCACAGGTCAAGATGATAACTTATTTTAAAAATCTGAGTAATAGAATTTAAGATGTAAGTATGTGAAGTTTTAAACTTTAATTTAGCCTCCACCTTACATTTAGACCTTTCGTATAAAGTACCATCAGCATCAGCCCTCCCGAGCACCTGCCGTGTCGCAGGCACTGTGCCAAGGAGCTCACAGACATGGGCACATCTGCCTGTTCAGAGGTCCACCCAGCTAAGCGAAAAGCTGTTTTTGCAAATTATTACTCTAAAAAACAAGTTTAATAAATTGCTTTTATATCAATTAACTTTTACTTATCTTTTGAGAGAAAGAATGTATCGGTTGGCCGGTTTCCAAGTTTTGTATGTACTGACTAGTCCTCTGGTGAACACGGCTCTCTGCAGGCACAGTATGACAGCTTGCTTTCCCTGTGACACAGGCATTCCCCCTGGACTTGTGCACAGACAGCTTCTTCACAAGCAGACGCCCAGCCCTTGAGGCCAGGCTGCAGCTGATTCATGATGCCCCCGAGGAGAGCCTGCGGGCCTGGGTGGCAGCCACGTGGCATGAGCAGGAAGGCAGAGTGGCTTCCCTTGTCAGCTGGGATCGCTTCACGTCTCTTCAGCAAGCTCAGGTAATGGTTCACCTGCATGGCAGGATTTGCTCAGAAAGTTAACACCGCCCCAGTGCTGTCTTTTCAGCAACTTTATCAAAATACACATGTGTGTATATGTAAATACATGTATGTGTGTGCATATATATGATATATAGTATATATCATATATAAAATATATATTATATCTTTATTATATTTATTATATTATATATTATATATTACATATTACATATATAATATATATTATATATTATACAATATACAATATATAATATAATATATGAAATATATATTATATCATATAATATATATAAAATATATATTATATCATATATAATATATATAAAATATATAATATATTATATCATATATAATATAATATATAAAATATATAATATATTATATCATATATAATATAATATATAAAATATATAATATATTATATCATATATAATATAATATATAAAATATATATCATATATAATATATATAAAATATATAATATATATCATATATAATATATAAAATATATAATATATATCATATATAATATATAAAATATATAATATAATATATATCATATAATATATAAAATATATAATATATAAGATATCATATATAATATAATGTATAAAATATATAATAATATATATATTAATATTATATAAATTATATATATGAGAATACCCTATCCCCCTGGCCCCAATGCCACTGTTAGTGATGGAAACATACTAGGGTGTTAGAAAAGCCCCAGCTGTGCCTTTGCCACCCCTGAGTTGACAGCTTTCTTTTGCTTGCCCTGTGGCTGAGGCAGGGAGGATACCTTCTGTGTTCCTTCAACTGCTGCCCTCTATGAGGCCATGCTGTCGCGTTCCTGAGTGCATCCTCCACATCCCTCTTCCTCAGCGCTCCCCAGCATGGCCACGCTGGCAGAAGCCTGGAAACTGACCACAGGAGGACCAGTCTCCCACCACTTGCCAGTGGGATTCCAGCCATGGCTCTGCAGCTCTGGTACAAGCAGCAGAACAGCGCATGGTGGGCCTGGGGTCCATGTGCACTGAATTACATATACACTGAGCTTTTCTCCGTCTCGTGATCCCTGGAGCCTATTTCCATTCTCTGTCACGAGGGAAGTGGCTAACTGTCCTGTGTTTTGTGTTCAGGATCTTGTCTCCTGCCTGGGGGGCCCTGTGCTCAGTGGTGTGTGCAGGCACCTGGCTGCTGACTTTCGACACTGTCGAGGGGGCCTCCCCGACCTGGTGGTGTGGAACTCCCAGAGCCGTCACTTTAAGGTCAGTTGAGGCAGAATGGAAAGTCCTGTTGGTAACCTTATTAGCAACTGAATCAGAGGCCACAAGTAGGCATTTCTTGAGTGGCTGTTGGCAAGATTGAATTCCTTGAGAGCTTTTGGGCCGAGGGCCTGGGTTCCTGTGGGCCTGTCCCCTGCGACTGGCTTCATCAGAGCAGGCGGGTGAGAGGAGCCCCAGAGTGTGAGCAAGACAGAGCTCCATCTCTTATGACTTGATGTGGACATGATGTTCCATCACTCCTGCTGTATTCTGTGGTTAGGAACGAGTCTCTAGTCCAGCTGACACTCAAAGGGAGGGGGTCACAACGGGTGTGGACACCAGGAGCTATTTTAGAAGCTTACCGATAATTGTACATTTTAAAATGACTTAAAGAGTATAATGGTTTGTAACTCAAAGGATAAATGCTTGAGGGGACAGATACCCCATTCCCCTTGATGTGCTTAGTTCACATTGCATGCCTGTATCAAAACATCTCATGTACCCCATAAATATATACATCTACTATGTACCCACAAAAAATTTTTTAAAAAGCTCAGAGAGTGAACACTTCCTTGAACGCTGTCCACTAGCCCAGCCCTGCTGCCCATCACTGGTGATTTGTTTTCTCATTATTGAGTTTTGAGATTAAAAAATTATATATCCTGGATACAAGTCCTTTATCAGTGACATTTCATCCCAGTCTATGGCTTGTCTTTTCATTTTCTTAATAGTGTCTTTTGAAGAGCAGAGGTTTCAAAGTTTGACAAAATCCAACTTATTTGTTCTCTAGTGGATCATGCTTTTGGTGTCACATGTCAGAAATACTTGCCTAATCCAAGGTCACAAAGAGTTTCTCCTTTGTTTTCTTCTAGAAGTGTTATAGTTTTAGGTTTTACATTCAGTTTTATGATCATTTGAGACGCCATTTGTATACAGTGTGGGGCATGCACTGGAATTCATTTGTGGTGTGTGGATATCCACTTGTTCCAGCTCCATGTGTCAAGAAGACCATGCTTCCTCCACTGAATTCCCTCTGTATCTTTGTCAAAAATCAGTAACCCATATATATGTGGGTCTGTTTCTATATACTCTTCGGTTCCATTGATCTGTTTGTCTGTATTTCTTGATTATTGTAGCTTTAGATACATCTTGGAGTCAGGTAGTGTAAGTCCTATAATGACTTGTTTTTCAAAGTTGTTCTGGCTCTTTTGCATTTTTATTTGAATTATAACATCAAATTTTAAGTTTCCAAGAAAAAAAAAAGCCAGCTGAGGCCGGGTACGGTGGCTCACACCTGTAATCCCAGCACTTTGGGAGACAGAGGTGGGCGGATCACGAGGTCAGGAGATTGAGACCATCCTGGCTAACATGGTGAAACCCCGTCTCTACTAAAAATACAAAAAATTAGCCGGGTGTGGTGGCGGGCGCCTGTAGTCCCAGCTACTTGGGAGGCTGAGGCAGGAGAATCGCTTGAACTCAGGAGGTGGAGCTTGCAGTGAGCCGAGATTGCGCCACTGCACTCCAGCCTGGGCAACAGAGCGAGACTCCATCTCAAAAAAAAAAAAAAAAAAAAAGCCAGCTGAGATTTTAATTGGAATTCCTTTGAATCTGTAGACCAATCTGAGAGGAATTGGTATCTTAACAGCATTATTTTGATCAGCAAAAATGGGAGTTGATTTTGTAAAATATTAAGAATTTTTGCATATATGTTCATGAAGGATATTGAGCTGTACTTTTCTTTTCTTATTATCTCTTTGTTGGGTTTTGGTTTCAGAGTCATACCAGCATCAGAGTGGGATGGAATAGTTGGTGTAGAATTAGTATTATTCCCTAAACATTTGATAGAATTCCCCCAGTGAAGCAGTATGGGCCTGGAGATTTTGGGGGGAGGAAAATTTAAAGCTATAAATTAAATTTATTTTTAAACAACATAAGGCTGTTCATATTATCTGTTTCTTCTTGATTGCGCTTTGCTAGTTTGTGTCTTTCAAGGAATTTGTCCATTTCATTTAAGTATTGTCTTAAAGTTGTTTATATTTGTTTCTTTTCTTTTTTTTTTTTTTTGAGATGGAGTCTCGCTCTGTCGCCCAGACTGGAGTGTAGTAGCGTGAGTTAGCTCACTGCAACTTCCGCCTCCTGGGTTCAAGTGATTCTCGTGCCTCAGCCTCCCTAGTAGCTGGGATTACAGCTGTGCACCACCATGCCTGGATAATTTTTTTTTTTTTTTGTATTTTTAGTAGAGATGAGGTTTTGCCATGTTGGCCAGGCTGGTCTTGAACTCCTGGCTTCAGATCTGCCCACCTTGGCCTCCCAAAGTGCTGGGATTACAGGTGTGAGCCACCGCACACGGCCATGTATTTCTTACTGTATTTTAATATCTGTAGAATCTTTATCTCTGTCATGCTCTTATTCTTGATATTGGTAATTTGTGTCTTTTCTCTTTTTTCCCTAATGAGTCTGGCAGGAGGTTTATCAATTTACTGATTTTCTCGAAGAATCAGCTTTTGGTTTCATTTGTTTTTTTATTTCCTAGTTTCTCAAGGTGGAAGCTATGGTGATTGCTTTGAGAACTTCTTTTCTAATAGAGTTAGGTAGTGCTCCAAATTTCCTTCTCAGTGCTGCTTTATCTGAACCTCACAAATTTAGTAGTTGTTTTCATTTTCATTCAGTTCACAATACTTTCTGATTTCCCTTTTGACTCTTCTTTGATCCTTGGCTTATTTAGAAGTGAGTCATTTACATTTCCAAACACTTGAGAGATTTTCAGGTATCTTTCTGCTATTGATTTGTAATTTAACTCCATTGTATTCAGAGGACATATTTTGTATGATTTGAATCCCACTAAATTTGTTGAGACTTGTTTTATGGTCCAGAATATGGTATTCCCTGGTGAATATTCTGTTTGTACTTGAAAAGAATGTGTGTTTAGCATTTGTTGTGGGCAGTATTTTTAAATGTCAATTAGGTCAAGTTGGTTGATAGTGTTGTTTAAGTTGTCTGTGTCCTTACTGATTTCTTATTTACTTGTTCTATAAATTATTGAGAGAATATTGATATCTCTGATTATAATTGTGGTATTTCTTTTCTTTTTTTTTTTGTTTTTGTTTTTTGAGACAGACTCTCACTATCACCTAGGCTGGAGTGTAGTGGCAGTGCGATCCTGGATCGCTGCAGCCTTGATCTCCCAGGCTCAAGCAATTCTTCTGCCTCAGCCTGTTGAGTAGCCCGAACTATAGGCATGCACCATCATGCCCAGCTGATTTTTTTTATTTTTTGTAGAGATGGGGTTCCACCATGTTGCCCAGGCTGGTCTCAAACTCCTGGGCTCCACGTTGGCCTCCCAAAATGCTGAGAGTATACCGTGCCCAGCCAATTTGTGTATTTCTTCTTGCGTTTCTATCACTATTTGCTTCATGTATTTTGAAGGTCTGTTATAAGACGCATAGACTTTTAGGACTGTCATGTCCTCTTCATGAGTCTACCCTTTTATCATTATGCAGTGACCCCCCCTTTACACCTGGTAATCTTTGCTCTGAAATCAACTTTGTCCGATATTGTCAACATGTAGCCACTTCAGCCTTCTTTTTTTTAATGTTAACATGATACATTTTTCCATTCTTTTACTTTTGACCTGTTTTATCTTATTTTTAATGTGGATTTCCTGTAGGCATCATATAGTTGGGTCTTACTTTTGAATCCAACTTAACCTCTGTCTTTTAATGGGGTGTTTGGAACATTTACATTTAATTTGATTATTGATATCCTTAGCTTTAAATCCTGATACTTATTTTCTCTTTGTCTCAGAACTCTTTTGTCCCTTGTCTTTTTCCTGAGTAGCTGGAACCACAGGTGCACGCCACCATGCCTGGCTAATTTTTGTGGTTTTTGTATTTTTTAGAGATGGGGTTCCACCATGTTGCCCAGGCTGATCTCAAATCCCCAGGCTCAAGCAGTTCACCTGCCGTGGTCTCTTAGTGTTGGGATTGCAGGCATGAGCCACAGTGCCTGGCCCTGTCTTATTTTTAAAGATTGCATTTGATAGCTTTGCTGGCTTGTTAGCTGTAACTGTTCATTGTGTTGAAGTGGTTGCGTTAGTATATTATATATCTTAAACTTATCCACCTTCAGGTGATACACACTTTAGAGTAAAAAGAACCTTTCAATAATATATATCTTCCCTTCCAGCCTTTGTGGTGTTTTCATATATTTTACTTCTACGTGTTATATGTTCTATAACATATTATTTTTGCTTTCTACAGTTGATTAATGAGTCTGTATTTACTCATGTACATAGCATTTCCAGTGCTTGCTATTCTTTTGTGTAGATCCAGGTTTCTGTGTAGTCTCATTCTCCTGCTTGAAGAATTTCCTTTCACGCCTGTAATTCCAGCACTTTGGGAGGCTGAGGTGGGCGGATTGCTTGGGCTCAGGAGTTGGAGACCAGCTTGGGCAAACACAGTGAGACCTCATCTCTACAAAACGATAAACAAATTAGCTGGGTGTGGTGGTGTGCACTTGTAGTCCCAGCTGCTTGGGAGGCTGAGGTGAGAGAACTGCTTGAGGCTGGGAGGTCAAGGCTGCAGTGTGCTGAGATCATACCACTGTATACCAGCCTGGGCAACAGAGTGAGACCTTGTCTCAAAAAAAAAGAAAAAAAGAAAAAGAAAAAATTTCCATGTCTAGAAGTTCTGCTAGTAATGAATTACAGTAGTTAGCCCTCTGTATCCATGGTTTCTGCTTCTGTAGATGCAACCATGGACTGAAAGTATTTGGAAAAAAGAAAAACAATAAAAAGTAACTACAACAATAAACAAATCAAATAAAAATACAGCATAACAACTATTTTCATAGCATTTATATTAGGTATTATAAGTAGAGATGATTTAAAGTATATGAGAAGATGTGCTAGAATATGCAGATGCGATGCCATTTTATATCAGGGACTTTGAGCATCCATGGATTTTGGTAACAGAGGGGGTCCTTGAATCAGTCCCCCATGGATACTGAGGGATGGCTGTATTTAGGTTTTGTATGTCTTAGCCTTTATTTCACCTTTGTTTTTGAAAGATATTTTCTCCGTGCAATGAATTTTATGTTGACAGTTATTTTTCAATACTTTAAAAATATTAGTCTACTGTCTTCTAACTAGCATGGTTTCCAATCAGAGAATCTTTTTTTTTCCTCTGGCTTTAAAAATTCTGGCTGCTTTGACTATATCCCCTGATTATACAGTTGTGATATTTCCTAGGGTGCCGTTACATTTGTGTGCCTGGGATTCATTGATTTTCTTCAATCTTTGGGTTTACTGTTTTCATCAAATTTGGAAAATTTTTGGCCATTTTTTCTTTAAGTATTTTTTTTTCTCGTTCCTTTGGGGACTCTAATTAAATGTCCCTTAGGCTGCTAAATGCTGTATTTAAACAATTTTTTTCTATATTTTACCTATAGTTTTTATTGCTGTGTCTTCAAGTCTAGTGATGTGTAGTGAACAAAACACACAATTCTTGCCTTCATGAAGATGACATGTAGTATATATTTTTATCTTATGAATGCCATGAAAGAAGTGCATAGGGAGGATATACTTAGAGCTGTGACCTCTCCAGATCAGTTTAAGCTGAGCATTGAAAGGTAAGAAGTCAGGCATGTCAAGAACAGGGAGAAATGTCCCAGGCAGCGGGAACAGCAAGTAGCAAGTGGAAGTGAGGGCCTTGGGGTAGGGAAGAGACTGGTCATGGCAAGAAGGTTAGATTTAATTGAAAATGTAACAGAGTAATCGGAGGGTTTTAAGCAAGGAAGTAAAATCCAGTGCATGCTTTAAAACAATTTTTCATTTGCTATACTAAGAATCAGTTTACTCATCCTCTGTGAAGAACTGTCTAGTTTCTACAGAATAGAAGAATTTCTGAATAAATTTCTTAGCTACATACAGACGCTTCTCAACTTATGATGGCCTTATGTCCTGATAAATCCTACACATCAACTGAAAATATTGTTAAGTTGAAAATGCATTTAACATATTTATCCCACCAAACCTCATAGCTTAGCTTAGCCTACCTTAAATGTGCTCAGAATGTGTGCATTAGCCTACAGTTGGGCAGATCATGTAGTTCACTGCAAACCGTAGAGTACTGGTTATCCTCATGATCATGTGGCTGACTGGGAGCTGTGGCTCACTGCTGCTGCCCAGCATGGAGTATCATACTGGGAAAAGATCAACACTCAGAGTATGGTTTCTGTTGAATGTATATCACTTTTGCACCATTTTTAAGTCAAAAAATCCTAAGGTGAACCATTGTAAGTGAAGGACCATCCGTATATTTGTGTTACACTTACAAATACAGTGAGAGAGCAGAAGAGCCATTTAAATAGTTGTCAGTGACAACTACAACTTACTTGAATGGCTTTTCATTCAGTAAGATACTAATAACAACTTTTAAAAATTTCTTTTCCAGCTGGTGGAAGTTAAAGGCCCCAATGATCGTCTTTCACATAAGCAGATGATCTGGCTGGCTGAACTGCAGAAGCTGGGGGCTGAAGTAGAAGTCTGCCATGTGGTTGCAGTTGGAGCTAAGAGCCAAAGCCTTAGCTAAAAGGTATGGAATTGGGGATATTTGGTCATACATTAATGTAAGATTTTCAAGAGTATAAAACATGTTTTATTTAATTTTGTTATCGTGCATTATAAACCTGATAGTTTGACTTGTCATTTTACAGTGTCTGCATATCACAAAACAGTGTTTGCTTGAATACACTCATTGATTCCACACAGTGGGTAATAAACTTTTTTTTTTTTTTTTTTTTTGAGACAGAGTCTCGCTCTGTCACCCAGGCTGGAGTGCAGTGGTGTGATCTCGGCTCACTGCAACCTCCGCCTGCTAGGTTCAAGTGATTCTCCTGCCTCAGGGTCCCCAGTAGCTGGGACTACAGGTGTGCGCCACCACGCCTGGCTAAATTTTGTATTTTTAGTAGAGACGGGGTTTCACCATGTTGGTTGGCCAGGTTGGTCTGGAACTTCTGACCTCAACTGACCTACTCACCTTGGCCTCCCAAAGTGCTGGGGATTACAGGCATTGAGCCACTGTACCCAGCTCATAATGAACTTTTTTAAAAGAGAAAAATTTTGTTGACCATTATTGGAGCTGGATGCATCTATATGATTAGATGTGCAAAAAGCTGGAAAACTCAAAAACAAGTGATGATTCATCTTTAGGTTTTTTTTATAAAAAAGTAGTGGCTGGGCACAGTGGCTCATGCCTGTAATCCCAGCACTTTGGGAGGCTGAGCGAGGCAGGCGCATCATGAGGTCAAGAGATCGAGACCATCCTGGCCAACATGGTGAAACCCATCTCTACTAAAAATACAAAAAATTGGGTGGGCTTGGTGGCACACGCCTGTGGTCCCAGCTACTCAGGAGGCTGAGGCAGGAGGATGGCGTGAACCCGGGAGGTGGAGCTTGCAGTGAGCCGAGATTGCACCACTGCACTCCAGCCTGGGAGACAGAGCGAGACTCTGTCTCAAAAAAAAAAAAATTTAAAAACTAGCATAACCAGTGTTTCCTTCAAGTAATTAATTATATGGGAAACCGAGATTCTTGAATTAAGTTTTTCTTTACTGCCCTATACACATTTAGCTGTTAAACTTTTATGATTATCTAAGAAGGGCTGAAACAGTTGAAATTCCAATTTCTTTAGGAATCAAAACATTCTCATGAAGTTGTGTTGATTTATAACATGTAAATGCCTGTTCTACTGATTGGGCCCGGATCATGAAAGGAATGAAGTCTTTATCAGAGGCAGTTGTCCTTCATTGTCCATCTCCCTGGGACCATCCCTAATAACTAGATAGGGGTATTTTCTCTGTTGACAGTACAGTCAAATCGGCTGCTCATCACCATTGTGGGAGGGTCTCAGGCTGGGCAAGGGGGTGTGGTAGAAAGGTGATTTATCCATGCGCCAGGCCCGGGAGTCAGGGACTGGAACCCCAGTCTGTCTCTTGACTTCTTTGAAGCCTTCTTGGGGGAATATTACTCCCCAGTTTTTATATTTATTTATTGAATGGAAGGACCAGTTAGGGCATGATCTATCAATATCCACATGGCTTTAACTTTAGCCACTTCCGAATTGCTGTTAAAAAAAGTTACTGATCACTACCTGGCTTTAGAGGGCAAGCAGAAACATCCCATGGATGACACAGAAGTATGGGTAGGAGAAGATGCCTTCACCTCTTCTATCAATCACTGTGTTCCAGTAGATGATTTCATACTGACAACAACAAACAGTCGCTGTGGAATTTTATTAAGCCATCAAAATTTCCTTCACACTCAATACTGTTGAACAACAAGATAACACATCTTCTTGCTCATCCCACTTGAACTCAAGTCATCAATTTTAGGCACAAAGGTTTTAGTTTTCTCGGGAAATCAAGTTTTAACCACTTGAGGTTACTACTGCAGCAAGCAGATTTTGTTGACAAATGTGAACAGCTTTCACCCTCTGTTAGTACAAATTAATATCCTTTCCTTAAATAAAGTTAGTTAGCTATTTTTGGTTTCAAAATCAGTTTCCATCATAAAATAACAGCAAGACACTGTACACCTTTACGTTCAATACTAGAAATTTCACCCAGTGCATCAGCATCTGTGCGGCATTCCCTCAGCACGGGCTCTGCTGGCGGGCAGCAGGGGTGCTGAGCTCTCTCTAGTGCGCCCTGTGCAGCCACACCACTGCTGTCACCACATGTCCCTCTGACGGCAGAGGTGGTATAAGCAGCTTCACCCTGGCCCGACTGAAGGCTGTCATAGTTGTTTTTCATATTATGCACAATAAACTGTAGCACAATAATCATGATATAACAACTGTCCAGCAAAAATAAAAGTATTTTACATTTGATTATCATACAAAAATATGCATTTTTCTATTTTTAACCATTATTAATAGTACCTAATATTTTTAAACTTGTAAATTAACAACAATAAAATACTACAAGAGTTAAAATAAAATAAACGTGAAGGAAGAAAATTACAGAGGGAAAAATGCTCAATCCAAAACATTTAGTAATAATAAAAAAGCAGCTAAATGAAAAAGGGAGAATTGTGATTACACTGTCAATGGCAGGATACGCTGTGGTGTTATAAGGAGATTGGGTCTGGTTTCTAATCAAGGACTGTAAAATGTTTAATAATTCTATTTGTATAAACTGAAACTAGCCCTTATTTTCTAGGCAACAAGTTGGCAAAAACCTTGGGTTTACCCATAAAGTGAATTTCTTAAGATATTTTTTAAGAACTCCTGTCCTGTTATATCCAGAGACATTATCAAATTTTAAAAGGCAAATAATTCAAAAAGAAACAGCTATTCAGTACATATAAAGGTAAAATACAGTTATCTTGAAAACACTTGTTTTAGAAAAGGAAATAAGCTAACTAGACACTTTACTATAAAAATTTTCCATATCTTAGGATGGCAGTTTAAGAAACAGTCAAATTTGAAAGTATCCATGTTTTAAGCGGGGAATGAGGAGTGTGGGGGAGGTGGTGCCCCGTTTCACTGCTGTAAGAAGCTTCAGCTTTGACCGCTACAGTGGTAGGTAGGCTCTTGTCACACAGTTTGGAAATACTTTAGAGAGATTCAGATCAAGCAAACAACTGTGTCTGCTCATTCTCCTCAACTTTGCTGTCCAAAGTTGGGGGCTGGGGGAGCACTTCTGTCGCTCTTCAAATGGCAGTGTTTTGAGAGAATCCATTTTTTTATTTCTCCTCTATTCCTAAGCATTAGGAACTATGAGAGAAGGACATCTGTGCAGGTGCCCAACTCGTAACCTCATTAGTTATTTCCAGGGGGAAGTGCCAGCAATAGTTTACCACACTGGAAATACTGATGGCCAAGCCCAGCACGCCTCCCAGCAAGCCTTGTTTGTTTTTGAGGGCGAGTTTTGGCATAGATGGCACTCTCCTGTCTACAGCATACACCTCTGTGGAATCAGCACCCCAGAGGCCACTCCCCAGTGGCTTTCAGAGGAACAAGACTCTGGGGACTCCTGGCTATGAAGCTTAGTATGAAAAGCCTATTTCAAATATGCAATGGGATTTTCCCACCCCAATTTTAAAAAGTGAAATTATATTTTCTTCTGTAATATTTGTATCCTAAAGTCAAAGGCACTTCTAAGTTTAATTATCTGCAGCAAATGCTTTAAAATTAACAGTGCATATCATTTTAAAGTTGACCCTATGAAGTTAAAAGCAAACTCATGATTTCAAAACACAGTGATCTAAGGTTCCAAAGAAGGTGATCTAAAATCATAAATTCTGGCCCCAGAACACTGAACCTTCATCAGGTGAGTTCAATTAGAGATGACAGAAAGTAACCAGAAAAATACATGAATACTTCCTAAAACCTGCTGGAGGTTTTATCAGATGCTCCTAAAAATGACACGAAACACAAATTTCCTAACTTTCCTGTTGTCTGCTGCCTGGGGCTGCTAATGTGACTATCAGATAGCCTTCAGGAGGTGGTAGGAAAAATGGATGGAGACAAAAATGTAGCAGACAACATGAACAGTTTGATCACGGTTACAAGAGCCAGACCTGTAATGACAGAAAGAGGACAGGAACAAAATTTACATCTCTCTTAAAATAAGTGTGAAAGAAGCATGATTCAACATGTTTTTAAATATTAGTGCAAATTCCAACTATTATTCTTACATATAAAGTTATTAGAGATTCAAACGCCTAGGTTAGCAATGTTAATTCAGAGGAAAAAAGTTGACAGCTTCCCTCAAAATGTTCAGAAAACACCCTATTTTAGTCTTCATTTGCTAATGTCTCAGTAGACAACCATATTTTGGCCCCACTTAAAAATTTGCTTAATGGTGTTCCTAAAATGCTTCGTCTGCACAGATTCCCTACAGGAGAAAATGGAAATGAGGAGGAGAGAAACTCCGGTGTCCCCGAGGTGTCGGTGTGGTGAGGGCCGCTGGCGTTGAAGTACATCCTGCTCTGGCCCAGCTCCCCATAGCAGGCCTCCAGGGGGCCACTGCGCTGTTGCCGCAGCATCCTGCTCAGTACGTCGACTTCATCAGCCAGGAGGGAGAGCTTGTGAAAGGCTGTGATGGAGCCACCCAGGCTGATCTGGGCCTCGGGAACCCAGCGGAAGTAGCACAGTTTCCACAGTTTTATGTGTGTTCCAGAGACACGTGGCAGAATAACACCGTGCAGGTTGGCGGGTTTGGAAAACCATTCTCTAAAATACTGCTCCGTATCACTGTTCTGGCTGTCGGTTTGCTGAGCTGGATCTGGCTTTGGTTTTAATATCAATGAATTTCTCCTTGGAAGTAATTCTTGGTCACTGATGATTCCATTCTTTAAGGCAGACGGCATTCCTCTTAGTGTGGAGCTGTAGCTTTTCTATACAGAAGAGATTTTATTATGTTCCGGGGATTCCCTTTTTAGAAAGATTGAAGGATGCAATGGCAAATATAAACTCAATACTATGAAAAATTAATGGAATTTCAGCCTCAAAGAACATTTTCCTCCCTTCCTTTGTGTCCTTATTCTAATCCTCCTCCCCTGGAATTACACTTTTTTATGTGTTGACTCTACCTAGGCTGTTACTATCAGCCTGAATGGGGGCGGGATGAGAGTACCTCCTATCCACTAATTTGCTTAAGGATAAGTTCTAAGACGGGCTAGAAAAAACACTAGACCTGGTCGATTCTATCAAGAACAATGGCAAACTGAACAGAGGCAGTCAGGAGGCCAAATGTCTGATTCTTTGTTCTGTACCTTTCAGTAGTCTGCAAATTTTCTACCAAAAAAAATCCCAAGAATTTATTTGGGAATTATTAAAAAGGCAAACAATGAATGTTATTAGGACAAGAATATAGCAGTCAGGAGGCCATGACTACATCACAGCCAGGCGGCATTCCCTGCCACAGTGGCGGCTTGAATCATCAAGAAATGGATAAATGGGGCTTTAGTAAATCAGGCTTGCAGGCTCAAAGCTGCAATCTGCCCACTCTCAGGTACTGAGACTTTGTGGGCCTCAGACACCAGGAAGAAAGTTGGGATACAGTCATTTGAGTTAAAAAGGGAATGACCCCTCAGAAACCCACATTAGCAGTGTTACTCTTGGAACTGCCTTTACTTTTAACGCTCTCTGTTCTGAAAAAGAGGTGTTTGGTTACGTGTGAGCCAACATCACGTTTTGTTAGCTGTGATTTACCTTTGTCCGTTTAAAAGACTTCACGGAGCCATTCTGTATACAAGGTGTGCTCTTTCCAATGTAGAAGGGGTTATGGAAAAGGGTGCGATCCTTTGCTGTAAACTGGAGAGACCAGTCCCAAACAGAGGGGAATTTTAAGCCCTTCTCATCACCCAATTGGATGTTTTTGCTTATAGCAAATTCCTGCAAAATAAATAAATAAATATTTGCAAAACTAAAGATTCTCTCATGAATGCCTTTTTTCAGATGAGCCACTCATCATTATACAGGTTAAATGTTCTGTACTGCAGCCCTCAAAACCCACCAGAGTGGCACTTTCACTTCAAGAGAGGAGACGCTCCTGGCCTTTGAGCTCAGAGAGCCCCACAGTCCCCATGAACAAGGAGTGTGCTTTTCAGGTGCCCTCTGCCTTAGGACCCCAAGGAAGCCGTGCCCTTTGGGCAATAAGAATGTTATTAAGAGAAGTTTCACTAACATGATACGAGAAAGTCTTAAACATGTTGAATTTATTTCTATAATTACAGTATTTTACTTTTATGAGCACACGGTCAGTACATTTAAGTAGTTACCTGTTGGTAAGTGGATTAACAAAATCTTTGGATGGAAATCACTGCCACCAATTTTATAACTTACTTCGTAAGTGGGGAGCTACACTTCACTGAGCCAGTGATCTCAAATCACAGACCACAGACTCAGGGTAGGAAGGAAGGGATCAACTCCCTGTGGTCCTAGCATGTGGCTAAAACCATGGAGACCATGTACACAGGAGACCCCTCCTTCACAGGAGTCCACCTCTAGCCCGGACTCTGGGCGGGTGCAGCCTAGTTATCTGGCTTCCCACCACAGTAAACTGAGGCAACACAAGGCTACAGGGTGACAGCCAACCACCGCATTGTGAGGAAGACATGGAGCTCCTCTGGAAGGCAGCCCAGACCATTTCTATGAAGCACAGTCACATTTAGCAATGTGGAGAAAGGACTCTCATCTCAGCTGATTGATGGCAGCAGGCTACCACAGCAGTGTATACACAACAGTTCGCTGGAGGAAATAACCCCAGACACAAAGTCGCTGGATGATGGGAAATGTCTGATTCTTTGTTCTGTACCTTTCAGTACTCTCCAAATTTTCTACCAAAAAAAAACCCCCAAGAATTTATTTGGAAATTATTAAAAAGGCAAACAATGAATGTTATTAGGACAAGAATATAGCAGTCAGGAGGCCATGACTACATCACAGCCAGGTGGCATTCCCTGGCACAGTGGCGGCTTGAATCATCAAGAAATGGCTAAGCTGTGTAACAGCACAGGGCATTTTGTAAAGTTTTACAAAATTTTCTATTTCAAATAAGTAAAAATTCATTAAGCACCAAATACACATACTCTTAACAGTTTTGGCCAGGCGCAGTGGTGACTCATGCCTGTAATCCCAGCACTTTGGGAGGCCGAAGGCAGGCGGATCACGAGGTCAGGAGTTCAAGACCAGCCTGGCCAATATGGTGAAACCCCGTCTCTACTAAAAATACAAAAATTAGCCAGGCGTGGTGGCGTGCACCTGTAGTCCCAGCTACTCGGGAGGCTGTGGCAGGAGAATCACCTGAACCTGGAAGGCAGAGGTTGCAGTGAGCCGAGATCATGCCACTGCGCTCCAGCCTGGGTGATAGAGCAAGACTCTGTCTCAAAAAAAAAAAAAAAAAAAATTTAGTTACTTGACATTTCATCATGTACATGGATTAAAAACAATCCATTTGCTTCAAACACTGTTAAGAGCTGAAATCTAGTAAAACATGAACCCAAACGTGTTTTAATGGCCCTTCAGTAAGTATATAGAAAATGTCCTCTTGGCCAAGCACGGTGGCTCACGCCTGTAATCCCAGTACTTTGGGAAGCTGAGGTGGGCGGATTGCTTGAGTCCAGGAGTTCAAGACCAGACTGGGCAACATGGCGAAACCCTGACTCTACAAAAAAATACAAAAATTAGCTAGGCGTGGTGGCATGCGCCTGCAGTCCTAGCTACTCAGGTGGTTGAGGCGAGAGCAGTGCTTGGACCCAGGAGGCAGAGGTTGCAGTGAGCTGATATTGTACCACTGTACTCCAGCCTGGGTGACAGAGCCAAACTGTCTTAAAAAAAAAAAAAAAGATGTTCTCTTTTTTAAAAGGTAAAAATTAAAAATATTTATCCCAAGAGAGACCAGATTTTCTATAAACACTACCTGGCCACTAGCACCTAAGGTGGCCTCAGAATGGAAAAAAAAGGAAGAAATGCTTTGGGCTTTTGCCTGTGTGGAAGGGGCTGAGAACGGTTAAGAATCACGACCCTTAGACAATGACCAGTTCCTGCTAGGGAGGAAGGGAGAGGGGGATTCATGTTAGTATTTGTCAGAAAAGGCTTTTGAAAGAGCCAAATTAAAAAGAGCACTAGAACATGAACAGGGAAAGCAGAGGAAATACTTGTAGAAAGTATTTTTTACAGCTCCCTCAATACAATTCAGTAATGTTCATTCCTGGTGAGAAGTCTGTCCGCACACACAGCATCAGCCAAGCAGCAGAGGCAGTGGTGTCTGGGGGCTGGGAGTCCTCCACGCAGATACCCACCCATGCACTGCCCAGTCCCCAGACCCCAAAGTCTTTGTCCTCGCCTCACGCACCTTTTGCAGGCTCACACTGTCTGTGTGCGCACGGGGTAGTGACAGGAGACAATGGGGAAGAGCTGAAGGAGGCAAACAAGGCCAGGGGGAAAGCCTAGCTCGAGGCAGAGAGGGGCCCCAAGAATGATTATGGTGACGAAAAATAAAAACAAGCAACTGGGAGAGCATGTATTTTAGGAACAAATGAGCGTTCCATGCCTCAGGAGCCTCTAAGCCTGTATCACTGGTTCTCAGCACAGTATCTGGAAAGGTCAAACTTTCCTGGTGGGGTGGGCAGGGGACAGACTCTGGCTCTATCACCCAGGCTGGAGTGCAGTGGCACAGTCTCAGCTCACTGCAATCTCTGCCTCCTGGGCTTAAGCCATCCTCCCACCTCAGCCTCCCCAGTAGCTGGGACCACAGGTGCGCACCACCATGTCTGGCTAATTTTTGTATTTTTTGTAGAGACAGGCTGACGGTGTTGAGTTTCTTTGAGCCCTGGGTTCCCCAAAAGTGGCAATGCTGGACAATCTCTCCTGCCTTTTGTGTCCTGAGAACTCGCTCCTGTGGACTGAGACTGCCCTCCCTCCTGATTCCCCTGTCTTCTGACTATAAAATCCCAGGCCTTGTCCTTTTCTTTGGGATGCCCATTAATTAAGTTCTCCCTCCTGCAATAGCCTAAATAAAATCAGCTCCTTAACTGACCAGTGTATTTTGTCTTTTATACCAACAAATCCAGAATAATTCATATGTCTTTAGGAAAATTTGCATAATGATTCACAGTTTACAAAATGTTTCACCTCATACAATGAGACTAAAGGCATAAGTGTTAGTTTGACAGATCCATTTTACAGGTTAGCAACCTGGACTCTCAGGCTGAAGCCTGAGTGGAACATGGGCCTAGCACTTTTCCCAGACCAGGGCCAGAACTCAGGTTTCCCGCTCCCTAGGTCACACTGCCTAGCCCAGGGCCTTACGGCTGAGGCTGAAGACCCCGGAGCTCACTATGAGGGCAATCCTCTTCCTAGAAAGGCTTCCTGAAGGTCCACAAGAGCTGCCCCTTTCTGTTTCCCTCAATGGTCTCCACGGCATTTGTCAGCTTCTGTTGTTGGTTCGAGGTGGGTGAAATGGCACTTTGGTTCAGAATGGTTTCAAGTTTGGCTTGAGACCCTGCTTAGTCATAAATCCTCTACATCAATGAATTGTGACCAGAAACTTCAAACTCGTGAAGGAAAATAATCTTGTTTTGTACAACTTTTTATCCTACTGACCTAGGAAATAAATGTCGTGTAACAGGGCTTTTGTTTTTTACTACCCAATAGCCCAAATGTGAAATATAAATACAAAAGCATGACATTTAAGGTGGTTAAAGTAATTTACATCTTTAAAGGGGTTTACTACAAAACATTTACATTAGAGTAAAACAAAAAATGTTCATTCATAAAAATAATTTCCTAGATTTTTGTGTCTTCAAAATAATCCATTCAGAAATTTCAGCTGAAAATGGCAGTAAGAATTTTAAATCATAAGATTTTAAATAGGCAGTGAATTATACTTCAATTATGCCTCGATAAAGTTGTAAAAACAGGGAAAACGTAGCCACAGCCACAGGGTTGCTTACCGTGCTTTGCTTCACTCGCTGGTGAGGGGAGTTGAACAGGAAGGTGCCAAACAGTGAGATCCGGGTGCTGTCATACAACACTGCCAGGTAGGTTTCGGAGAACTCAAAAGCTGCAGGATATTGTTCTAACAGCTGCCAGGTGGCATCCAAGAATAGCAAAAATAAAGGAGACTGGCAAATACAAAGAGACAATGGGATCATTCAATGTTATCCTTCAGCCGTTCACATTTACTTCAAAATGTACTGCTGATGTTAAAGAAGAGATGAATGAGAAAACATCGAAGCCTAAAACACTTGCCTTCTAAGCTGAGCTATACACATCTATCAAACCCAAGAAGTAACATTCAACCGTGATAAACATCACAACCCTTATTTGCCCAGTACATGTAACAAGTTGAAACAGCAAAGCACACAGTTGAGCGGGTTGCCACTATATGAAGGGGGAAGAGCAAAATATGTGTTTAAGCATGTCTTAGAAACAATTCTTTAGATTATATAACAAAACAAAACCATCAACCAAACTTCTCTAATGTTTGGTTGATCCTGTAGGCTCAGCATCCAGAAAACATCCCCATATTTCAGAAAACACTTTGGGATGAGCCTAGGTCACGTGGTGTGTCCCCAAGTGCAGTAGCGGGTGACCACTATTTTTTATGAGACACCACAAGTCAAATGGCGCTCTCTGAAACAACCTTCTAAAAACTGATCTGACTGACCTGCCTGGCCGGTAAGATATTTGTAAGGCCTTCCGCAGCCTAACTAGAGATCCGAGGCAGCCACTAACTCCACAGCTGTTGCAAAGGTGGCCCTCTCAAACTTTTCATCTTAACCTATGTATCCCATTTTAAGAAAATATGATATTCCAAAAGTGATTTTTCAAAATAGCCAATGTGCTTGTTATCTGTTTTTCAGTATTTTATTCAGAATTTTTTCAGTAGTTTTCCACTTAGACAAATTCAATAGACAACTTTTAAAAATTTCACCTTCATAGTTACGATAATCTTTATAATAAGTACATCAATTTGAACTCTAATCCATTAGTTAGCTTTGGACTAAGGAAATTAAGTTGTACTAAATACAGTATTTTTTAAAAGCCCCTTCATCTTTTAATGACACAAATTTTATTTTGTGTATCCTTAAAGACTGATAAAAAGGCATCAAGATTTTGTTACCTCTTTCTCTGATCTCTTTAGATGGTTGCATCTGTCTAGAAACTGATATCCTGCCATGACCCACTCCTTCTGTATCAGACTCTGAAATCCAGTAATTGTCCTAAAATAGGGATCCAGCATCACTTGAACAAGAGAAGCTACACAACAGCTCAAGTCTCTTCCTTCCTCCTCTGTTAATAAAATGGAAAGAAAATGATTACAACATAGAAAAATGCTGAGAGAGAAAGGGAAGGAAAGGTAAACTAGATAATTTAGTATTCTGCACACCTAGGCTGCCTTCCAAATCTGTATAAGGAAATTTTACTGGATTCCAGCAACTCTAAAATATTACAGACTTGTAGATAAACTAAATTAGCATTTAATAGGAGATGGTCTTTTATACATGGATATTTGCCAGATAATAGAAGCTCATCACTCATACTTTTTACATTCGAATGGTTTGTGGTAGAAAACCCGTCTAGACTCCATTCTACTGCTCTTTTGTCAAGGTATTAAGTATAAGGTAATCTTTCTACTGACAGGCCACATGGCAATACTGAGAAGTGAATGGGGAGAGTGGGACTGTTCACTACCAACTGAAGCTGTGGCAAACGATTCCCTCCTGTCTTTTATAGTTGTTGTCCTTTCCAATAAGGCCAGAATTGCCACGCTATCAAAGTCAGCCAGGGAAATCAGAAGACAACTATTGACCAATATCCCTTATGATTACAGATGTAAAAATCAATAAAAATATGAGTAAACCAAATTATCCAGGAATGCAAAGTTGGTTTAACATCTGTCAATTGTAGTAACGTACCACAGTAATAAAGGACAAAACCAACACGATTATCTCATTAGATGCGGAAAAAGCATCTGATACAATTCTACCTTCATTCCTGATTAGGAATAAAAGTAAACATATTTAAACTGATCAGAGACATCCACAAAAACCTACAATTAATGTTATTCCCATTTCACTGGTGAAAGACTGGATACTCTCTCCCTAAGATCAGGAAGATGATAAGGATGTCTGTTCTCTACACTTCTCCATCTCATTGAACTGGAGAATCTAGCCAGAGCAATTAGGCAAGAAAAAGAAAATAAAAGGCATTCAGATCAGAAAGAAAAAGGTAAAAACTGTCTTTGAAGACAATATGATCCTGTATGTAAAAACTCCTACGGAATCCACAAAATAACTACTAGAATTAATAAATGAGGTCAGTAAGGTTACAGAAATTCTGTACACAACAATCTGAGTACATAGTAAACCTGAAAATGAAATTAACAATTATATTCACAGTGACATAAAAATAAAATACTTAAGAGATTTAACAAAATAAATATAAGACTTACATAATAAAACACTGCTGATAAAATGAAAGATCTAAATAAATGAAGCAGCATAATTCATAACAGCCACAAAGTGGAAACAACCCAAATGTCCATCAACAGGTAAATGGGTAAGCAAAATGCATTTACAAACAGTGGAATACAATTCAGAAATAAAAAGGAAAAGATTGCTGATACACACTACATGAATGAACCTCAAAAACATGTATGTTGAATGAAAGAAGCCAGCGGCAAAAGGCCACATATTGTATGATTCCATTTATATGAAATGCCCAGAAAGGGAAAATCTAGAGACAGAAAGATTAGTGGCTGCCTGGAGCTGGGACTTTTGGGGTGATGAAAAATTTCCAAAACTAGACTCTGTATATTTACTAAAATTTACTGAATTACAAATTAAAAATGGGTGAATTCCATAGTATGTAAATTTTTAACTAAACAAACTGTTTAAAAATAAACGTATATAAAAATGCTAGTAAAATGAAGGTTCAGTGCTACTTCTGAGGCCTTTTCTATTACAAATGCATGGAGAAATGGAGGATGAGTAGGGTTCTCCAATACGATGAGAACACCCACTGGATGAGAGAAATTGTGATTATTAGGCTCTGCATGCATTTGTGAGTTAAACACACACTCTATCAGTTCAGGATTACTTTATATGACACATTACTATTTGATTTTTTTCTAAGAGTCTTAAAGATTTTTGCCTTGTTAAAGTCAATCAAGTTTGGCAGTTGTTAAATGTACTTCTGCAAGCCTGGCCAGGCACGGTGGCTCACGCCTATAATCCTAGCACTTTGGGAGGCTGAGGTGGGCAGACCACCTGAGGGCAGGAGTTCGAGAGCAGCCTGGCCAACAAGGTGAAACCCCATCTCTAGTAAAAATACAAAAATTAGCCGGGCGTGGTGGTGCATGCTTGTAATCCCAGCTACTTGGGAGGCTGAAGCAGGAGAATCGCTTGAACCCAGGAGGTGGAGGTTGCAGTGAGCTGAGATCGTTCCACTGCACTCCAGCCTAGGTGACAGGAGCGAAACTCCATCTCAAAAAAAAAAAAAGTACTTCTGCAAGCTTAAGCAACATTTTGTATTCATATACTATGCAACATGAGTATATAGTCTTCCCTCAGTATCCATGGGGAACTCATTCCAGGGCCTCCTTTGGATACCAAGATCCACAAATGCTTAAGTCCTGGATATAAAATGATGTTAATATTTGCATATAACCTATGCACATCCTCCTGTACACTTTAAGTTACCTCTAGATTACTTATAACACCTAATACAATGTAAATGCTATGTAAACAGTTGTTATACTATACTGTTTAGAGAATAATGACAACAACAAAAAAGTCTGTTCATGTTCATTATGGCCAAAGCTTTCCCCCGCCAATATTTTCAGTCCTGGGTTGGTTGACCACAGATGGGGAAGCCATGGGTACAAAGGGCCCACTACTGTATTATACGAAGGTAGTTTTTAGTCTATTGAACTTTATCTGCAAACTTACAAATTCTATTAGCTGTAAGTTATTTAATATGTAATTATCCTTTGCTTAACTGAAAGATTTTTACATCACCGTTTATTCCTACCAAATATTACATTACTAGCTATTCAGCAGTTCAGTCTAAATTTCTTCATCTCAAACTGCTTCCTTAGAGTCATAATCTAGCATGAGCCAGAAGGTATTTAAACTAAAACAAATTTGTACAAATTAGACAGCAAAATTAGAGAGAGAGAATGCCCTGTCAAAATTAACACTAAGTATTAATCCATTAGGGGATGGGACCCACCCTTCCCATAAAATAGGAAGGATAATTTAATAAAGGGTAAAAACTGGACTACTTTCTATTCTTCTATTTGCAGTCCTTGTGCCACTGGTTTTTATTTATTTTTTTTTGAGTCTTGCTGTGTTGCCCAGGCTGGAGTGCAGTGGTGCGATCTCTGCTCACTGCAACCTCCGCCGCCTAGGTTCAAGTGATACTCCTGCCTCAGCCTCCCGAGTAGCTGAGACTACAGGCGCACACCACCACTCCTGACTAATTTTTGTATTTTTAGTAGAGACAAGGTTTCACCACGTTGGCCAGGCTGATCTCAAACTTCTGACCTCAAGTGATCCGCCCGCCTCGACCTCCCAAAGTCTGGGATTACAGGCTTCAGCCACTGCGCCCAGCCTGTGCCACTGTTTTACTCAAATGATGTGCAAAATCTGTAATGTATTTGATGGTACTGTAGTAAATAAGAAATAGCTAAAACTGATGTGATTTACTTGAATGGGGACAAGCAGTAAACCAAGGCTGGCTGGTATGGTGGTCATGGTGCTTTCAGGAGTTACTTTAGTTACCTTGTAGGACTACAGAGAGATGTTTGCTTTCTAGCATGTATACAAGTTCTGCTGAATGCTTAAGGAATGCCCTGAAGAGAGAAAAGGAAAAGTAGTGTTAAAAATCAAATTTCCACTACAAATACATAAAGTACTTGAAATCAAGCAAATCTAATTTCTCACTTTACAGATGCTCTCTGATCATGATATTCCCATAACTCATGACCCATGATAACCCACTGTAAGCTGAAAATACCCTAAACTGAGACTGTGTGGCTGACTGGCAGCTGTGGCTCCCTGCTGCTACTCAGCATCACAAGAGAGGATTGACTGCTTTCTACTGAAGGCACATAGCTTTCGCATTACCGTAAAGTTTCTTTAGTTACTTATACGATTTCTCAAAGGAGTATATTTTGTAATTTTTGTTTTCTTTTTAAGAGACAGGCTCTCATTTTGTCACCCACACTAGAGTGCAGTGGCATATCACAGCTCATTGTAACCCTGAACTCCTGGCCTCAAGTGATCCTCCTGCCTCCACCTCCTGAGCAGCTAGGACCACAGGCACGAGCCACCATGCCTGCCTAGTTTTAAAATTTTTTTGTGGAGATGGGCATCTCACTATGTTCCTCGGCTGGTTGTGAACTCCTGGCCTCAAGTGATCCTCCTGCCTCAGGCTCCCTAGGACAGCAGGCACATGCCACCATGCCTGGCTAGTTTCCAACTTTTTTGTGGAGATGGGGTCTCACTGTGTTGCTCAGGCTGGTTGTGAACTACTGGCCTCAAGTGATCTTCCTCCCCAGAGCTTTGGAATTACTGGCATGAGCTACCACAACCGGCCCCACTTTGTAAATTTTTTTTTTTGAGATGGAGACTTGCTCTATCACCCAGGCTGCAGTGCAGTGGCGTGATCTTGACTCAATGCAACCTCTGCCTCCCAGGTTCAAGTGATTCTCCTGCCTCAGCCTCCTGAGTAGCTGGGACTACAGGTGCGTGCCACCATGCTTGGCTAATTTTTGTATTTTTAGTAGAGACAAGGTTTCACCATGTTGGCCAGGCTGGTCTTGAACTCCTGACCTCAGGTGAGCCACCCGCCTTGGCCTCCCAAAGTGCTGGGATTACAGGCATGAGCCACCACGCCTGGCCTCATTTTGTACTTTTTCATCAGGGAAATTCATAAACCCTTTATGAAAAGGAAGGGGTTGACTTATGACAAAACTATAGAGATTGAGAAGAGATTAGTGGTAGTCAACAGACACAGATGGCGATGAGGGTGCACCTATAAGAAGGCTAGCACAGGGGAGCCTTGTCATGGAACAGGTCTGTATCTCCCTGTGGTGGTGGTTACGTGAACCTACACACGTGATAAAATCACACAGCTGTGTTAAGGGCATGCACACAGACGACAGCATGTATGAACTGGTGAGTAAGAGCTATCCAGTGTCCCAGTGTCAGCTTCCTGGTTTGGATGCTGTACTCTAGTTACGAGATGTTACTATTGGGGGAAGTTGGATGAAGAGTAAGTACATGGCCCTCTGTGCTATTTTTGTACCTCCAGTGAGTCTGTAGTTATCTCAAAATAAAAAGTTAAAGGAAAAGAAAGTAAAGAAGTACAAACCTTACATATTCTAACCATCGAGTATTTTCCAGTGAAGATAACCATTTCTCTTCAGTTTCTTCAAAAGGCTCTGTAATAAATTATATACATACACATTTTTACTTTTTATTTTATATGATCCCTATCAGAGTAAAGAGATACATCAGTTTCTAATATTTAAAAGTTAGCTTTAAGTAAATATCATGCATTTTCACTTTAATAACATGGAATAAGCATTTAAGAAGACATTACAATTCTGTAACAAAGCAAAACAAAGCATTCCCCTGGGGCTCCATCATCTTCTCTCTCGCTCTTTCAGGGAAATCTTGGAGTCCAACCAACTCTGACTCCCAACAGCTAAGAATTCCAGCCGTCCCTGCTCAGCCTATGCCTTGATCCTGGCCCTCCTGACCTGTGAGGTCAGCTGCCCAGGCCCTAGCCCTTGGCTTTCTCACTGCAAGCCTTGCCCTCCTGCTTCCCTGCCCCACCCCTGCTGCCAGTGGTGCCTCTGTGCATGGCTCACGTGGCCGAGGGCTAGCCACTGCATGAGGACAGGCATCCTCACTGCCCTGCCCAGAGTGCACATAATCATTCAGGACACTAGTTTTTTCAACAACTTGCCCCTGCCCCGCCCCTGCAAGGCCCTCCCCCAGGGAAGTGCTTACTCATTGCTCAAGATCTGCTGCAAGGCTGCCTTTGCTGACTCCCTGGTGACTTAGAGGATCTCTTGAGGAGGACCCACATTACACCAAAGATGCTTTCATGTGACTCATCCCGCAGGACACATGAAAGCCACCTGGTACGTTTGCTCAGATATATCAGAATTCTGATGCTACAGATATAACACAGCTGTTTGATACCCATGTCAAGTCACCTATCTCAAAGTATAACTGTATGTATTACAATCTTAATAAGTTTGTCTGTAAGGTAATACAGTGTTCTACTCAGCAAATGCTTTTATAAAAGTATTCTCCTATACCTTTCATCATCTGAAGGAAATTTAATACACTCATTTTTCCCCCTCTAAAACAAAAAGTAGTTTAAACTTAATTCCTTAGGAGGTTCTGAAGTTCTCATACAATAATATATAATTTGTGCAAATAGTTCCATAGACTCCTTAAATATATCTATTTCTACATTTTTAAGAACATCACTTTTCCTGACATCTCATGCAACTCTGTATCCTGTGTTCATTATATATATGAAATAAGAATGAAATTACCATTAACGCATAGCTGCTTCAGTTTTACAAATGCTGCCTGTACTTCTTGAATATTAGGCAAGGTCTTATCCAAATCTGATTTGTAAACATCACTTCTCTGTGGGTGACTTTTAGTTATTGCATTACAAATCCTAATAAAGACAAAAATACTTTAGTCATTACTCATTCATTTCAGCATATATTTATTTAACCCTTACTATAGACCAGGGGATAGAGAGAGGAATGAGACAGGTAAGGTCTCTGCCTTCATGGAGTTTACTTTTTTTTTTTTAAGACAGAACCATTGCTTATCTTATTTTTTAGTTTTAGAGACTATTCCATCAGGTTTCTCTGCATGATTTTTCTGTATTCTCATAAAACTGAGAGTGAAATCAAGGAGAAGACAGGTAAACTTTGTTTCCCTCTTAGCACCCAACTTCTCCCACCCATCTGGCTTTGACTACTGCAGAATGCTGCCATTCACCTCACTGCCACCCCCACGTGCAGTGCACAGAACAAATTAGATCATTTCCTTCTTTTTCTTTTTGAGACGGAGTCTCATACTGTCGCCCAGGCTGGAGTGCAGTGGCACCATCTCGGCTCACTGCAACCTCCCCCTCCCGGGTTCAAGCGATTCTCCTGCCTCACCCTCCCGAGTAGTTGGGATTACAGGCACCCGCCACCACACCTGGCTAAATTTCTGTATTTTTAGTAGAGGCGGGGTTTCACCATGTTGGCCAGGCTGGTCTCAAACTCCTGACCTTGTGATTCACCCCCCTTGGCCTCCCAAAGTGCTGGGATTACAGGCGTGAGCCACCGCGCCCGGGCTCATTCCCTTATTTCTGATGGGAGAAAATAAAGCACATCCATTGGAACACTTGCCTGGGAAACAGAAACACTGCCAAGGGGGGGGCGGGGCAGCACTGCATTTAGATTAAGGAGACCCTACACTCCCACATCTTTCCACATGATGTAGACAGAAGGATGGCAAACCAGATGCACATTCTCCAGCTCTAGAGAATGCAAAGCACCTATTCCCACAGTCTTAACGATTTGCTGTAGGATGAACTGCAAGTACAGACATTCACCAAAATTCCTCCCACCCTTCCTCTATTCTTAGGAGAGAATGGGCTACTATAAATATGTGCCATGGGGTCTCTAGATCTTTTCAAAGGAAACAGCCAGGACTGGGATTCCCATCTATATTCAATGGGTAACTTCCACACCACTTTAAAAAAAAAAACAAAACCCTGCTGTTGTTTTTTTTTTTTCCTGAATAGAAAAAGTAATATAAATTAGTGTGGAATGTTTAAAAACACCTAGAAAAGATAAGAAAAACAAAATCACTCAGAATTCTAAAATTTTGGTGCAATCTTTCTAGGTTTCCTCTATGCACCTTTATGTGTATGGAATTTAATGTAGGCATGAAAAATAAAATGGCGCTGTACATTTGCTTGATAAACTGATTTTTAAAAATTAAATAACAAGAATATGCTCCCATTTCATTAAAATATGTAATGTGTCATGAACCTGCATGTCATCTTTGTGCAAGGGCTATGCTAACCTTCCCTGTATCATTCCAATTTTACTACTGGTGTTGCCCAAGCAAGTGGGGGGTTGACATTCTTCGTGGGGTGGGGTAGATGATAAGATAAATGGGCTGTGGTGAATGCCATGGATGATGTAATCATGAGATTACAGGCTACTTTAGGTCACATGGTGAAAAACAGCTGCTCTGTGAAGATGGTACTGAAGCCGAAACCTAAATGAATAGAGAAGCAATGTAAAGATGTGGGGTGAAAATGTTCTAGGCAGAGGGCAGCTAGTGCAAGGGCCCTGTGGCAGGTAACAAGCATGGCTGCTGAGAAACCTAAAGAAGGCCAGTGGGGCTAGATGACACACCTGAGGGAAAAAGGTTAGGAGACGAGGTTGGACAAAAAAGAGGATCTGTTCTACTTATGAAGAATAGGATAGCTGAAAACACAAAAGGCATTAAAGTAATTTTCAGCTTAATAAATCACTGAAACTGCCACTGATTATAAGGTTTTATAACTAACTCTCACCCAACAATGCTACAATTGTCCCTTTAACAGCAAAATTCCTAACTGTGCACTTCATCAGCATGTATGCTAATGAAAACAAGGCTTGGAGTATGACACAGCAGACAGTTAATTCCAAATGGAGTTCAGGTAAATCAAAATCCACAGAGAATACGGACTCGTGTGAACTATAGTCACCTTCCTTTCCAGAAAACTGAAGGTCATTTGAGGGTCACTTGATGGTTATTTGCTTCAGTGAATATGGCTCTGTCAGTTACGGTACAGTGGAAAAACCCTACACTCTGGCTGTACCAAAAAGGACTGTGATACACAATTTCTGAGGCTCCATAAGCCTGTTTTATAAGATCTGTTCATTTACTCCTCATTTATTCAACAAGTATTGAATAAATATCATATATGCTTCCTGGGTGCTAAATATATAACGGTGTGCAAAACAGACATAGTCCCTCATCTCATGGAGTAAAAACGACAGGCGGTAATCAAACTGTAACACACACATATATAATTAAAAACTGAAATAAATGTTAAAAACTCAGGAGCTCTAAGAACATAGACTTTTGAGGTCTGATCAAACTTTAGAGGGGAGAGAAGGCTTATCTTGAGGAAATGATGTTTGAATTGAGATATAAAGAATGAGTGAGCCGGGTGCAGTGGCTCACGCCTGTAATCCCAGCACTTTGGTAGGCCGAGGCGGGTGGATCACCTGAGGTCAGGAGTTCGAGACCAGCCTGGCCGACATGGTGAAATCTTGTCTCTATTAAAAATACAAAAATCAGCTGGATGTGGTGGTGGGTGCCTGTAATCCCAGCTACTCAGGAGGCTGAGGCATGATAATCACTTGAACCCGGGAGCCGAGATCGTACCACTGCACTCCAGCATGGGTGACAGAGTGAGACTCTGTCTCAAAAAAAAAGAAACAAGGAGTGCCAAGTGGGTAAGCGTGGAGAGTGTTCCCAGATGAGTGCAAAGAAGGCAGTCCAGAAGGGAAGAGCGCTGGACAATGTCAGGAGGTTGAAAACACCAGGGAAAGTCCAGGGGGCTGGAGCCCAGGGGTGGAGGAGACATGGAAGGAGGAAATGATAGCACTTATAACACACAGGCAGAGGTGGAGCTGGGTTTGTGGAAGCACATGGGTTTGCAAGGTGTCTGAAAAGTGAAGTGAGAAAACCTGAGGAGGGATTGGTGATGGGGAAGGGAAAGAAAGAGGAAGGCATCCAGGATGACCCCCCGGTTTCTGAGAGCAGGCTGGGGGAGGGCATGGAGGCCATATCCTTGAGTTTGGTTTTGGACATAATGAGTTTAAGGGGTCTTTGAGACCTCCATGTAGAAGTCAAGGTAGACTGAAGATATAAATGTGTTGGTCACTAAAGCCACATTCTTGGGGAAACTTCTTTAGGAAAAGAATACAGAACATGAGGAAGCGGCCTTAGAATCTGTGTAATGTCTGGAGAGAAGAGGATGGGTCTGCAGAAGGCACGGAGTGCCAGTGAGGAAGAGGAGCTTCAGGAGAGTGGAGAGGAGCAGAGGCTGAGGGCCCAGGCGGGTTTAAGGAGAGAGTGATCAATAGTATTGCTCACTGCTATGAGCACAACTGAGAAAGGCCTCCTACTTTAATGACGTGGAGGTTACTAATGACCACAGCAGATGATGCCAGACTCGTCTGTGGTGGCTAATTAAAACCACTGTTCTAGCTATTGCAAATGTGTAGACCTAAATAAGACACATCAAACTACAAGAAAAGTTTGATTTATCCTGAAGTGTCTCAACTGGATATCACTGCACTTTGAAAGTATGTTATAGGAAATGCTATAGCAAGATGTCAGCAATGTAAGATCCACAAGTGTCTTACAAACCAAATAATTAAATTATATTTAGTGTAACTCCAATGTCAGTTAATTTTAATATTATCACATTCTTTTCAAAATGGCAATTCTTATATAAAACATGGTGCTAACTAATTAGTAAGACTATGCATTTTGTTATTTTCAATTAGTAGGGAACTCACTGTAGTTACACAACAAGTAAAACTATCTAAAGTGACAATGACCATTTCTCAATTACCTCTGGTCAATCTTCCTCTGCTGCAGCACGTCTTTGATGAGGGCCATTCGCACAAGAGCACTGCCGTTAGAGTGGCTCCAGCACCAGAGCTAGGGGAGAGGTAGAATCCTTACTTCACTGTGTAGAAACAATGGACGTCAGCATTCATAAAATCCAACAGAAATCACTTACTGGCATCCTTCTCCCAACAAAAGAATGGGAAAAGATCTTTAGATCTTGGTCTGCTAAAGAACTTGGCACTACAATGTATTCTGGAAGGCTGGAGGGGAAAAAAAAAATTATATGAGTGCTGTGCTAAAAGCAGGAATAGTGTGCTCCTGCAGACCCTATAAATAATTAAGCAAGTTGTCCGCATTTAATGTGCACCCCACTTAGTAGCCACATGGTGGGCACCATGGGGGGGCAGTGACGATCCTACACCTCTTAGTCTAAAATTGGTGCGATATGACCAATTCTTAAAAATCTAAATTTATAGCATGAGAAAATTCCAAAGAAGGTATTAGAAATATTTTCCAGAATGACTATTAAACATGTATGTGTTCACTGAAAAATATATCCACCTTTGTTCTCTTGACAGGCTATGGTTAAGGACACCAGGCAAACAAAAGAAAACCCCACAAATCTACCAGGAGCTTTAGCTCTCTTCTTAAGTCCCTCTTCTACCTTTCCCCATGCCTAAAAGGCACAGTCAGACTCTAGGACACTGATCAGACAATAATTACTAGTGGGCAAGCTCACTGCACCTCAAGACATCTTCCTTCTTTCCCCGACGTGGCTGGGCAGCCCCATCACATGTTTCTCAGCACATATACCAGAGTGTGCTGGCCTTGAAGCTTAAATTCCAGGGGAAGCAAAAGATACAAGCTACATGCTGCAAAGCACCTTTCTAGAACTGTACTAGAAGTTCCTGGTACTGGATTAACCAGTAATAACACAGTAGTGCTTTTCTTCCTTTTTCTAAAAAGCTGCTTATGTGCGTGAACTAATGAGGACTTCAATGACCTTAAAATAAGGCATTCCAAAAAATTCATAATAACTAAATGACATTAAACAAATTAAAAAAACAAATTCCTAGTCACTTCTAGAAGATCCCCTAGGGAACCAGCTCACTATTTGGAAAAATGTTAAGTAAAGGAGAAAATGTAGATATTTATATTGCTTTTCTTGTACGAACTGTGTTACAGGGCACTAAAGAGCTGGTGAGAGAAAAGTTCGATAAAAGCAGAAAGATGATAGAATTAGAAGGTGAACAATAGCAATCCTTAGTGAAATAACGATCTGAGCAATGATCCTCCCTCCCAGTGCAAAACTATTTTTGGGAGCTCAAACCATGATATAAGAGGGGAACTTTTACTGGGTGGATCAGGTTGACACCCTCTAAGCCCACTGGTCGTCAGGATTACAATGAGAGAGACACAGCCAGCCAGCCTGAGATGGGATGTGACTCCACAGGAGAACACAGAACCACCTAATGAAACATTCTTGCCAAAAGTACTGAACCTGAATCCGATTAAGCCTCTGTTGCTAACATTTTAAAGGAAATATTAGAGACAGAGGAACACATTACGGGACACCCTGGGGATAAAACAAGCAATATCTACAATGTGGAAAATTCTAGGGAACAAATGACCTGGTTTGTCAACAAATAGTAGGTAAAAAAGAGGTGGGAGGAGACTGTTGTAGATTAAAAGGCCTAAGAGACATATTAAGCAAATTCAATGTGAAGACTTTAGATCCTGATATGAACAAACCAACTGTAAAACACCAGTTACAAGATATAATGCAATAAACACTGACTACTGATGACAGTAAGGAATTACTATCAACTTCTTTTAAGGGATACCGTAATTTATATTAATAAGCCTTGATCTTTAAAATAAAATATTTATTAAAACATTATTAAAAACAAATATTCCATTAACCACAACTTGAAAGTCATCAATGACAACAGAGTTTGATGATTATTCATAGGGAAGTGACTTCCAGCCATATATAACATTGCTAAAATTGTACTTACCAAGTGGATATCATGTAACCCTCGTTAATAGAACAAACTCTCCACCCGGAAGCACCTGTCCTCTTGATTTCTCTGTCCCAATCCGAGTAAGTTTCAAAGAGTGGAGTTTTCTGGCTGCTGCCACCACCAGCTCCATTACCTCCTCCTCCTCCTCCTCCTCCATCTCCTGAGGGAATTCCATTAATTTTGTTTGCTGTAGGAAAAAGCAACATTATGAATTTTAACAGTCACATTTTCCCCAGCATTCCCTCTTCTCTGAGCCTCCTGTCACATGCATACTCTGATGTGCTGTCTCTAACCTGCTTCACCTTCCAAGTCTCTCCGAGAACTGTCTTGCCCTTTCCATTTAAAAATAACTCCTTTTTTTTTTTTTGACGGAGTCTCGTTCTGTCGCCCAGGCTGGAATGCACTGGCATGATCTCGGCTGACTGCAACCTCCGCCCCCCGGGTTCAAGCTATTCTCCTGCCTCAGCCTCTTGAGTAGCTGGGATTACAGGCACCTGCCACCATGCACCATGTCCAGCTAATTTTTGTATTTTTAATAGAGACAGGGTTTCACCATGTTGGCCAGGCTGCTCTTGAACTCCTGACCTCAGGTGCCCCACCTGCCTTGGCCTCCCAAAGTGCTGGGATTACAGGCATGAGCCACCACGCCTGGCCTAAAAATAACTCATTTAGTCTTGTCCTTATCCAGCTCTTTCACAACTCCGTAAAACAGCTTTGATTTTTCTCTCCTTCTACTGGCTCTATCTTCTCTGCCTTCAAACGTAAACAGGTCAGTCAACATGATATTGAAAACACTTTGATCACGCCGGACCACTCTAGCTACTATGCTATACATTTTTCTTCCTTCCTTTTCCTGACCACCTTCCCCCAGAATGAAGAATGGCTGCTGCCTAGGTTTCCTCTCCATTTATTTTCTCTTTAATTTTCAATTGTCTTCCATCCCTACCATTCTAACAGAAACTATTCCTAACCCTTCCTCATCTCCGTCCCTAATTGTGGGGTAAGTCCATGTCATTTGATTATTTGCTCCACATATTTTGCCTGGAAAAATGAAACATCCAACAATCATCTCTGTCCTCAAGCCCTTCAAATCTTTAATTTTTCTAATACCAACTTCTCACCTACCTGCTCTTTTCTATCTGCTCATTAGAAAATTCTTGGTTTCCTGTATCTACTCGATTTTCCTTTGAAAAGCTCATCAGGTTCCTTGTTCTTTGCTAGAGTGCTGTTTCCACATGAAGATTACAGCAGGGCAGGCCTAGACTTGCATTTCCTTAGAAAGGAGCCTGCTCTGAGAGAGAAGTAATGCTATCTTCTGGGAGCATGCTCACAGCCTCAAGAGTGCCTGCAAAGTGATTATTGAGAAACAAGCTGTCCCACAAAGTCAGCCAGATCTACCTTGGCAATATCTGGTGACAGATGGCACAACCCATTCTGGCCCAGGGTCTTTCTGCTGCAGGCTGCAACTGTGGCAAGTCTCCCAGCTGGCATCCCCAATAGAATATTCTGCTGCATTTAAACCAGCCAGCAGCTTACCACAAGACACACTTCCCTAAAAAGATGTGTTCATGATGCTAGTCCCTTGCCTTAAACTTTCAATAAGCTCATTTTCCAACCAAATCAAACCTAAATGGCTTCTCTTGGCCTTAGAGATCCCTCACGTAACTTATCTGACCTTCATTTCCCATTCTCCTCTGCAGCCATGCACTACCCTCCAACGTCCCATGAACATGTCATGCTCATTCCTACTGATTATTCATTAATTCCTGGTATAAGACAGGTATTTTCTGAGAACTCCCCATGTGCTAATGCCTGAGAGCAAAAAGATGAATAAGATTTTATCTCTATCTTGAGAGCATTAATAAGTGTGATAATCACAGAGTACCAGATGTCTGAGTGCAATGAAGATGCAAAAGAGAAGGCCCCTAACTCTCGCTGCAGAGAGAGGCCGGGGCAGGAAAAGCTTCATGACTTGACCACAACTAAAGAGAGTTCTAAGGAACAAGTCAAAAGTTGCCAGGTAGCTGGTGAGGAGGAGGTAGGCATGCTAGACAGAGAAGAACTTTAAAAAGATGGTGTAACTGTATAATATCAAGTAACTAAATACAGCTAGAGCATAGGGATTCAACAGGTGGTGGAAGAGAGGCGGGAAATCAAATAGGGCCTAGACTCTAGTATGTTTCCCAAAAACGTAACTTCTAGCCACACAAGCCCATTTAAATTTAAACTGAAATGAAAATTAAATAAAATTAAAAATTCAGTCCATCAGTTGCACTAGCCACATTTCAAGTACTTAACAGCCACATGTGGCTAGTGGCTCTAGTGGCTGCCCTACTTCCATCACTGGATGGTGCTGCTCTAGATTACGGAGGGGCTATGTTAGGAATTTGGACTCCTCTTAAGTGGTATCAGAATTATCCAGTGATTCTGATTTTAACAAAGCTCATTAAAAAGTAAAATGTTGCTGGGCGCGGTGGCTCATGCCTGTAATCCCAACACTTTGGGAGGCCGAGGTGGGCGGATCACAAGGTCAGGAGATCGAGACCATCTTGGCTAACACGGTGAAACCCTGTCTCTATTAAAAATACTAAAAAAAAAAAAATAAGCCGGGTGTGGCAGCACGTGCCTGTAGTCCCAGCTACTTGGGAGGCTGAGGCAGGAGATGGTGTGAACCTGGCAGGCAGAGCTTGCAGTGAGCCGAGATCGTACCAGTGCACTCCAGCCTGAGCGACACAGCGAGACTCTGTCTCAAAAATAAATAGACAGATAGATAGATAGACAGACAGATAGATAGACAGACAGATAGATAGATAGATAGATAATAAAATGCTCATTCTAAGCCCACATCCTAGAGTCCCACTCCATCTCAGGGCCTTCTCTGGAGTAACACAACTAAAAAGCGTGTCTGTGAGAAGGAAGACTTAGGAGTTATGATCTCTCCAGAACACAAAACCTGCATATGGAATTTTTGGCAAAGCCCAATCTATACAGTGTTCCAGTGCACCAAAACAAAGAAAGCTATTCAATATTAGAAAATCTAAGTAATTCATCATATGACTACATTAAACACGAAAAAGGCTATATGAATGACTAGCTCTGTAAGTGCAGAAAAACATATGATAGATACCTGTTTATGACTTAAAAAAAAAAACCCAACAACGTTAGCAAGTTTGGAATAAAAGGGAATTTCCTTAACTGGATAGAGGGTGTTTATCAAAAAGACATAGCTAAGAGCATCTTCATTAAAAGCGGGAAGTGAAATTATGCCTGCTAATATTACTGCTATTCAACACTGAACCAGCAGTCCTAGCCAAACAATAAAACCACCACCACCAAAAAAGAATTATAAAAAACACACTCAAAATTTTAACAGTTATGTAAAACAGTTTGGTGACTGAGTCTAGCAGCACTGAATACTTTTTAGTGTTTTGGGTTGCAGACTTTAATAAGCTAGGCTAAGAATGTGCTATTGTTTATGAGATTGTTTCTCTGGCCAAATTTTGTTTCAAGATCTAACTTACACAAATTTTTCTAAACATAAAATGAGAACATCTATATTTTCTAAGCATAAAGTGAGATCCTCTATCGTTTGTTATTTTTGCCATTTCTCTCGTTCAAATCCTGTACTTTTCTAAACAACTGGGACTAGGTCTTTTATATGTTCTATATCATCTTCAGTTAGAGCTCATTACAGAATGTGTAATGTATACTCAATCTGGTTTTATAGTCCAGAAATTTGAATGCTTTCCAAAGTTCAAAAGACCTGATACCAGTGGCCTGCTCTATGAGTGGATCGCTATGAGGGGCTGGACCAACACAGTGAAAGGTGGGTCATCTCAGGGAGACCTGGCTCCGCTGACCGCTACCTGACTGAGGTTTTATGACATGCCTCCACAGCAGACTAAGAGTGAAATAGATATTATATGCTCCTGACCTTGGCTATCTTCTGTGACAGTACAAAAGTCTAATCCTATACTGTTGGGGTTATTTTAGATAATTTCCACTGAATTGGCCAATTGATATCTAGAATGGCTTCAAGCAACAGAAAATACAAGTCATCAATATATGAAAAGAAAGCCCACCACTCTGATGATACTGCAGAAATTAGAAGTCACAAAGGAATAAGGTAAAAAGAGGACTGTGAGTATTAATCAGTTCAAAAGCATGAGTCAACAAAGTGGTTCTTAACTGGGAGATTCTGACCTGTGCTGGAGCCAACATGGCTGCATTTCTAAAGGTTCCTCCAGTAATCCTGATGTATACAGCTGGCTGGAACCACCAATATTCAACAATCATTTATAGCTATTCTGAGAATCTTAAGCAACAAAGTTTAAAAATTCCTATACTGTTTCAAATGGATTGTGTACCTTGTGTTTTTCAAATAGGCATTTTAAGGAAAATCTAATAACAAGATCTATGTTAATAAAAAGGATAAAATTAAATGTCACTGAAAATGTACAACTTCTGATGTGAAATTTCATTACAACTTCAGATTACATCACAGCATCTGTAAGCAGGATGTCTGTCATGAAGCAGTTGCTGACACTAGGCTGCAGATAACTTCATGAAACTTTCAATATTTTTGGTCCAGAAGCATAATCTGACATCTTATCAATTCTATAAGAAAGATGAATCTGTACTTTTTTGACGTTATTTGCCCAATAATAATCTGACTGATGAAAACAGAGTCCTCATGGTTTCTTTAAAGTTAAAAGAGAAAAAACAGAATCATTGTTCTTGTTTGTGCTAGTAATATCTCCTGGGGTGTTTGTGCAAAGCGATGTTCCAAAGCCTGGGTGCTACACATCTTACTTTACTCCAGGATATTCACAGAAGTGTTGGGATGACTGCAGGACCTTTCAGAGATGGCTTTTCCTCATGTGATACTGAATATGAATGAAAACCTGAGTGACTAAGGCCAGCTAAAATATCATTTTCTCAGATAACTGCAGGGGAGCTCCTCCAACTTTGGATCTTATTTGTGGAAACAGCTTTGTCACCTACCTGCCTGCAAAAAGGACTTCTTTAATCCAGCCAATGAATCAAGGTGTCATCCAGAAGTTCAAGAGTGGATGAGTGGGCATCTTTCACTCACAAATTAATGAATTCTGACTGCAGTGTGTGGAAATTTCAGGCTCCTTTTGATCTTAAAGATGCAGTATTTATGCTTCTGTAACAGCATGGAAGGATATTAAAGGATGTTACCCTACGAGGAATCTTAACAAAACTATGGCCAGTGTTATGTTTATGAGGTACTTGTCAAAGGAGGAGTCTGAAGGATGTAATATAAAAAAGCATCCCTGAATATTTTCAGTATTAATCATCAAATTTTATCAATAAGCTATATAAGAAGAAATAGTGGAACTGAATGATGTAGATTTTAAAATTCCAGTAGTAGAAGACCTATGGGTGGATAAACTAAAGTACTGTAAACCAGAGATGCCCACAAGGTATGAATGAAGAAAAATGTGGAAAGTAACTGAAGCAGGCATCAGGTTACCAACTGTATAATGAAGTTTACTGTCTTTGCTGAGCCCAAGTCACTACATTACTGTAGAAGTTATGGATCTGTAAACTGAAATGAATCATTTCTATTGGAAAAACAGCAGCATGAAGAACTGGTCTGTATCATAAACAGTTGAGCAGGAATCAAAGACTCACTCCTACAACCCTTGCAACTCTGGGTGAGGATCTTATTGAAGATAACCTTGATCACTGTTCTGTAGCTTGACGATGATCCCAAGGAGTGTTTACCTAATAGTGCAGGATCTGTATACTTTATTTTTAGACAGTAAGTGAATTTACTTAATATTAATAAACTTCAAAAAATAACTGTATTGCTTAAGCCTCAGTTACAATTTATGTATATATCGATAAGAAAAATTAAGTTACAAATACTTTTGTTATACAATTTCTATAAATATAATACTGTATGATAAAAGCTGCTCTGCAAAGCATTATTTTCATATATTATCTCTACTGTATTTTCTTTTTTTTTTTTTTTTGGTCCTCTCAGTGCTTAACAGAAAGGTAGTTATCTTTTAAACTAAGGAAAATTTACTTATACACATGCATCTTCAGATACCGTACACTGATACATTTTAATGTATTTACAATATAGTGTTGCTGGAATATACTTTTATTATGCCAGTTATTTAAATTACTACCATGTTTCGTGGTAACAAAATATAAAATTTCAGTACAATTAATAATTTGTATGGCCCAGAGCATGCTGGGTGAATGGATTTTTCATTATAAATACACAGCTGATTTATTTTTCTTGCTTAAATAAAAGAACACAGGCTTCGCTCAGTTAACTGACTTGCAGTCACTAACTGACAATGGGGCTAACAGGAGACACGGCTCTTTGTTTTTCTCTATCAAGATATTTTTAAAAATTGTTTATTAAAATTACATTTGTACGAAACAGAATGTACAGAATTGCATGATCATCTGGAATCTTCCCTGGTCATGTCATGACTGTCAGATATATAGACAAAACTATTTACTTTCACAAAAGCTGTCTAGAATATACTTGTCCTTGGAAAAATGCTCATCTTCCTTTCATCAGTATTACTCAGAAATAGAAACTCAGTATTCTGAGAATCTTAATGAAGTCCACAAAAAGTTTTTAATCACTTTAGCTTTTGCATGAAATCACACCTTGCCAGAAAAGATTATGCTTTTAATATATCTTTTAGTTTTCTGCCAGTTTTCTTAAAAGATAAGATTACTTTAACTCAAGCTATCAATTAAAAAGGGTGGGTTATATATTCTTCATCATAAAATACAAGCCAATGACTGGAGATTAAATATCTGACATAACTTATAAGCCCATATTCATAGCATTAAAGGTTCTTCCTGGTAACTTGTCAAGAAATAATCTGACAAACTATTGGCTCTTTTAGCATGTAGTGCTTACTTCTCTAAGGTATGAAGCTAGTAATTCTACAATCATTAAAGCTCATGTACTTGGAGGCTTCCGGTAAACATAAGAGTAAAATTTACACATGTAAAATTAGTCACAATATTTAATATTTTCATATTTACCTGAATTGTGGTATTTTTTCCCAACATATTCAAATGCAAAGAGTAGCTGGAGGTCTGTTGGCTGGGAATAATGAGCTATTGCAAGGCATACCTAGGAAAAATTCTACATTTAGAATTTGATTTTAACACACTTAGTTAAATGAAATGTACAATAAGGCCTTGGGCACTGGGAGCATCATCTTGGGGCAGTGATTATAGATACTATTTACATGTTTTTCTGTTGACCTAGAATATAAAAGAGCTCCTTAAGGCCAGGTATCTCATTCACTTTCATGCCCTCAAGACATTGTTTATCTTTAGCTAGCACATGGCAAGTATTCAGTAAGTATTTGCTGAGTTAAATTTTAATTGGAAAGTAATTTTAGTCCAATAAAGAAAGCTTCAAACTAAAGAAGCATTCTCCAAAAAGGCAGTGACTACATGTCCACTCCAAAAAAGGAAGAAAAAAGTTTCATTTTTGGTGGACTATAAAGGATTAATATAAGGCATGAAACTTTAAAGTTTACGCCTCATGGATTTAAACATCTAAATAGAGAAACATAATTACAAAAAATTAAAATTAGCAAGAAACTCCAAAAATGCATGGGTGGCTCAAAGAGGTACATCAAAAAAACAACACACACACACACACACACACACACACACACACACACACACACACACAAACTGTGTTTAAGTAAAATGGTTTGGGACTGTGTGCCCTGTGGTGGAAAACGTGCGGGCTTTAGAATCAAACAGATCAGGGGGCTTGAATCCTAGCTCTGTCAAGTACTTGCTACATAACATGTGTGAAGTCATTTCCTCTTTTCTAGCCTCAGTTTGCTCACTTGTAAAACAAAAGTAATACCTAGGCTGTGGTAAGAATTAACAAGCTTAATGCAGGCTAGGCCTTTGGAGGAGCTCCATATATAGAAATATGGCTGTTATTATTCTCAACTGCTGCTAGATAGAATGAAGGATGGTGCTCTAGGCTTACAAACCCTGGTAGTCACTAGAATGTGGGAGAAAATGCTCTTCAGTGAGCAAAGACGAAAGAAGAAATTTAAGACATATGCAAGGAAAACATAGCAGAAAAACTTATTTAAAAGATTAAATTTTATTTAGAAGGTAAAGCGTTAAGTTAAGGCAGAATGATATACTTTTGACAGTGAGTAAGAAAAGTTAATTGTTAGTTCATGTCAAATTAGTGGTGTTTGGAGTGGGTTGATGCACATTTCATTAACCAGTAAGCATGTGTCAACTTGTTTAAACTACATTTTAAAAGTCTTCTATAGAATAAATGTTTCCTGTCTCACTAAGTTAAAATATACAAACAAGGGGACAGAATTTGTCATTAGTTTTGACCAAAAAGAAAAAAAAAAACTGCTTCTTGAAACTTACGTGGTATCTCGATTTCTCAATACCTATAGGAGAGCTTTCTATGACGGTCCCACTTGCAAAATTTAGGAGCCGGTTATCTATATTCCCATTCCTAATCTTTTTAACAGTTTTCCTTAAAGCATTTCTAGCAGCAAAACTACTGAAATCTGTAGCTTGAAAAAGTTCTCATCCTTCCTATTTGTTTGGGCACCGTTGATAAGCTATGTTGCACTTTTCTCTAGACATTTTTCATAGTTGTCCATTTTGCTACACTGCCATAGCCACATCCTTAGGCCATACTCACCTTATGGCACCTCTGAGAGCTTCCTTACATTCTAGAAATCTACAAAACTTAAGGATTACCTTCTAACGATGTAATTCTGACTAACAATTTTGCTCTCCTGATAATCTGCTGTGGTTCCCAGACATCTGCATAACAAATTAAATCTCCTCATTCTTGATTCTTCACAAAACTGGCTCTCCTCACCAGGTAACTATACCTTCCCAATATTCCCTCCGCAATCTCAGGTCAGAGAAAAACAGGTTTGAACACATTCTGCCTGACTTAGCCCCAGCCATCTCCACTGTCACACTCTTTGCTTGGAAAATCCTACTCCTCTTAGCCAACTATGCTTTCTTGGAAACTGTCATGTCTGTTCAACACTACTCTCTTCACAAGCCTTCCTAGAGGGAGCCAATTTCAGAGTACTAATTCCAGAAACCCAGAACAACAGTTTCAATATAAAGCGTCTCTTTAGTTAAGTGCTTATTTTGCTTTACTTCCAAGGTATTCACATAATAGTTATGATGTGGATGAAAAGTAGGATATAGGTGGTTCTGTTACACTTCTACCATGAAGGTCAATTCCTTAAGGATAAATGACACATTTCACATTGATTTAACAAATATTTACTGAGTACCTACAATGTTGTAAGCCCTAGAGATGCAGTGAACAAAACAGACACTAATCCCTGTCCTCATGAAGCTTACATTCTAGTGGGAAGACAGACACTAAACAAGATAAAGAGAAAAAATACAGAAAGTTAGATAACTATGAATGCTAAAAGAGAAAAATAATAGAGCAGGGAAGGGGAATATGAAGTGTTATAGTGAGAAGAGGGAGATAGGCTAAAAAGTAGAGAAGGAGACCAAGAAAGACCTCTCTGCACAGACTTGAGTAAAGATCTGAAGATGTCTGCACTTTGCAGCACCACTTCAGTAGCTTTCTGACGGTGCTCTGTGTCCAACAGTGGCTACACTAATATTCACTGACAAAAGTAGTTACCAACATATTAAGGAAAATGCTCCAAGCCAATAATAATAATACTAATGTCTATCACATTCTCCAAAACAATTAGAAAGCAGTTACATGCTCTTTCTGTTTACAGAAAAGAAATTCACAGATCATTGATCATGGACATCCTTTTTTTGTGGCCATGAGGCAAAAAAGAAATAAAGCCTATTTTCAAGGCAAAACCCAACACAGCGTATTTTTTAAAAGCCCCTTAAAAATAGCACAATATCACATCAGGTTAGGAAACAAATGAGTATGTCCAAAAGCATCTACGCTGAAAGAAGTCTATAAAAATATTGTAAAACTGCAAGTCAGTTGAATTACTCGTTGATTTTTTTGGGGTGGCAGAACTCGAACTAAATACATTGTTTTTCAGTAGTGAATTTCAAGTGTATAACTTATGTTCATATGACCTAAGTAAGAGGCCTCTTTGGACACACAGACTAAGGCACATACAAACTTGTGTACCTGGATTGTCTTCATGTTGTTACTGTGGAACACTCCGAGAAGAGAAAGCCAGGGCCCCATTCTTTGCACTTTTACATACACACTATTTTAAAAACCTAAGTCCAAATTCCTACCTTTCATCCTAAGAGTTTTTGAAAGATCTGAAATACTTCATTTGTCCTGGCTACCATAGGAAATGAAGAAAATGTTGGTATTAAAGACATTAAATTATGGCAAATATTTTATTGGAGAAAAAGAAGTAAACTACTTTTAAATCAATTTTTGGACCAAAGCTGATAATCTTCTCTGGACAGAAGCCAGAAGTACCCACAGTGGATGGTTTCTTTCCTAAGATCACCTGGGGTGCAGTACTGAAGAAACTCAAATCCAGGAAACACTCAAACCTCATTAAGTTCTATCTCATTTGCAAACAAAAGTGGTTTATTTCTGTGGCCTGAAAGCCACCAAAAAACAGTACCAGATTCAAGTCAAAAATGACAGTTCATGAAAAGGCCAACTTGTTCCTTAATCAGATGAATGGAATTCACTTCTATAAAGTATTCCTGAAGAAGTGATTCACAACCCACTAATCAGAGAACAAAGTGGAGACAAAAGGCATGTATTTCACTTGTCACTCATGTGTATCTATATATTTATCTTTATCTACACAGACAGATATATAGATAAATCATTAAAAACAACCTTTATTATTTTGCCCTTCAGTTTTGAGCAAAGGTTCTGCAAAAGAAAATGGTGGTTCTAAGTTGCTATGAGGTTAGATGTCCAATTCTGCACCATCAAATTCCTTCTTTCTTTATACAGACCTTTCCCAAATATCACTATTTTCCTGTGACAGCTCGAGGATAATGAGGATGAATATTAATGAGTACAAGTGCCCAAAGCAATCTAATTTTGTCATAATACAATTGAAACAACACCAACAAGACAACCAGAAGGGTTCAGAACATTTAACAAAATGTGAACCAATTTAGTATTCTTGAATTTCATTTTTCAAAACAAAAACATAAATGGCTTAGGTATTTCAAAATGAATCAACGGTTTACCCACCAGAGAACTCCAAACATGCATTTCATCATTTTAAAGCAACTGATAAAATAGCAAAGCATTTTCCAGAGAAAACAGTATTCCAAGCTTCCAGGAGGTAAAAATGAGCCATAATTTCCTAACTGCTACCGAATTTTAGATGAAAACTTTTCACTTGAAATAAAAGAATATGCCATAATTTTTGTTTTTAACTCACAAAGCCGTCAAGCTTTGGTAGCCATATACAACTTAACCCTGTTTGAAATGCGTAAATCCCAAAAAAACTATTTATATTCTCATTGCATCTATTTTTTTTTCCTGCACCCTCCCCTGCCCTGCAACCCCCGTGGCTATACAAAAGACAGAGACTCACATGCTTTTTATATTTTAGGATACTGGGGAAAAGATTTTTGTCTGAAACTTGGTCTTAGGAAAGGGCATATGAGGGACTGGCTTGTTTTGTGCAGACGGTTTAGTAAGGCCCTCTTCATGAACCAGCAGCACAACACATAGGGGATATTCTGAATTTCCACAGCACTTATTATGCTCTGTTCATCTGGAAATCAACTATTTGTGTAGTTGATTTTATGCTGCCACTTTGTACCATTACTTTTCATTTGTTCATGCTTTATCTTCTTCACTAGATTTAAGTTCTCTAGGGCAAGAAACTGCATCTTACCCTTCTTTCTACTTGCAAAATTTAGCACACTGCCTCAACATGAAAAATGACCAACAAGTACTACAGATGGTTCAAGAACTAGGCCAAATAATTATTATTTCCACTCATTAAAATAGTGTAAACTGAAAAATACAGTAAAAGAGGGAGAATTGAACTTTCCGAAAGAGATCCGGTCAATTGCATCAATTTCTTCCTTAGGAATATGCTGTCCTAACTCAATCTAGCAAGTTCTGTGATGTCCCTAATCTTGAGATGCTACACATCTTAAGGTTTTCATAAGCAGGTCTTTGATGCTTTGATCAATTAAATTACAAATATAAATAAGCTTGAGGAATTAACCTGTCTGAAATATTTTATGTACAGTCTAATACATCATGAATTCTAAAGTCCTTCTATATAATAGGCACTTTAAATTAGTAAAATGCCAAAATCACAAACAGCACAATCGAACAGGTGAAAGAGGCTTTAAGAGTTATCTAGTTGAATTTTCAATAATGCAGCTTGCTGAGAGATGGTTATACAGACCATTTGAAAACTTTTACCCATAGAGGAGCCTACAACCACTCTACTCTGCTAGACAGTCACATATTTTCAGATGTATTTTCATATATTCATCTCCTGCTTGCCTTCCTGTGAAGAAACTGTTGGTTCTCAATCTAAAAACAAATCTACCACCTCTTCACCAAAGTATATGAAGACAGCTGCCTTACAGTATTTTTGCCAGCCTTGTTTTGGTATCAACAGAAGATTTACTGCAGTCAGTTGACTAACCATGGAAAACAAAGGCACTCATTGCTTGGTGGTGCAAAGACTGCCTCCATTCTGAGAGAAAGCCACGTCCTATTATACTAAGATACTGTTGCCCTATTCCCATACACACGCGCAAGCTTCCTACTGGAAAGTCTGTGACTCTGCATTTGCTGCAGCACAGACTGGAACGGGGGCCATATTAGGTCTACCAGCTTCACTCCTCTGGCAAAGCAAAACATGGAAAACATGCCCTTGACTCTTACAAGTAGGGTAATAAGTCATTATCTGGAAGGCCGTGGAAAAATAAGGCAGTTAAAAAGTTACTAGCTTTGTGTTGCCCCTGTTGAGTGTCACTCAATTCATAATATTTCTTTAAACCACTAATAATTACTAGGCCTTTCCCGTAATTATATATTTACCTAAATCTTATGTAACATAAGTCTAGCTTACAGTTTGTTGGTAAAGTTCTGCAGTACTGAATTAAAAGCCTAACCAAACCTTAATTACAGTATATCACCAACTTTTCAACCTTTTAACCAAGAAACTGACAAGTAATGATCTTTATGTAAAAAAATGCTAATTTCCACGTAAGAGTCTTTAATATTTGAGAAGCTGATAAAAAGTTATATAGAACACTTTAAAACAGCCATAAACCAATCCAAGAAAATAGTTCTATTAATATTCTTGGCTTTGACTTTACTTAAGAAGATGTCTGATAACTTCCCCTAAAAAACATCTGAGCAATTGAGAAATGAAAACTGCCATACGGAATTGAAATCAGTAAACACAGTACAGAACCCAGAACTTGATAAACCTTAACAGTATTACCTTTTTAGCACTTTCGGGACCTGATTCATCAAAGCGAAATCTGACAATTCTGAAATCTTTACAATAAATAATTAACTCTGTTGGATTAAATTTCAGTTTCTGGTTGGGGCCTAGGACTTTCTGCTTCCTCTTGTGGTCGTTTACTAAAAAAGAAAAAAAAATAGAGAAAATAAAATGCGTAACAGTTATTTGTTACTCACCCTTTAATACAAATTCTTAGTGAAAATAATTGGAAGGTCACCCAACATTTGAGCTCTGCTTGTCTAGAATGTTTCATACTTGTAATTCCTAGAACTTGGGGGTTGGTTTTAACTTTGCTTTGGAAGATATTTTAAATGATTATTTGCATAAAACCACCATCTAGATACATTTAATGATTAATTTTAATTAAAAAGAGGACAAAAAACCTAGAAACTATGAAAAGTTATACATTTTATATCTTCCTTTTAAAATAATTTATTAACATATCCCTCTTTATGTTCCCGGGACTCAAAAAAACGGCAAAAGTAAACTTACAGAAATAAAACGCCAATCCAAGTATTTTGAGAGGTATGACTTTTCAAATAATACTTCCAGAGTGGAATTGACTTTTAGAGTATGTACGGAATACTACGTACCTGTGACAATTTGCTCAATACATGTTAAAGGGACATCGTGTTCACCAAGAAGAAGGTTTCTGTAATGGAATTTCTGGAATAAAAAATTATGTTCATATTAATTCTTTTCCCAATAATCTCACAATGGTAGTATAAGCCTTAAACTGTGATGATAAACTGTGACAGTTATCTCTAAAAAGCACAAAAAGCTTTTGTCTAGGTAGCTAGGGCCATTCCAATGTTGACAGATAGAAATTAGGTTAAAATGTACACAACAATCTTATTATAATACCTAAGATAGGGAATATCATCAATCACCTTACCAGCAAGCATTTGCATGTCTAGATCTGGATAAGCTGGCCACAACATATTAAAGAAAAAAGGGCTCTTAGGTCATCAGATTTTAAGTGGGTAAAATCATGTTTGATTTTCACACTGAAGATTTTAAAGTGCAAAATAACTATCTTTTTAAAGCACAAAGTCTACTAGAAATAAAAACCATTAGAAAAGGTTTTGCATGTTCAAACTAAGGACGTAGTTAACACTATCAATCCTGCTGTCAGTAGGGCACTGGTTTACTTTTTCCTAATAGTGGTACTGGATTTAAGCTGTTCCAGGTATCTGCTTCTCATTTACAGTGAAGTCTGGGGCCAATGATCATTATGAAGCTAAAAACAAAGAGAAACACACAAGCCTATATCCAAATAAGCTACTGTCCCTACACAGTGGGTATCTTTAAGTGCCTTAAATTTAGTCTAAATATACCTACATAAGACTGTAATGAACACACAAATATACAGTACAATAAATATTTGTACAGTATAATAATTATGGTAAATTAGTGAGTGACTACATGAAATATACTTACACTAAACTATTAGATCCTTAAATTTAAAAGTTTACAGTTCATATACCAATATTTCATTAAAGAACAATTACTATAAAGAAAGATCTAGGGGTAAGTGTGTATAATACTTTATAAAACAAAATACAAAATGGCTGACAGAAAAGTCCAGGGTTTTTAAGTTAATCAAATGAATGCCTGAACTTCTAAAAACCAAAATTACATGGAACTATTACTTTCCAGTAAGAACATAAAATAGCAAGAGGGCTACTGAAAATTTTTAAATCGATACTATTCTTCACTCTTCCTAGAAATTAGAATTTAACTTTTTAGGAAAATAACTCTAATTAGTTTAAAAAAAAAAAAAAAGGTAGCTGGGTGCAGTGGCCTGTACTCTGGCACTTTGGGAGGGGGAGGCAGGCAGATTGCTTGGGCTCAGAAGTTCAAGACCAATCCGGGCATCATAACAAAACCCCATCTCTACAAAAAAATACAACAGTTAGCCGGGAGTGGTGGCATGCACCTGTAGTCCCAGCTACTCAGGAGGCTGAGGTGGCAGGATAGCTTGAGCCCAGGAAGCAGACAGAGGTTGCAGTGAGCCGACATCATGCCACTGCACTCCAGCCTGGGAGACAAGACAGAGCGAGATCCAGGCTCAAAACAAAAAAATCAAAAACCCAACAACAAAAAAACCTATGAAATCACTAAAATGTGTGGCATTTATAAAATCATTTAGCAAACAACCTTTTCTCTTTATGTCATTTTTATAAGCAGGTTAAAAGATCTGCAACAGAGGGAATAACTTCCTTAATGAAAAGGACATACAATGAACGATCACAGAGGATAAATAAAGCAAGGTGACTTACAATCCTCTCACTAATACTCCTCTAGCAAGTTCCAACATTCTTCTTAAACTTTACTTTAAATCTTAATATAATTTATCCCAAACATTGCATTACCTAATACTTCTACTATAACTTTTCCATACCTATGTTTTATATAATAATATGTACCACTTAGAGTTGAAAGCCTGATAGAATGAAACAGTGTACTAATAAAACACACCTGTAATGGCATTGGGTCATCTGTAATAAAGGAGATTTTGAAGTTACTGCATATCAGCTTTCCCCACAAATCGTACTGGCTTGTGTCTGTTGCAATGCATTTTCTCACAAAATTGACTTCATTTACGACAATTTCTCCTTTAAAAAAAGAAAAATATTTGTAAGGTACTTTGTCATAAAATACCAACGGTCTTTGTGGGACCTAGAAGGAGTGCTTCATGAGGGCAAGGATGAGGATAGTGAAAACATTCACCAATTGCCCACCAGGTGCCAGGCACTGTATGGTCATAAAGTGAATAGTAATGACAAGGCATTGTTCTCCAAGGCGTAAAACTGAGGCAAAAATAGCTCAGGGGTCTGAGCTGGTTGAACCAGAAAGGCTGACTTCAGTGTACTTTTTTCCTATGCCATACTACCTCTCATTATTTATCTGCTGGAAGACTTTCTGGAGAAGAAATAAACTACACCTGCTCCTTCAGAGTATTACTTGATGGAATATTTGTGTTTTATTAACACATGACTTGATCTCTCAAACCAATGCCTTTGATTCCTTTTGTAAGGAATGAGAAACAGAGCTCAGCTTCACTGAATGTAAAATGTATTCCATAAAGCCAAATCAAGTTTCCTTCTGCACTCAGATTATAACTTAGTAGGCAACAAAACCTTAAAATGTAGTTTGAGTTAAAAGAAAAGATTAAAAGAAATAAATATAAGAAACCAATATAAAAGTTATAATGTACTTTTGAAAGAATACTTTTCTACAATTTATTTAAAGCTTGGTCATCATTAAACCTTAATTTCAAGATCTAAAAGTCAACTAGACGCAGAACATTTTAAGCCATCTGTCTCCAGGGTCAATGGTAGAAAAGTGAGTGTACTGATCCACTTTGCCTATTTCTTTCATTATAAAAACCTTTAGCCCGATAGAATGTTTGCTGACAAACTCCAAACTCCTACCAATTCATGAAGAATGGAACTATAGTCTCAAAACAATCCTCTCTTTAACAAATAGGTTATAACAAATTTGAGCTGCAATAACTTTTATTCGAAGTTCTTAAAAATGTACAAGGCTAGTTTTAGTAACTGCCCCTTAACATTTACCTAAAATCTGCTCATGTCAAATTCACAGTGCCAACAGCTTGAGTTAACTTCCACTTTGAAGACAAGCCTCCCTCTCATGGCTGGGAGCCCTGCATACCCAGCCAGCTACCAGCCTTCCTCACCCTCACTGCTCTGCCCACAGTGGTGGCCTATTAATCCCTCATGGGACCATGCTTCTTCCCATTTCATGGAATATTCTTTTCTTCTACCTTAGTCCAACCACTGTCTAGGGAATGCCTCTTTAAAAAAATCTTCCTATCTAGTTTACATTCACATATCGAAGCATTGTATTTCCAGCACTCATGATAGCTACAATTATATTTATATATTTTTAAATTAATGCCTGCATTACCCTCAGGATTATATGCTCCATGAGGGTAGAAGATGGACTGACTTTATTCACTGCTGAAATGTTAGTGCCTAGAACAGTGTCTGGCACAGGGTAGGTGCCTGTGAAAAGAGTGCTGAATGCAAGAATGAATAAAATCACTTCATGACACTTGGTTCTGTCCACCATGAGTTGGGCAGAAGTTGTTCTAGATAAGAGAAACTAGTAATTCAATATGGCTAAGCAGCCAAGCTGGCTGGAAGATAAGGGCTGTTTGGGTAAATGATATGTAAGTTAGAGAAGAGTCACAGAACTGCCACTGCTTGTCTACATATGCATTAAAGAGCTATAAATAGGACATCTGTCCTGTCTGATTCTTTCAACAACCTGTAAGGTGAGGAAGGCAGATGGTTTCCTTAATACACAGATAAAGGATTTGCACCCAAAGAGGTTAAATCACTTTCCTAAGATCTTAAAAAGAAGTAGTGGACTTCGCACTTATAACCAAGTGTTCTGACTTCAATTCCCATAGTCTTTCCCTATAATTACATACAATTAAATGTACTGCAGTGTAGCAAGTACCAAAACTTATTAAAGTTCAAATATTGGCCTTAACTGAATTCTAACGAGAAAAAAAATTTAAGATGACCAAATATATATATATATAGACGCACTGAGTAATTCAAATACATAAAATTTAAATCTTCTTTGGCTCCTTGAACATAAACCTTACCAATTCCCATATCAGATTCTGGGCCACTGAATACTCAACCCTTTCTCCTCTCCAGTAAATCTTAGATATGAATTGTAAGCAGGCCCTCAATTTAAACAACTAAACTAACCATGCCAGTTCAGATAGAGGACACAGCCCTGTAACAATGACTTCTTTACACGGAATCATCACATACTGTGCCACCTTAGCAAACTCATCTAAAAACAGACTCTTCAAACCTTGCTACAAAAATTCATCCACTTCTAAGACTTATGATCCACACAAACTTGTTATGCATGTTATACTCAAATAAAAATTCACTTAAAGGCTGGGCGTGGTGGCTCACATCTATAATCCCAACACTTTGGCTGAGGCGGGTGGATCACCTGAAGTCAGTTTGAGACCACCTGAGCCAACATGGTGAAACCCATCTCTATTAAAAAAAAAAAAATTTAGCCAGGCGTGGTGGTGCGCCAGGCGTGGTGGTGCGCACCTGTAGCCCCAGCTACTTGGGAGGCTGAGGCAGGAGAACTGCTTGAACCCAGGAGGTGGAGGTTGCAGTGCACTCCAGACTGGGCAACAGAGCTAGACTCCATCTCAAAAAAAAAAATCACTTAAACAAACAAACTACCATATGATTTCAGGTTCCTGAGAAGGGAAGCAGAAGTAATAACAGGAAGGAAGAGACAGAGCTTGTGTGGCAGAGCCTTGTGGCCACACTAGTACCATAAACAAACTGTATTTAGGAGTCAAACGCCCATGGACAGCCCTTCTTCTCTAGAAGCCAGATTCTTTTACTGATGCACGAATGTTAACGTATCAAGCCTATGAACGCAGTGAGAATGAGACAAAGAAGAGGAGGAGAATATACTTAATGGGTCCAACGGATGGTAAACCATGGCCCACGGGCCAAATACAAAACCTTGTTTTTGTAAATGAAATTTTAGTAAGACATAGCCATACTCATTTGTTCATGTGCCATCTATGGCTGCTTTCACAGGACAAAGACAGAGCTGAGTACTTGAAACAAATACCTTATGGTCCGCAAAGCCTAAAATATTTACTGCACTTCACAGAAAAGGTTTGCTGATCCCTGTGTTAGAGATAGTTACTGAAGCGACAACTCTTAAAATTATCTGAAACAAGGTTTAGAAGACACAACTGGGCATGTCCCATCTGAAAGGTGAGAAGTGAAGCACCTGAAAAGCAGGTGTTTTTGATCTGCAATGTTGTAGCCATTTCAAAGAGCTCTAGAGGACCACTCACAGGAGTGATGAGGACAGACAACCTTCCTACTAGAATGTGTCCATGCAAGTCAAGTCAAAAGATCCCTTTCTCACCAATGAGCTACAGCACTCAGCAGAAAGTAAATATGGAAACCAGGTTTAACTGCTGTACTGCCCATACTCCATCAACAAAAAGCAAAAGCAAGAATTTGGAAATGAACCCCGAGGGGCTAGATTAAGAGTTTGAGATAGCAGAATGAACTTATGCTTGCCTTAATAAATATACAAATAGACATGCAGTAACAGATGTGTGTACACCTGGGTTGGTACATGTGTGTATGTTTTCTAGCTCTGCCCTCTGAAAGTGCTAAAAGCAGTGACGCTCCAGCAACAACATACACACTCAGTACCCAGCTCTTGCTTTTAAAATACCATTTTCCAATAAAAAGAACTAGGGCTCTTTAGAGAAATGGCTGATTCCAAGGCTGGGGCAGGGGAAACAGAAGATGAGTCTGTAGCCTCTGGTAATGCCAGAATACCAGAAAATATGGAAGTGGGGGTGAAGAAAAGCGGGGGGACGGCATTTCCAAAGGATACAAGAGCCAACATGAAATAACTCTCAATGGCCAAAGCTGGAACAATCTGAGCAACAAAAGAAATAACAAAAATGCCGGATTAGAAAGTAAATTAAAAAGTATCTGTGAATCCATACTGTTGTCAACAGATGACTGAATAATAAATAAATAAATGGCGGAGAAGAGACAAATCTTCCTCACAGAAGAATTCCAATTAATAAATGTAGGAGGAATAAGGAAACAAAATCATGATTAGAACATTACAGTAAAGATCAAGAAACTATCATGGACTCAATGTCATAGACTGAATGACTGCTGTGTGCAACATGCATTGATGAATGCTAAATTCAGAGAGCCAAACTTTAAGGAGAAACAGGTTATTTGTATAAGCACAAAGCTATCTTCCCAAAAGTATTGACTAATTACTGTGGTAGTTTTAAGGTATGCCCATAAATTCGTGATTCTCCTCTCTCCAGGAAGTGGAGCTTAATTCCCAATCCCTTGAATGTGGGCTGCACTTAGTGATTTGTTTCTAACAAACAGTACAGAAAAGGAAAAACAGTCACTTTCTAGAGGAGAAACCTGACAGATATCACTTTAACCTGAAGTGATCGAGGTTAACCTCACCAATAACCAATGATGTTGATGTCTTGTGCCTGCTCACATGACACAAGGGCAAAGGATACCACCTCTGTGGGTCTTTCCCAAAATCCATAACCTCTGCTTAATCAAAAGAAAACATCGGACAAATCCAAACCAAGAGGCATACTACAAGACACTACCTGAATAATAATCTTCCAAAGCGTCAAGGTTTTATTGGGGAATCTAAGGAAAGGGTATCCACAGATTCTTCTGTTATTTGCAACTTTTCTCTAAGTCTGAAATTACGTCTACATTTTTAAGTCAATTTGATGACGTTTCTAGGGGGTGGTTTGTTAGAACAGAAATCTAGTAATTATAAAATTTTTCCTTTTGTAGTAGTATATTTCTATGTTTAAAGAGCTTTAATATGTATTATTTGAGGCAAAATAAAAATCTCATTCTCATGCCTGTAATCTTAGCACTTTGGGAGGCTGAGGCAGGCAGATCACTTGAGGTCAGGAGTTCGAAACCAGCCTGGCCAACATGGTAAAACCCCGTCTCTACTAAAAACACAAAAAATTAGCTGGGCCTGGTGGTGCGCACCTGTACTCCCAGCTACTCAACAGGCTGAGGCAGGAGAATCGCTCAAACTCGGGAGCTGGAGGTTGCGGTGAGCGGAGATCACGCCACTGCACTCCAGCCTGGGTGACAGAACAAGACTCCATCTCAAAAAAAAAAAGAAAAGAAAAAGAAAAAAAAGAAAATCAAATTCAATAGAAAAAAACACGTCAAGGTCTTGAAAGATGAGATGAAAAAGCTGTCACAGACTGAGACATTGAGAATAAGGAGACACGACAACTAAATGCTATGTAGTATCCTGGATGTGAACCTGAAACAGGTAAAGAACATTTGTGGAAAAACTAGGGAAATACGAATAAAACCTGCAGTTTAGCTAATAGTATTGTTGGTTTCTCAGTTGAGCTAAATTCACCAAGGTTACATAAGCTATTAACATTAGCGGAAGCTGGCTGAAGAGTTCACATTAACTCTATCCTCTTTTGTACAACTCTTACAAATTCAAATTCATTCCAAAATAAAACTACTAAAGAAGAAAATAAACAAGAGACACAACATTAACAACAGCCAAAAAAAAGAAAAAAGAAAAAAAAAGTGAAAGAAGGACTCTCTGGGCCAGGGTCTTTTAAGCGCCACACAGCCTTTTCTTACAGAATGGAAATGAGCCCTTGGAAGAGAGCAAAGAACAGAAGTACAGAGGGATACAGGGGAAGAAGAAAGAAAAGAAGGGCACTTCTGAGGATATGCTACAATTGGGTCTTCCTATTACAATAATTAAGTGTCGAGTTAGTGACATGAGTTTTATTTGATAATGCTAAATTTTGTTCATGCAGAACCAGTCTTTAAAATATTTGGATCATGTAGCACAGCTGTCTGCTCACGTAAGTCATTTGTTCATAATTTTAAAAAAAAGGAATGCTGAAGAGGAGCTGTCATAAGCTCCTGCCATGCACTGAAACACTGTGGGCCAGAAAACTAGCTTATACACAGGGAAGAAAAAGAAGACACAAAGTGGCCTCTTCCCAGATAGGATATATAAAAAGAAGGTACTGAGACTGCTCTTGTTCACATGTTAAATTAAGTGACCTTGAAGAGAAAACTCCGAATAAAAGCTTCAAAGCTCTAGAGGATCTGAAGTTTTCAGGGAGACTATACGCCTGTGCTTTTTATGCAGTAAAAGGGTGGTGTGCTAGAGACGGCTGGCTGGCCTGCTTGTGAGAACCCACCAGACTCCTCTCTCCCAGCTCTGTGCTATGCCATCAGCCACGGTGGGACCATTTACAGCACCAAGCACTTCCCAGGATGCCACAAGGAAGCCTCATGAAGCCAGAAAAAGCAGGAAATTAGCTTCAGTGTGCGGTAAGCAAAAACCTTCTAAATTAGAGGATGATGAGCCAAAGGTTTCTACTAACACCTGGGAAGAAATCAAGAAATCCAAGTTTATTTTCTCAAGACCCTTTCATCTGTAAATATAAATAAGAAGGGAAATGCAATTACAGTTAATAAACCTCCAAATGATATGGCTAGGAAAGTTTTTAACTCCCTGAGGACCTCAAAACCATGTTGTATTATCTTTCCTAACACCTTATACATTTAGAAATTCATCACGTTTGATGGACAGAAATAATGTTTCCCATACATTTTAGGTTGGAACACAGTTTAAGGCAAAGTCTCACGGCACACGTGGCTAATTAACCTGTGGGATGTGTAGAGGCCAAAAGCATAACTTAACTTGGGCTTTTAACAGTAGGGTGACTGCCCCAGTTTGTCTGGGACAGAGGGGTTTCCCTGGGATGTGGTATTTTTAGCACTAAAACCAGGACAGTCTCAAGCAAACTGGGACAAGCTGGTCACCCTAGCTTTAGGTAAATTCAGGAATTAAAGTGGCTCAAAAGTTATCACAGGAAATTGAAACTATGTGGAAGATAAACACAAATCTTTAATGCTGGTACTAACACACAATGTAAAAAAGCAAGTACCAAGTCCAGTGAGTAGCACTCAGGATAGGATGGGGCAGGAGGAAGGGTATAGTGCCGATCTCAGGAAAAATTGTAGAATGAAATCTTGAAGGAAGAAGAGCATTGAGATAGTAGAGAATGTGTGATAATAACAGTAACAAGGTCCTAAATAAGGAATAAGGCATCTGGAAGAGACCAAGGAAGCGGCATGATTGAAGCAAATATCAATATTGGGAAATACTGAGAAATGAAGTCAGTGAGGTACAGTGTTAGCAAATTACAAGGTTAAAGAATTTGGATTTTATCCTGCTTAAGTAGGATTTTATTTATGGAGGTTCATGAACGGTGTTGACAACGATAGTGAGGAGTTTGGAGGGGTAAGAAAATGCTGGCCTAAGGTACTGCAGCAAAAGCCTAAGGAATGGACAGCTCCAAACATTCCTAAGGCTCTACGGGTAAGGTATAAAGCTAATGCTAAGATAGTACAGTTACACTGTTCACTGTTCTGAGGGTGTGTTACAAGTCCTTTGGTCTTTCAAAAACAATGCATTCACAAATTAAAATACTACAAAAATCAGTCTACAATCATTTATGAAGCCTACCTACAAAAAGGAATTACATAAAACACTTGAAAGATAAAGTCTTTGCCTTTAAGGAATTAACAACCCAACTGAGGAAATAAGACGTATGGTGAGACAGAAAACAAGAACAGTACGGGCCAGTGAGCTTGTAAAAAATAAACAAGACATCTATACAACAATGGCTATTTTCATTTCCCAGATGGCCCATGGTTGTATGCTTTTCTGATCCGATTACAAAAGACTCTGACAATCACTGCATTCATTATCTAATAGTTAATCTCAAGAATGAAAGTGCTGTGAGCACTGTAGATGCGAACAGGGAAAGAACTGAGCTGACGCACAGCCTCAGCACAGGGGCCCAGGCTCAACGGGCACTCAAGATTCAGAGCACAAGCATTTGTTTCCAGAGATCTTTCTTGACACCCCTGCCCTACTCCAAATCTGGCTTAGGTGACCTTCCTCTGAGCTCTTACTACTTTTTCTCTCCTCTACTGAAGCATCTCTCCAGTGAACTGAAACTGTCTAAGAACAGGATCCCATCTCCTCAGCATTTTACCCTTCTGCCAAACTGCATCAAGCACACACTCAATACCTGCAGAACAAATTCATTATCGTTAGTCTTGGCATTTCAACTCTTCTCCCTTAAAAAAGGGCATGCCCTGGGGTGAGAAGAGAGCAAAGGCCATCAAGCCCCACTCACTGCAAATCTTACATCCTCAATACAAAGCTGCTGGCATTTCACCAGACTGTGCTTCGGCACAGCCAGCAACAGGAAGTCCACTACCTCCCTAAGACATTCCATTTTCTGGCAGCTGAAATTCTCTGAAAGTTCTTCTGCACGCTGGGTCAAAATCTGTCACTGTTGTGAAAAGGGCAAAGACAAGGACAGAGCTCTTTTTACTTCACTAGAGAACTCCCTCTAGGCTGACATCCAATCTACTCCCCAACAGTTCCAAAGCATAAATCTGTACCCTAGTGTCACCAGTGCAGCCAGGTGGGCCGTGCTACTTAGCAGTTAGTGGCACAGCCTGGGAGCTGGACAGAGAACTCTGGCTCTGCCTTGCTAGCTGTGTGACACTGGGCAAGTTACTTAACCTCAGCAAACTATAGTTTTCACATCTGTCAAATGGAGATAAACTGGTATCCTAGCTGACAAGACTGTTATGATGATTAATCTGCAAGCTATATTAGTTAAGGATCCTCGTTCAAAGTATGTTCAGAAACATGCCTGGTAATAGCTTAGCAAAAAGAAGAATACAAGGCTTTTGTGTCACCTGGCCTGCAAGGACAATGAAACCCAGGGACTTCAACACACATTAGTGCACTTCCTTGGGGTTCTTCACTCTTTTCAACAGATTCTTCTGGAACTGTGGCCACTTGCAGCATTACCAAAGAGGACCTCTTCCCTTAGTACCAACCTAACAACATCCAGAGGCAGACCTGTGTTCATGCTTGCAGTCCAGGGTGGGTTATTAACCTTGCTGGCCACACTGGAACCCAAGGTTGGGTGGAGTTAGTCAGGAAAGGATAATTTGTCAAAAGAGGGAGGATGCATTTTTCAGAGGATGGTGGAAGGGGGCTGGGTGTGGTGGCTCACGGCTATAATCCCAACACTTTGGGAGGCCAAGGTGAGCCAATTGCTTGAGCCCAGGAGTTCGAAACCAGCCTGGGCAATATAGTTGGACCCCATCTCCACAAAAAATACAAAAATTAGCCAGGTGTGGTGGCGCACGTCTGTAGTCCTAGCTACTTGGGAGGCTGAGCTGTGAGGATCACTCGAGCCCAGGAGGTTGAAGCTGCAGTAAGCCGTGATCACACCACTACAGTCCAAACTGGGTGACAGAGCGAGACCCTGTCTCAAAACACAAACAAAAAAATGGCAGTACTCCTAGGCAGACAAAATAATTAATGTTCTCTGTGTGAGTGCTCACAAAATTGTATCTATAGTATTATAATAATCTCATCTAGTAGGTTCTAGTTTAGATTCCAAACCAGGTATAGTGCAAAACTAATTTAAAGGACCAATAAAGAGTTTTTAACTTTTTAATTTTGTTAACTTAAAAACTTTTTTAAAGCTACAGCTATTATCACCAACATTTAACAAAAAAAGTATCTATTCCAAGTAAGTTAGAAGAACATAATCTCAGAATAAAAGACAATCTTTTAAATCAAATAAATTTATCTTTATTAAAGAAAACTGCACTTTTCTTAATTTTCTCACTTTGACCAAGGGCTGGTAAAAACTTCATCCAAATCTGATACCAGGCCCTGGCTGGAATCTGGGTACCAGTGATCCAGGTCACAGTCTTCTACCTTGTCAACAGGCAGCTTAGGGCTCACCCCACGCCTTTCTGCGATACAGGCACATGACACCTCCAGCATTCTCGCTATCCAGGACAGACCTGGCACCCAGGAGATACTCACATCCTCACCGAACCGATCCACCAGTCCAGCAGCTAAACAGGACAGAGTCTGGCATTACATGCTCTTAACAAATATATACTGGAACACAAACATATATACACACACACACTTTAAAAGTCAAACTCAGTTTTCAAGTATTGGAGTGATTTTACACATATACAATATAATCACTGAAAGAATGAAATTCACATAATGAGAGGAAGATAAAGAGAAAGCCTACACAAAAGCTGACTACTTTGACAGAGTACTCTATTTCAATTCCAGGCTCCGACATAAATCTCTTGAAATGTCTGGCATAAAATAACACAGTCTTCCCTTTACTCCTAAATCTGAAAGTTAGTCTGTGTGTGTGCCTGGGTAAGGTAACAGTTTAAGCCAGGTGGTCTGAGAGGTCCTTTCGTTCAGTCCCTCAGTAAACATCTCAGTGTCTACCACATTCCTGGCACTTTGTGAGACATCAAGACCACAAAGTTGAAGTAGGCACAATACCCATCTCAGAGTTTCATGTATCAGGAAAGCTGAAAATTACTAACATAAACCACAATCTAAATTAAATTACTAGTCATTTTCTTCTGTTTTCTTTACTTAATAAAAGATGAGGATCATTTTGAAATTAGGCTTAAGTTCCAACAGTGCACATGGTGACAGCACACAAATAAACAACTCATTTTGTGTTCTAATTTTCATCTGCTTATTGAATTAGAAGTTCAAACTTTGGGCAACTGAAGTAGGATACCCTTGGACCCAAGGCATTATGCCAAAGCAAAGCATGCAATACCATATCTCTAACAATTAATTCTTTTTTTTTTTATTTTTTTTTTTAAGTTCTGGGATACATGTGCAGAATGTGCAGGTTTGTTACATAGGTATATACGTGCCATGCTGGTTTGCTGCACCCATCAACCCCGTCATCTAGGGATGACGCCGGGAATTTCAAGCCCCGCACGCATTAGGTATTTGTCCTAATGCTCTCCCTTCCCTCATCCCCCACCCCCAACACCCCCGACAGGCCCCGGTGTGTGATGTTCCCCTCCCGGTGTCCATGTTGAACAATAACTTCTGCATCCCTGTATATAGCCACAGGTGATGTGGCCAGGTTTTCTATTGATTCTGATAGTCACAAAGGCAAGAACTATATTATTCACTCCCTCTTAGTAAAAGCTCTAGCCTAGTCTAGGTCTTTAGATCACCAATAGTTCGGTAACTTTCCACTTGTCTTCCAGATTTCATGGGTAGAGCAGTAGGCTACAGGCCAACAAAGAGCAAATGGTAGCAGTGAGAGATGTGACAGGCGAGGTAAAGCAGGAAACAGAGACCACAACAGGGCAGCCAGACAGAACACAGCCAGGATGGGTGCAGGAAGGCCAGAATGAGAGGGTAAGAACAGAAGGGGAGAGGAAGGGGGCAAAAGACATCCTAATTCAGGACCGGCTAAATGTTGGGTAAGGATAAGTCAGGTACAAACAGAATGCTGGGTGATAGAGCCGTCATGTATGCATGTACAGATTTCAGCTATGATTTGGCCGCCAATGCAATAAAAATTAACACAGGTCAGAGAATTCCTTAATGGGCAACTAAAAGGTTCAGACTTAGTGTTACAGCTCTTTTAGAATTTCTCTAAAAATAATACGGATTTAGCTGCCATTTCTGGGACAAGAAAAGCACAGTCAGAAACTTGGTTTACAACTTCCCCAGAAAACTCTGACTTTTAGCCATTTTATAGAATTGATAACCCTCAGTGAGAAAGTTCTTCAAGTTTATGCATACTTAGTAACACCTTTTCTTAGCACATATCTTAAATTTAAAAGCTAATTTTAAAAAAGTGGCCAGGCGCAGTGGCTCACGCCTGTAATCCCAGCACTTTGGGAGGCCAAGGCGGGCGGATCACCTGAGGGCAGGAGTTCAAGACCAGCCTGGCCAACATGGAGAAACCCCATTTCTACTAAAAATACGAAAAATTAGCCAGGTGTGGTGGTGGGCTCCTGTAATCCCAGCTACTTGGGAGACAGAGGCAGGAGAATCGCTTGAACCTGGGAGGCAGAGGTTGCAGTGAGCCGAGATCACGCCACTGCACTCCAGCCCAAGTAAGAGTGAGACTCTGTCTCAAAAAAAAAAAAAAAAAAATTTAAAAAAAATTTTAAAAAATTAAAAAGCAAGCACTGACATTTACAGCTAAGACCATGTTGTTTCTGAGTGTGAAATCATAGTATGCAGAGTGGAGGAATCAAAGCCTAAGAACCAGGCCTGTTCAGAGTAAACGAAGTCAAAGTTCAATAGCTCATAGGCACTCATTCAAGATGAGTACTGTTTCCTCGTCCCTGCATTTTAAATGCTCAGAGTGACTAAGACTAAAACAGAGCACACAGGGAGCAAGGGTTACTTAGTAATTCTACTGTTCACTCTGAGGAAAAGTACAAATGATTAATTAGTACACACTGTTGAGTGAAAAGCACTAACAAAATCAAGGGAAAATATTTATGACTCCCATAGTAAAGTTTAAAAAACACTTTTTAAACTTTCATATGGAACCAAAGTTTGGTGTTTTTAATATTTTGTCCCTATATAATATTTAAAATTTTAAAGTTTCCACATTTGTTCAATTTTTACCTACAAAATTCTAATTATTTTACCGATTTGGCTTTAAGTAATGAGTCAGATTTTACAATGCTGATAGTAGCCACACAAACTAGTATTTGATTTCAGGTTTTTTTTTTTTTTTGAGACGGTGTCTCACTCTGCCGCCCAGGCTGGACTGCAGTGGCAGGATCTCGGCTCACTGCAAGCTCCGCCTCCCGAGTTCATGCCATTCTCCTGCCTCAGCCTCCCGAGTAGCTGGGACTACAGGCGCCCGCCACCATGCCTGGCTAATTTTTTTTGTATTTTTAGTAGAGACGGGGTTTCACCGTGTTAGCCAGGATGGTCTCGGTCTCTTGACCACGTGATCCACCCGCCTCGGCCTCCCAAAGTGCTGGGATTACAGGCATGAGCCACCGTGCCCGGCCGATTTCAGGTTTAAAACAGGCTTTCCTAAGTATCTGGCTACTTCCCCTAATAATCGCATTAAACAACTGACTTTTCCTAATTATTATACAATTGTTATACAATTCAAAATACCATACCAATATTCTGTATGCTCTAAAACAAACCCCTTTCTACCACCAATCCCTACTTCCATCTCTAAGGTCACCTATAGCAAATTTTGTTCTAAAGCAGTGATTCTCAACTGTGAGATTTTTGTCCCCCAGAGGTAGGGGACAAAAAAAAATTGGCAATGACTGGTGGCATTTTGGTGTGGCAACTAGGTCGCAACTAGGTGGTGGGGGATAAGGGTACTACTACTGGCATCTAGTGGGTGGAGGCCATCTTTGTTGCTATACACAGGACAGCCTGCCCGTCCAACTATGAATTATCTGGCCCCAAATGTCAATTAAGTGTCTCTGCTGGGAAAAGCCTGGTTCTAAACTGAAACAAGCAAATTTGCAAATACAGCTGACAACTTCAAAAAACAATTGCCAAGCAAGTAATTCAAAGTTCACTAAGCTCTGTTATTGGTATAGAGACACACACATAATAAAGGCGTCTTTTTATACTATCAAAATGCATTAAAATGATTAATCATTAATGCAATAAGTGGCAAACACGTCAGCAAAGAGTACTTTTACTACCCAAGCAATTAAACATATACATCTTTTCAAAAAGAAATTCGGGAGACAAAAAAGGAAATGAGGTAATGACATTCTTGACAGTTCCTTTTTCTCCTCTCAGTCACTAGACTTTTAACTGGAGAAAGTTTAATGAGAGAAGGGAAGTTAACCACATGATACTAGTCGGCAGAATAATCTTAAACCAAAATACGTTGCTAAAGTATCTGTTAGAATCCTAACTAATGTTTACCTGGCAAAAGGACTGGCTCCAGTTTTTTAATCTTCGGTTCCGAATTGATCTTATCGTCAGTCTGAAATACATTAGCAAAATAAATCAAAATCTCAATCCCCCCACCCTCCGTAAAATGCTACAGCAAATGTTGTTTTCTAAGTGATGACACATGCGAAAGACACACAGCCCCCCATTTAAATTCTTTCGCATATTAACTGAGCTGTTTTTAAGATCTGCTCATTATCGACTTGGAAGCCTAATAATAAAAAATGTTTAAACTGCCAGTGTCGCTTCCAGGTGTTCACATTTATGACAGACGGGTAACCGCCTCGACCAGTGACCCCAAGCGCTGCAATCATGCTGGCGGTCATAGGAGGGAGGGTCGATGGGTTGGAAACTAAAGAAAACCCCAGCTCCCAAGGCTCCCCTGGGCCTCAACACTCCGCAAAACTACGGACGACAGAACTTCGGGCAGAGAATGGCTGCAGAAGAGTTTTACAAGTTTTCGCCGAGCCAGTGGGGGCTCCCGAGAAGGCGCATTTCGCGGCGCCGGGAATCAGGCAGCCGCGCTGCTGTGGGCAGGGAGACGCGCGCAGCCTCCTGGGGTCCTCCAGTTCCCGGGGGTCGGCCTGGAGGCTCCACGGAAGCGCAGAGGAGAGTCGGGCGCTCGCGGGGAGGGGTTGTTTACCTGGGGCGGTGGCAGGAGGTAGGACCTGAAGGTGGGTTTGGGCGGCTTGAGGGAGAACATGGTGCCGCCGCCTTTTCGCCCCGTTCCCGTCGCGGGCCAGTGGCAGCGCCGACGCCTCCGGGCGTAAAGCTCTCAGTGCGGCCGCCCAGGCCCTTTCTGCGGCCAGCCGAGCCGGGCGGACTGACGGGCGGGGACACGGCGCAGCGCCCGCCCGAGCGGGGAGGGGCCGGGCACAGCCAGGCCGACGCGGGCGCCGGGGCCCATCCCCGGAAGGGGCCCGGTGCCCCGCCCCGAGAGACGGCGCGCGCAAGGCCGCGGCCCGCCGCTCCCTGACCGTGTCCCGTGCTAGTGCCGGAACGCAGCGGTGGCGCCAGGTGCCCGCTGGCGGGCCCTCAGCCGGGGCGCCGCGGGGAGCGGAGCCCGACGGCCATCTCAAGAGCGCGGCCTCTGGAGGGTCCTTCTACGGCGGCCCGCAGGGGTCAGGCGGCCCGCGGGGGCCTACGGCGGCCTGCGGGGGCCATGGCGGCAGCGGTGGCTGCCTGGGACGGCGGCGCGGGGCGTCTTCTGGCCGGGCTGCAGTCCTGGGACAGTTCCCTTGACTTACACATGGGCCGACTTCGCCCTCCGGCCTGGGCGAGCATTGTTTTGAAGCTCTCAAGGAGGAGCTCAGGGCAGGGAAAGGTGACTCGGGTCCAGGGGTCAGGCGGTCACCCCGTCTGCGCCCAGGATGCGAGGAACCGGCACTGGGAAAGTGGGCCGGTGCCGCCAAGCACAGGTCACTTCTGAGCTCTTACGGTAATTCTGACTGGAGCAGATTTTGGTGGGAGGGGGCTAGTGGTGTTACATTTTGGTGAATCTATTACTTGAGACTAGGTCCTTCTTATACCTTGAAGAATCAAACCCCAATCCAGCATTTTATGATTAATGCCACAGGGAAGCTTCCATGCAGCCATACCAGTCACAATCACGCTGATGAGTGTTACTCACAGGAACATTTAACAATTTAAATAAAGATTCAAAAAGTTATTCTTTTTCTGAAAATAATTTATCCTGGATTTAGAACCCTACTGATCTTTCAGGTTAACCTGTTTGAATTCCACTCTGCCCAAGAACCGTAACCATAATTGTATTTTTTAGAGTCAGGGTCTCACACCATCACCTGGGCTGAAGTGCAGTGGCATGATCAGGGCTCACTGCTGCCTCCACCTCCTGGGCTCAAGTGATCCACGTGCCTTAGCCTCTCAAGTAGCCGGGACTATGGGCATGAGGCACCGTGCCTGGCCATAATTGTACTTTAAAATGTTAGTTCCATTGGATTAGAAGTGTTAAAATCACTGTCGTGCACACTTTTTAAAAAATTTTTATGAATATGCTGTTATTCCTCTATATTCAACGGATATTTTCTACAAATACTCTTTAAGCAATAATTGGCTTTTTCTTTACACTTAAATGACTCTGTGATTTGGGTTTTTCTGTACAGGTTTTCTTAGGATCTGCAATTCTAATATGTGACCATACAACTGAAAAGTGGAAAAACTCTATTTCCAGATTTATTATTGTCTTAACACTAAATTTTATGGCATTTCCCAGATATCTGGTTGTATTAGTCTGCTCAGGCTGCCATAACAAAATACCACAGGTTGATGGCTTAAAGAGCAGACATTAATTTCTCACAATTCTGGAGTATAGGAAGTCCAAGATCCAGGTGTTGGCAAGGTAGGGATCTGCCTAACTTGTGGCAGGCAGACAGGTGAGGGCTCTCTGCCGGATTTACAGATGGCTGCCATCTCACCATGTCCTCACACAGTGCGGGGAGGGTATATAACATGCTCTCTGGGATCTCTTGATGTCTCTTCTTGTAAGGACGCTAATCCTATCAGATTAGAGCCCCACTCTTACTACCTTATTTAACTTTAATTACCTCCTAAAATCTCCAAATGTAGCCATACCAGGGGTTAGGGTTTCAACATTAGCATTTTGGAGGAACACAATTCAGTCCGTAGAACTAGTTTTATAACCTCTTCTCAGACCCTGATGCCCTTGACTACGCTGTATGTTTGGTGTTATTGCCTACCCCCTGCTTTTGGCTCTAATGTCACTGTTTTGTCCTGCTTCACCCATTTTTCTGTTTTTGTTTGTTGTTTGTTTTGTTTTGGTTTTTTTGAGGCGGAGTCTTGCTCTGTCACCCAGGCTGGACTGCAGTGGCGCAATCACGGCTCATTGCAACCTCCGCCTCCCGGGTTCAAGTGAGTCTCCTGCCTCAGCCTCCCAAGTAGCTGCGATTACAGGTGTCCACCACCACGCCTGGCTAATTTTTGCGTTTTTTTAGTAGAGACGGGGTTTCACCATGTTGGCCAGGCTGGTCTCAAACTCCTTACCTCAGGTGAACTGCTGGACTCGGCCTCCCATCACCCATTTTTCTGACTACACCTCTGTTTCCATTATTGGATCTTCTATCATTGGGAATGGTAGCATTCTCTAAAGATCACTTCCTTTTCCCTATCAAGAAAAAATAAAGCTAACATTTCTTGAATACTGATCAGGTGCTAGGAACTTTATATATTCATTCAGCACTCATTCAGTGAACTCATGAATTTGTATTGAGTACTAACATTGTGCCAAGCACTATTCCGGACACTAAGACAAAGTTTCTACTTTCATGGCATTTTCATTCTCGGTAGAAAGATAAAAAATTAATATATAGCATGTCAGGTGGTAATGAGTGCTGTGAAGAAAAATAAAACATAGTGAGAGAAAGGTGGTTCCATTTTTCAGTGGGGAGTTGGATATGGTCAGGGAAGGACTTTCTGAGTATAGGACATTTGAGCAGAGACAAAAGGAGTAAGGGAAAAGGCCAAGTACACATGAGGAGGAAGAGCATTTGGGACAGAGAAGATTAGCTGTGCAAATGCCTTGAGGTGAGCGCCTTCGAGGGGTGTTTGAGGCCAGTGTGGCTAAAGCAGCCTAATGCAGTCAGGGAGGAGGGCAGAGGGAAACACAGGCCAGATCACAGAGGCCCCAAAAATTGAGAAGATTTTATAAGGTTTTGAGGTAAGAGTGCTATGATCTGACTTGTGTTTTAAAATAATCATTTTGACTGCTGTAGTGTGCAGCAGGGTGGCCTTTGGAAGACCAGTTGGGGCCTGTTATAACAGTCCAGATAAGAGAAGGTGATGGTGGTAGCAGGGGAAGTAGTTAGAAGTGGTTATACATAATGTTTGCAAAACGAGGCCATGGCTTGAGTATGTGGTCTTTTAAGATGACTACTAAGTAATTTAAGACATCTGTTTCTTGAGGGAGAATTGTGGAAAGATGACAACAGCAGCATACTTTTTCAATCTCTGCATAAAAACAGACAAAGCAACTATATGGCAAAACCAAAACCCAAGGACAACATCTATAACAAATCCAAATGAAATGGTATCCCCTTGATCTCAAAAATATAAATGCGTGGGAACAAACCAATAGCAATAATATGGCAATAATAAGTAATAAGACCCTTGTGGTATCAGCATAGAGAATCAATGAGGCATCTGGAGAACCCCAAAATAGCTGCAAAGTGTTCCCTGGAAGGTCCAGCCAGTCAAGTTGAGAACAGCAGCAGAAACAGGAAAGGGTATTTGCCTTCTCTAAAAACGTGAGAAGGCACGAGCCTCCTGGTAAAGTCTGGAGGGGCTGGAGTAATGTAGCTGCAGGAACTCTTGAAACTAATCTACTAGGCTTCCTTGCAGGAAAGAGACCTACACTGCTGGCAAACTGTTGGGCATGGAAACAAAATTGAGCTAAATAGAGACAATAGAGAGAAAGGAAAAAGAAGTTCTAGGTAAAAATGGAAAACTAGGAAATCTCCAAAAGTAAGCCAACTTTTCAAATAAAAAAGAACGAAACCCACAACACTAAGCAGTAAAAACGGAAGTTCTCTATGAAGTTAGAAAAACTAGGCTGGGCACGGTGGCTCACGCCTGTAATCCCAGCACTTTGGGAGGCCGAGGCAGGCTGATCACGAAGTCAGGAGATCAAGACCATCCTGGCTAACACGGTGAATCCCCATCTCTACTAAAAATACAAAAAATTAGCCAGGCATGGTGGTGGGCGCCTGTAGTCCCAGCTACTCGGGAGGCTGAGGCAGGAGAATGGCGTGAACCCGGGAGGCGGAGCTTACAGTGAGCCGAGATAGTGCCACTGCACTCCAGCCTGGGCGACAGAGCAAGACTCCACCACAAAAAAAAAAAAAAGAAAAAAGAAAAAAGAAAAAAGAAAAACTATCCTTAAAACTGCCTCCTTCAAAAAGTTCAAGAAAACCAATTTCACATAAAAATAATCACATGAAAGTATGGAAGTCAAATCACATAGAAAATTATTGTAATGAAAGACAATAAGAACAGAATAGCACTCATATCCACAATAAAAGCATACCAGAAAGGATGCCCACAAAACAGATAAAAACTAACATCCACTATTTCACAATGAGCCAAAAGATACTAAGAAAATGATATGAAACATGAAAAGAACTATGTAAATCAGAACTAGAAACATTCAAAATGAAATGAATAAATTCAAAATAGAATCAGAAATCAGAATCTGAAATTAAGAATAAAAGAAACCCAAGGATGAATAAACACAATTGATTATTCTTTAAGAGAAGATGAAAAGGAGAAAAATTCTAAAAAATCAAAAATCAATGAAGGAAGTTAAACAGATTAGAAAGAAAGTCTAGATATTGAAAACAGGCAAAGGAGAACTAACAAATAGATAATAGGAGTTCCTGGGGGAAACAAAAAGAGGGAGGAGATAAGGAAACAGAACAAATACTACAAACTGTAGTTTAAGAAAACTTACCTGAAATTAAAAGAAAATATTTGAAACTGCATATTGAAAGAACACATTGCACCTGAGAACATTGATCTGGGCTTACCAGCACTAAGACACATTCTTCTAAACCTACTGGGCCTTGAAGAAACAACAATGAAAATTTCTTTGGATATTTAGACAAAAAAAGCAAGTGACTTTCAGATGAAAGGAAATTAGATATTACCAGACGTTTTGGCAGCAATGCATTATGCCAGAAGAAAATGGAGTAACATATTTAAGGTACTCATGGAAAGAAAATGTGAGAGAATAATAATTATGGCCGAGCGCTCAAGCCTGTAATCCCAGCACTTTGGGAGGCCGAGGTGGGTGGATCATCTGAGGTCAGGAGTTCGAGACCAGCCTGGCCAAAATGGAGAAACCCCGTCTCTACTAAAAATACAAAAATTTAGCCAGGCGTGGTGGCACATGCCTGTAATCCCAGCTACTTTGGAGGCCGAGACAAGAGAATCACTCGAACCTGGGAGGCAGAGGTTGGAGTGAGCTGAGATCACGACATTGCACTCCAGCCTGGGCAACAGAGTGAGACTGTGGCTCAAAAAAAAAAAAAAGAAAAACCCAAAAACCAAAAAATTACAATGGATTAAAATACATCACATATATTTAAATCCATGAAGTCATAATGGTGTTTAAATAAACTAAACTATCAGTCACCTGGAAAAACTCTGATTTCCAGATTTGTTATTGACTGAAATGTCACATTTTCCAGATGTCTAGTTGTATTAGTGTGCTCATGCTGCTATAACAAAGTACACAGACTCTGGCTTAAAGAACAGAAATTTCTTTCTCACAGTTCCAGAGGCTGGGAAGTGTAAGACCAAGATACCAGCAAGGTAAAGGTTCTGGTGAGGGCTCTCTGCCTGGCCTGTAGACCACCTTCATCCTTTGGAGGATGGTAGAGAACCAATTCATTATTTTTAAAACTGGCAAATGGGAAAAATCAATCAGTCATTATTTCTGCTGTGTAGTATGAACTATACCACTGTGTAATCAAGTAGTAGGTGAAAAGAATAATCTCTTTATAAATAATAGAATTTGAGTATTACAATTTTCAACCCTCTATAAATTAAGTGATCTAGGCATTGAGTATCAACAGTTGCTGACATCACAAAAAGAGAGACAAGTAGACACATGTGCCTCCTTGTGTCTTAGAAAGAAGCTACACCATCTAAGGAGTCTTGCCAAAGGGATCAGACCTAAGCCTGAATAAGCCTCTGACTCCTCTTGCCAACCTGCAGAAACAGCAGAATATGTCAAACTGCCTATGAGCGTTCAATAAGTAAAGTTTAGACTGTGGGAAACTTTGCAAGACAAGTGGCCCATGTTCTTCAACAAAGAAATTGTTAAGGAAGAGAAAGAGAGAAAGGTAATACCAGATTAAAAGAGATTTAAAAGACCTTCAAATAAAAAAGAGTAAGGCTAAACTATAGTGCTAAGGAACATTCAAGTGATACAACTATAATGAAATACAAGTATAGTGATTTTAAAACATATCTGCAGGCCGGGTGCGGTGGTTCACGCCTCTAATCCCAGCACTTTGGGAGGCCGAGGCGGGTGGATCACGAGGTCAGGAGATCGAGACCACGGTGAAATGAAACCCCGTCTCCACTAAAAATACAAAAAATTAGCCAGGCGCAGTGGCGGGCGCCTGTAGTCCCAGCTACTCGGGAGGCTGAGGCAGGAGAATGGTGTGAACCCGGAAGGCGGAGCTTGCAGCCAGCGGAGATCGCGCCACAGCACTCCAGCCTGGGCGACAAAACGAGACTCCGTCTCAAAAAAAAAAAAAAAAAACAAAAAACATATCTGCAAATTTTTTAAACATTCCCCTCTATATGACCCCTACCCTCGAATCCGAGCTGGCCTTAGTGACTCTGCAAGACTTCTGAGGATTGGCCATAAAAAGGGATATTTCCTCCTTGCTCAATGGGACACTCACTTCTGGAGCCCTGAACCATCATATAGGAAATCCAGTTTCTCTGCGGCTGCCATGCTGTGAGGAAGCCCAGGCTGCTTGGAGAGGCATGTGTATGTGCTCTATACTGAGATTGAGATCCCAGTTGAGAGCCATTATCCATTTTCAGACATGTGAATAAAGACATATCTAGATAATCCCAGCCTCCAGCTGTTGAATTCCCTCTAGACAGTGAGTCTTCCCAGCTGAGGCCCCAAATATCATGGAGTAGACAGTAGTGTGCTATAGCCAGCCTGTACTGGCTTGCAAGAACCAATTGTCAGTATGTCTTCCTAACTCCATATTCAGTGATGCCGTAGCTTGAAGTTGGCCATGGTAGGAGTACTTACACCATGGAAATCGGCAAACACTGCAAATCAGGGGCATTCCTGCTGCGCCTGTCTGAATTTCTGACCCACGGAATCCATGAGCATAATCAAATGGGTATTTTAAGCCACCCAGTTTTGGAGTCACTTGTATTAATAATACAGTGATAGTAACTGGAACAGCAAGGAAAGGATTACTATAAAAATATAGTTACTTTTCAGGGAACAGAGGTGGTTGAGATAGGGACTTCTGAGACTTTTGGAGTAGCTGGAAAACTCTATTAATCTGAGTGGTGGTTACAAGGATATTCAGCTTACAATAATTAATTAAGTCAGTTATTTATTTTGTGTGATTTTCTGCATTTTTATCTTAAGATAAAACCTTTAAAAGTCTTTTTTTGTGTGTAGGAGGTAGTAAGATGATTTCATTTCACTTTATTTCTAATATATATTTAGCAAAAATGCATTTTTGGTGTTGAATAACTATATGACAACATTGACAGTTTGATTTTTAGATTTTAAAACCTAAACTATGGAAGACTATAGGAACCTCATGATGATGAAGCATATATATGTATTCAGAATGTAAGCAGTCAAACAGCCTTAAAGGAGAGAGCCACATATTATGAGGTCCTTTGATAGTTCAAGTCTTGATTGCCATTGATCAAAGTCCAAAACAAGCTTAATTTATACCAAATAATATATTAGAACTCATTTATGAGTATGCCAGAGTTTTGGGGATAAAATAATAAAAGCCTTCTTATGTTACTATGTTTTACATAGCACAGAAATGTAATTCTTATTCATTTACTGATAGTTCTATATTAAATGATTTGACCATATGCAGTATTCTTATTTTAATGTATTAAATACTGCTAGATTTGATTAGATTGGGTATTAGTTCTCAATATTTGGTTGTCCATATTTAGACAAAATTGTAATGACATTGGGAATAATAATGTAATCATTAATAATGTAATACCAAGCGGTCTGGCATTGTGTCCTACATAGAACACTGTCAATATTTGAGTTGTGCTGGGTTGGTAAAGTACTAATCAACTATATGGTATGATTTAAGGTATACAAGAAAGGTCTCAAGAATAGTCAGCCCAGTCACAGGTTCTGAAATCACACTGTTAGAATTCATCCATTTGGATCCGTAAGACAAACATGCTTAGAAAATCCTACATCAGCTGACACCTTGGCATAAGACAGGAGTCACAGATCTTAGTGAGACTTAAGGAAATGGAACTTGAGTCCCACACCTGAGGCACGGTGGGATGGACCTTGGTAAAGGGAGACTGTGTAATGAAGATATGGGGAGAATTCCAAAGACAGGCTTTATCTTCTGCAGACCAGCTCTGCTGAGGTGTTATAGATTCCCCAGCTTATTCTGAGAAATCTCTTTTCTAGGATATGGTAAAAGGCCGAAAGTTTTTTGACACTCAAAGGAAAGACTTAGGAGTGAGATAAAATGTAATAGGTTAAGTATTGAGTCAAATAAACACATGTGGCAGGATAGATTAAATAGTCTTAATATAGCAATATGCAAATAAGTAATAGTTTATGTTAAATAAATGTTATCACTTTTGAAATATTAAAGCCCTACCCCACAACCCAGGCAATGGTATATCAGTCTTTTTTGATAAATTCAGCCCAGTTCAAGAGTTCTAATCTGACTATTACAATCTCAGTCGTATTTTGAGGAAAAAGATGCAAAATCACATTTTGGTATTGTCACCTCTGATCACTACCTTTGGCATAACTGCAATGAGCCTCTGTTGTAGAACAGGCTACAATCTTCCTCTATCTGTTTCTGGGTCTCCCTCTGTGTGTTTCTGTCTTTCTGTCTCTTTCTGTACTCCTTTGCCAGTTTCTGGCAGTGCTACAATCTACACCTCAGATGAGAATGGGGATGGCGGTCTCATTTTTTGTGATCATCACCCATTTCTGTCTGACACATCTCCCAACCCTACCACCACCAATTCCTGGTTACTCTACCCAGTGGTCCTTTCTGGGTATGAGGCACTTTGCTTCATGATGTATCAGCTGCCAGTAACTCGAGGCTGGCCCTCTCTCTGTGCATCAGAGACCTCCTGAGATCTGAGTACCCTGAGGTTCTCTTGGGGGATGGTGAGGGGCTAGAGTCTAACTCTAACTTCTGCTCTAGCCGGAGAAGACCCCTTTCTGCCACCTCTGTTTCTTTTTGTATAGTTAAGAGTGGTGATGGTGGGGTGGCCTTCAGGGTTCCTAGACAGAGGCCCCTCTTGGAAGCCTCGCATGGGGGTCCTATTACTCTTGTGGGTATTTGTTTGAACTTTGAGGTGAAGCACAACACCTGGTATTCTCAGCTAAGAGCAGTCTCTGTGACTTGTGAACATATATCCTTTAGGTTTTAGCTACAGCTTTGTACAAAGCATTGCATAGACAGGTACAACTAATTTGTATTTGCTATTAAGGACTCTATGACAAGAAGAAAATGCATATTGGATACTTTATTTTTGCACATTAACAAAACTCTAGGTCACCCTAAATTATTAGAGTATGATGTTTGATATAATTGTGTACTTTTTTTCCCATTGTGTAGTTTAAAATAAAACATTAAAACAGAAAACAAAGACCCCATAAAAACATATTTGTGGCTCCTTCCCACTTATTGTGCCTCATAATTTTATTTTTCTTCTTTCCACCCCTCCCTTTTTTCATGTTTGCTTTCTCTTTAGTTTCTCTTTCTTACACAGTTGCTTACTTTTTTTTTTTTTTTTAAGAGATGGGGTATCACTATGTTGCCCAGGCTGGTCTCAAACTCCTGGACTCAAGCTATCTTTCTGCCTTGGCCTCCCAAAGTGCTAGGATTACAGGCATGAGCCACTGTGCCCAGCTAGTTGCTTACTTCTTAAGTGACCTAATGGTGACTTCAGTGCTCGAGGGCACTTCCTAGGCTATTTGGTGGCCCTCAGTAATAAAGAGATTGTATAATCTTGTATACTGATTAGCCAATTTATCTTCGTTACAGTATCATCACTTTCATTTGATACTACTGCAACTGAAAAAACTAAGCCTACTAACATATGCTAACAAAATACTACTTTTAGTGCATTAAATTGTAAATCAAGTCTGAATTTCCAAAATTTTTTAAGGAAAATGTTTTTAGAAATTGATGATGTTTAGATGGCCAAGATGACACCCATTAGTGGTTCTGACTGTTAAAAAAAAAAATTAAAGAAACAAAACAGACTAGCATTCAGTTTCTGTGGAAGCTTTCTCTTTCTTAACCTTTTTTTCTTCTGCTGTCATTCCAGACACAATTACTAAGCTGCTTACACTACTGGCATGTCCAGATCTGTCTAACTTTCCCTGAATGGATTTCACATTCCTAGGATGTCCATGTAAACTTTTTGACCTGAGAGATGGGAATCCCAAAGTTTGATCTGGCTTCACAGACAGTAAGTTTTCCATCCCATTTCTGTCAGTAATGGTTAGGGACAAGCGAGGGATTCGAGGAATTGCTTCAGCGACATGGTGTTCATCTTGCATATCTGCAAACTGCTCTTTATGCTCAGCTTGCACTGCAGCTTCCGACACAATGTAAGGAATATCTGTGCTATGAGAGCGCGTGATCTTTTGAACTTGGCATTGCCATTCCGTCGTCAATTGCTGGTCCGTGATTGAACTGTACTCTACATCCTGGTTAACCCCACCGACCAGCTTTCTTCCCCGGGAATAGACGAAGCTTCTGGACTTCATTGTTTTACAAGCATTGATCGTTTCATCGGGGAAATAGCGTGTAATTTTGGTTTCTTCCAGGGGATAGGAAATAGTGCCTTCTATATTTGTCGTTTCCACTGTTAGCTGAGTGTTTTGAACATCTGATTTGTCCTGTCCATGTATCACATCTGTTTTATTTAAACTTGGGGAAATAGTTTCTTCTTTTTTAGAGTCTGTCTGTCTTTCATCATCTTCCTTTGAAATCCCAATATCTGGACCTAATTTTGACTCTTCAGCGTTCTTTAAGTCATCTACTGCAAGGTGACTGCCATCTGGGGTTGCTGATGTGCTTGTGCCCAGTGAAAGGTGAAGACTGTTCTGACATTCTGGGACTAGGTGCGTTTTCACGTCCTTCTCTTCCTTTATACGGAAGGAACAGGTTTTTTTCCTGACTCCTGTCCCTGGTGACGTGGAGAGAGATGTATCCTCAAATAATAACTCTTCTCCGTTAAAATGATATCGATACAAGCTGTAGCCATCAGCGCTATTGATGCTGCTTTGCCGGAGAAGATACGTTGCCTCACATTCAGAAGAAGCCCGGGACCGTGCCTGGATCAGGTCAGACCTGTCGATTCCCGCAAGATTTTCAAGAGCATTCACCATTCTGTTAGATAATTCTTCTAGCTGAGCAAGTCGAAGGTCAACAGTCTGCAGGGAAGTTTTCATAAAAGTTTCTCTTTCATTGATTTCTTCCAACCTCATTGACATATTTTCAACTCTGGTGAATATAAAGGGATAGATTTATTAAACTGAGATTAAGTGGATATTAAAAATCAAAAGATAATGTCATTGCTATGTGATTTTTCAGAATTTTAATACATATGGAACTGTTTGAGTATATTTACAAGCTTCACAATCCCCTAACATGACTACTCGAATTACCATGAGGAGCCACCAGAAAATAATGGAAATAAATAATTAATGCATATAGTACTTACTGCTCAGTCATTGTTCTAAGAGCATAATGTTCTCACTAACAGGTACTTACTGAGGTTCAATCCTAGGCTTATTTAATCTTCAGAACAGTCCTTGGAAGTAGGTCTATTATTATCATCTCCATTTTACAGGTGAGGAAATTAAGTCATGGAGCGTATAAGTAATTTCCCCAAAGGTAGGAAGCAGTGGAGCAGGAATTTGAGCACACGCAGCCTAGCTCCAGCACTCACTCCGGTGCCTGTCTCTTAGCTGGTACATCATGCTGCCTGTAGTAATAACAGAAGCTACTAGTGCTTAGTTTTTAGAGCTTTGACTATGGCTGTCAGCAGTGAATGGTTATAACAAAATAAATAAAATTAAAATCCTTATTGAGGTTCAAGGGATTCAGAAAATAAACTGTTAATAATTAAGTTCAGATTATCAGATAGTTTGCTTAAAGGATAGTAGGTGATTTAATTGTCTGAAGAATACCAAAAACTTTAAATTATTCTTTATATTTAATAATTAGTATTTCCTTAAGGTTACACACAAAAAAGAGCATGGGAGATTATAAATGCCTGCTATTAGTTTTTTTTTTTTCAGTTCTTAGAAGATCGGGCAACAGCCTATGAAACCATAATGTTGCCTGGCCTAAAATCCACTGGTACAGACTTTGTTTTATATTTTACTACATACAGTATGAATTATTTCAATAGGAATTTAACTCTAAGAGGCAAGGTATGCCCAGGATTGAGGATTGCTTTCTAAAAGTTGAATTTGTCCCCAGGATGGAGCTAGGAGTCCTGGCTACTGTGTTCTGGCTGGTTCATCCCTGTGTGATGGCAAACACTTAGGTCTGATTCCATTATTCTTTTATTTTCTCCCAGCTTTCTTAAAAACATAGGGAGACTTGGCTTGCATTGCAGTCTGTATGACCTACGAAGGTCTTTGCTACCTTCTCTGCACATCCTTATACATGTCCTCACTCGTACTGCTGGCTCTCCTCTTATCCATCCATTTCACGGTGGTCAGCCACCCCGCTCTTTTGTCTTCTGAGCAGATTGCCTGCCACTGTTTGCATCGCTAAGTCAGCTCTGTGCTTGACTGCATCTCCTGAACTCCACCCCCACCCTGCTGCTTCTGTGGCTACCTTGCCCCACCTCCCAGAGTTTTTTTTTTGCTAATGCCACTCTTCTGTTGACCACATTGACAACTGTGCTCTGATGTGTCTGTGTTTGTATGTGTGGTTCCTTGGCTTCTATTCTTAACTCTTTTCTTGGGGTGAGAACTATTTATATGTACTATAGGAAACCACATCATTTGAGCAGGAAGGGTCTGGCTTCCTGGACGTTTGCCACCAGGGAGGACCAAATTCACCATGTATGAGAAGTCCTGGCTTCCTTTTTTTAAAGCCTCTGTATCACAGGCACTGTAGGTTCTAAGGGTTCTCTCTCCTCTTGCATTTCAGAGACCAACAGAAGAATTTTTCACTATTAACTTTCCATTACTTCTGAGTAAGACTTGGTGTTCTTCATTAAAAATAATGGCTCCTGGCCGCACGCAGTGGCTCACACCTGTAATCCCAGCACTTTGGGAGGCCAAGGCGGGTGGATCACCTGAGGCCAGGAGTTCAAGACCAGCCTGGCCAATATGGTGAAACCCTGTCTCTACTGAAAACACAAAACTTAGCTGGGCACAGTGGTGTGTGCCTGTAATCCCAGCTACTTGGGAGGCTGAGGCACGAGAATTGCTTGCACCCAGGAGGCGGAGGTTGCAGTGAGCCGAGATCGCACCACTGCACTCCAGCCTGGATGACAGAGCGAGACTCCATCTCAAAAAATAAATAAATAAATAAATAAATAAATAAATAAATAAAGGCTCCCTACTCCGTTCAGTTCTATTACCCTGATTATTCCTTTTGTATCAAAAAAAACCCCACATTGCCCTAGTCAAACTTGAGTTCCTTTACAAACATACAGTAAGAGATATTGCCGCTGTGCAAACTTTTCTAAATAAATACACTGGTGAAATGAAGATGAATATCTTTCCTTTCAAATCTTTTATAGTTTTACCTATTTTCCCCTTTATTACCTAATTCAGATAACAGCACTCTCAGCCACTCATATATGAAAAACAAACCTCAAAGTCATTGGATTCTTTGGTCTCCCTTATACTAACTCCCTCCCCTCACTTCTCTCCTCTCCCCTCCCCTCTGCATTGAATCAGTTACCAAGCTCCTTTTTTGGTGTCTCAAATCTCCCATCCCTACTGCTGCTCCCTTCATTGAAGCTGTGGAAGAAACAATGCTTAATGATGTGCCCTGGGTTCAGAGAAATTGTCAGTTGCTTGTTTGGAGCTTGTGAACAGCTACAACGTGGATACAGCAAATTTTAAACAGCTATGCCAAACGATGGGAAGTTGCATTGAGTTTTATAGTACGTATGAAAGAAGAAAGATAAAAATGAGTTTAAGTTCACTTACATCTGAAATGATTAACATAAAGGACAAATAAATGAGGATCTATCTCCTTTGTTAACCATGGTTGGTGACTTCCCATAATTATTTAAAACATGTTTCACAAACCTTGACACCCACACAAAGAGTGGTTTCCATTTCAGACAGAGAAAGGCTATCTAGGAATCAATTTGACAAGAGCCCCACATCTATTTACACATTGAATGGCATAAAAACACAAGAGAATCCATCATGCATGATAGAGCTCATAGTGAGATATGATTAATCAGCAAAGAAGTTATTTGTGTAGCTTTCTAAGTCTTAATCCAGCTTTCCTTTCAGCACAGAGTGAAAAATATTTTTCAGCACATTACAGAATACAGAAGCATTCCAGATCCAAGTAATTCACTTGGCTTTCCCTTTAATTAAGGTTGATGCTCTCTTAAAGATTTCTTTTCTTTTCTTTTCTTTTTTTTTTGAGACGGAGTCTTGCTCTGTTGCCCAGACTAGAGTACAGTGGCGCAATTTCCGCTCACTGCAACCTCTGTCTCCCAGGTTCAAGCGATTCTCCTGCCTCAGCCTCCCAAGTAGCTGGGATCACAGGCGCCCGCCACCATGCCTGACTAATTTTTGTATTTTTAGTAGAGACGGGGTTTTGCCATGTTGGCCAGGCTGGCCTCGAACTCCTGACCTCAGGTGATCCACCTGCCTTAGCCTCCCAAAGTGCTGGGATTACAGGCATGAGCCACCAAGCCTGGCAAAGATATATTTCTAATATGGATGTGCCACAGCACCTGTTGAAGGACATTTGGGTTGTTTCCATTATTTGGCAAGTATGAAAAGAGCTGCTATAAACATTCATGTACAGGTTTTGTGTGAACATGTTTTCATTTCTGTAGGATAAATACCTAGGAGTTAAATAGCCGAGATTGCTGATTCATAGGGTAAATGTATGTTTAACTTTATAAGCAACTGCCCAACCATTTTTCAGAGTGGCTGTACAATTTTTTATTCCTACTAGCAGTGTATGCAAATTCCAGTTGCTCAGCATCCTTCTTGGCTATTGTTATTTTTAATTTTTTTTATTTTTAGCTCTTGTATTCGGTGTGTAGATATATCTCATTCTGGTTTTAATTTTCATTTCACTGATAGCTAATGATGTTGAGCATCTTTTTATGTACATATTTAACAACCTTATGTCCTCTCTGGTGTGTCTAGTCTAATCCTTAGCTCATTTTTTTATTGGGCCATTTTTTCCATATTATGGGTTTTAGAGTTCTTTAGATATTTTGTATAAAAGTCTTTTGTCAGATATATGATTGACATGATTATGCTTTTGGTGTTGCATTGAAGAATCCTTTGTCTATTCCCAAGTTGTGAAGATTTTCTCTTATGTTTTCTTCCAAACATTTTATAGTTTTGTGTTTTATGTTTAGATCTATGATCCATTTTTAGTTAATTTTTGTATGTGTTGAGATCATTTTTTGCATAAGAATGTCAAACTGTCCTAACACCATTAGTTGAAAAGATGATCCATTCGTCGTTGAATTAGTTTTGCACCTTTGGGGAAAGAAATCAATTATCTCTATTTGGGTAGATCTACTCCCGGACTCTTTATTCTGTTCCATTTATGTATGTGTTGGACCCTTCACCAAGACCACACTGTCTTCATTACTGTAGCTTCACAGTAAGCCTTAAAACTGGATAGTGTGATTCCTCTAATGTTATTCTTCTTTTTCAAAATTGTTTTACATAGTCTAGTTCCTTGGCCTTTCCATTTAATTTTCAAAATAAGTTGACATAGCTGGGCACAGTGGCTCATGCCTACAATCCCAGTGCTTCGGGAGACTGAGGTAGGAGGATTGCTTGAGCTCAGGAGTTTGAGACCAGCCTGGGAAACATAGGGAGACTTCGTCTATAACAACAGCAGCAGCAGCAACAACAACAACAACAACAACAACAACAACAACAACAACAGTTGACCTATATCTACAAAATATCCTGCTGGGATTTTGATTGGTATTGTGTTAAATCTACAGATAAACTTGGGGAGAACTGACATCTGTGCCACGTTGAGTCTTCCAATACATGAATATGGTATATCCTCCCATTTATTTAAGTGATCTTTGATTTCTTTCATCAGCACTTTGTAGTTTTCTGCATATAGATCCCATACGTATTTTACGAGATTTATACCTAAGTATTTCATTTTTGTTGGAGCTCTGTGAGAATGGTATTATTTTAAAAATTCCAATGTTCAATTACACACTGATGGTATATAGAAATAAGATTAATTTTTGTTGACTTTGTACTCTGTAGCCTTGTTAAATTCACTTATTAATTCTAGGACGTTTTCATTTGTTTCATTTTGTTTTTTAAAGATTTTATGTGATTTTCTACATAGATAATCATCTATAAATAGGAATGGTTTTATGTATTTATGTATTTCTCTCCAAGACAGAAGACTTTTTTTCCTTGCCTTATTGCATGGCCTAAGACTTCCAGTACACTGTTGAAGTGGTGAGAGTGGCCATCCTTCCTTGTTCCCAGTTTTAGGGAGAAAGCAGTCTGTCTTTCACCATGTTAGCTATAGATTTTATGTAAATGCCATTTGTCAGATTAAGGAGGTTCTCTTCTGTTCTTAGTTTGCTGAGAGACTTTTATAAAATGTATTTTTATCATCATGATGTTGAATTTCATCAAATGCTTTTTCTGCACCGATTGCTAGAAACATATAGGGTTTTTTCCTTTAAATCATTAATATGGTGGATTACATTGATTGTTTTCAAATATTGACCTAGCCTTTTATTCCTGGGATAAACTACCTGATCGTGGCTAGACTCAATTTGCTAGTATTTTGTTGTGAATTTTTGTGTCTATGTTCATGAGGAATATTGGTCTGTAGTTTTCTTTTTTCAATTGTCTTTGTCTGGTTTTGGTATCATGGTGATGATGGCCTCAGGAAATGAGGTGGGAAGTGACCACAGCATTTACTATACATTTTACAGTGGTTGTTTTAGGGATTACAAATAGATAGCAACATTTCACAGTATACATAGCATCAGTATTTTACCACTTCAATTTGAATGTAGGAACATTACTACCATACAGGTCCCTTTCCCATAGCCCTTTGTGCTGCAGTTGTCATATATTGTATCCACATATATTGAAAATGCCATCAGACAGTATGGCAATTTTTGCTTTTGACTGTCAAATATACTTTAAAGAACTCAGAAAGAGAAGACTCATCTTTATGTTTATCAACATATTTATTATTTCTGATGCTCTTCTTTCATTTTTGATGTTCCAAGTTCAATTCTGGTATCATTTCCTTCTGTCTGAAGAATTTCCTATAGTTATTCTTTTAGAATTGGTCTGCTAGCAATGAATTCTTTGTCTGATTTTTTTTTTCACTTTCATTTTTGAAGAATGTTTTTGTTGAGTATGTAATTCTGGGTTGATCATTTTTTTCTTTCAGCACTTTAAAAACATAATGCAGGCCATGGTGACCTGTGCCTGTAATCCCAGCTACTCGGGAGGTTGTGGTGGGAGGGTTGCTTGAGCCCAGGTGTTTGAGTTCAGTCTGGGCAACACAGGAGACCTCGGCTCAAAAAATAAATAAAATTTAAAATTAAAAACATAGTGCTACTTCCTTCTGACCTCCAAGGTTTCTGATGAGAAATCTGCCATCATTCAAATCACTGTTCTCCAGTAAGTAATGTATCATTTTTCTCTGGTCAATTTTTTTCTTTGCTGTCAATTTTTTTCCCTCTGTCTTTAGTTTGTGGCCCTTCATTTGATATGGATTCATTTGAGTTAGTCCTGTTTAGCATTCTCTACATTTATTTAATCTGTGGGTTTACGTCTTTGATCAAACTTGGGAGGTTTTCAGTGATTTCTTCAAGTAGTTTCTCTGCATCATGCTCTTTCTCTTCTGGGACTCTTATAATACAAATGTTATACCTTTTGTTATTGCCCCACACTTCTCTGAGGCTTTGGGCTTTTTCTTTAGCCCATTTACTCTCTTGTTCAAATTGAGTAATTTTCTGTTGTAATATCTTCAAGTTTACTCTCTCCTCTGTAATCCCTGTTTTGCTATTGAGCCTATCCAATGAATTTTTCATTGCACTTACTTTATTTTTTGGTAAAATTTTCTTTGAATTTTCTTAATATCTTCTATTCTTTCTCTGAGACTTTCTAGTTTTCTATTAGTTTCCAGAGCCTTTGCAATTTTGTTAAAGCATTTTCCTAATAGCTGCTTTAAAGCCTTTGTCAGATAATTTCAACATCTGTGTTATCTTGACATTGACATTTACTGATTGTCTTTTTTCCCCAGGTGAGTTGAGATTTTCTATATTCTGCATACTCCAAATGATTTTGGATTGTAGCCTGACATTTTGAATATTATACCACATGACTCTGAATCTTGTTTAATTTTCATGGAGAATGTTGATTTGTTTTGTTTTAGCAGGTGATCAACCTGGTTAGTTTCAGGCTGCAAGTTCTGACATGCTTTCTGTGGACTGTGATTCCAATGCCAGTTCAGTTTTCAAAGTCTTTGTAGTGCTATTGAGATCTGACCTATGTGCGTGCAGCCCAGTAGTCAGTCTGGGACCTTGGTAGCAGTCTGATCATTACTTCAGTTCTTACTGTCTTTGAGATCTTTCTTCTTTTTACATGTGGGTCTTTATAGTTATAAATATCCTTCTGAATACTGCTTTTACTGTATCCCATAAATTTTGGTATATTGTGTTTTCATTTTGTTCGCCTTGAAGTATTTTCTAATTTCTCTTGTGATTTCTTCTTTGATCTATTGATTATTTAAGAGTGTATTGTTTAATTGTCACATATTTGTAAATTTTCCAAATTTTCATTTGTTATTAATTTATCATTTTATTTTGTTGTGGCCTGAGAATACACTTTGTTTAACTTAAATCTTTTTAAAACTTATTGAGACTTGTTTTATGGCCTAACAGATGATGTATCTTGGAAAATGTTCCATATGCTTATAAAATGAATATATATTTTGCTGTCATTGAGTGTTCTACTGATGTCTGTTACCTTGAGTTGGCATATAGTATTGGCTAAGGCTTCTATTTTCTTAATGAACTTCTGTCTAGTTCTAATATTAGTGAAAGTTGAATATTAGAGCCTACAACTATTATTTGAGAACTATCTGCTTCTCCCTTCAATTCTGTCAGTTTTTGCTTCATATCTTATGAGGCTCTGCTATTGGGTGCATATATGTTTATAATTGTTATATCTTTTTGATATAGTTACCTTTTTAATCATTATATCATGTCTATCATGTCCTTCTTTGTCTCTAGTAACAATATTTGTCTTAGAGTCTATTTTACCTGATAGGTGTAGCCACTCCAACTATTTTTTTATTACTGTTTGCATGAAATGTCTTTATCCATCCTTTTACTTTAAAACTTTAAAAATCTTTGAATCTGAAGTGAGTCTCTGCAGATAGCATGTAATTACACCATATTTTAAATATTCATTGTGCTAGTCTCTGTCTTAGAGAGCTTTATCTATTTACATTTAATATAATTACTGGTAAGGAAGAACTTACCTCTGCCATACTGCTATTTATTTTCTATATGTTATGTCTTTTTTTTTGTCCCTCAACTCCATCATTACTGCTTTCTTCTGTGTTAAATAGGTATTTTCTAGTGTATCATTTTAATTCACTTAGTATTTCTTTTCTTTTTTAAGATATGGGGCCCTGCTATGTTTCCTAGGCTGGCCTTGAACCCCTGGGCTTAAGTGATCTTCCTGCCTTAACCTCTTGAGTGGCTGGGACTACAGGCATGCACTACCACACCTGGCTCTTGTTCTTTCTTTTATCATATGTTTTTCAGTTATTTTCTTAGTGCTTGCCCTGGGGATTATCAGTAACATCTTAATTTATAACAGTCTACTTTAATTTAATGCCAATTACTTTTTTTTTTTTTTTTTGAGATGGAGTGTCACTCTGTTGCCCAGGCTGAAGAGCAGTGGCAAGATCTCAGCTCACTGCAACCTCTGCCTCCTAGGTTCAAGTGATTCTCGTGCCTCAGCCTCCTGAGTAGCTGGGATTACAGGCATGTGCCACCACACAGGCTAATTTTTGTATTTTCAATAGAGATGGGGTTTCACTATGTTGGCCAGGCTGGTCTTGAACTCTCGACCTCAGGTGATCCACCTGCCTTCGCCTCCCAAAGTGCTGGGATTAGAGGTGTGAGCCCTTGCATCTGGCCTAACACCAATTATTTTCAATAATATACACAAAGTTTACTCTTATAAAGCTCCATCCTCCCCCCATGTTATTCTGTTATTATCACAAGTTACAACTTTGTACATTGTGTACCCATCAACATAGATTTGTAATGATTGCTTTATGTGGTTGTCTTGTAAATCATGTAGAAAATAAAAAGTAGTTACAAACAAAAAATACATTTATAATGCCTTTTATATTTACCTATGTAGTTAAATTTACTGGTCCTCTTTATTTCTTCATGTGGATCTTAGGTTATTGTCTTATGTCTTTTCATTTCTGCCTGAAAAACTATCTTTAGTATCCCTCATAGTAGGTTTGCTAGTAATGAATTCTCTCAGTTCTTGGTTATCTGGGAATATCTTAATTTATCCTTCATTTTTAAAGGATAGTTTTGCTGCATATATAATTTTTAGTGGACATTGTTTTGCTTTCAGCACATTGACTATGTCATCCCAAGGTCTTCTGGTCTTCCTGGCTTCTGATGAGAGGTCAGCTTTTTTAATCTAATTAAGCATCCTTTCCATGTGATGAGTTGCTTCTCTCTTGCTGCTTTCAAGATTCTTTTCCTTTGGCTTTTAACAGTTTGACTATAACGTTAATTGGTATGGATCTCCTTGAGTTTATCCTACTTGGAGTTCATTGAGCTTCTTGGATATGTAGATTCGTATCTTTCATTAAATTTGTAAAATTTTGGCCATTATTTCTTTAAATATTGTTTCTGCCAGTTTCCCTTCTCTCTTTCTATAACTCTCATGATGCCTATGTTGTTCTGCTGGATGGTGTTCTACAGGTTTCAGACTGTTCAATTTCTCTTCATTTCCTCCCCCTGTTCCTTAGACTGGGTAATTTTTAACTGATTTATCTTCCAGTTTGCTGATTCTTTAATCTACCTGCTCAAATGTGCTATTGGGCCTCTAGAGTGAATTTTTCATTTCAGTTATTGTACTTTCCAATGTCAGAATTTCCTTCCCTTCCTTCATTTCTTTCTTTTTCTTTTTTTTTTTCTTTTTTTTTTTTGACACTGTCTTGCTCTATTGTCCAGGCTGGAATGCAGTGGCAAGATCACAGCTCACTGCAGCCTTGAATTCCTGGGCTCAAGCAATCCTCCCACCTCAGCCTCCCAAGTAGCTAGGACTACCGGCACCACCATGCTCTGCCAGTTGCCATGATATGCACCACCATGCCTGTCCAGTTTTAAAAATGATTTTATGTAGATGGTGTCTTGCTCTGTTGCCCAGGCTGGTCTTGAACTCCTGGCTTCAAGCAATCCTCCCTCCTTGGTCTCCCAAAGCTCTGGGATTACAGGCATGAGTCACTGTGCCTGACCTATTTTTTTAAAAATATATATAATTTCTACCTCTTTTTTTTTGAGACCTCGTCTACTACTTGATATAATTTCCACCTCTTTATTGATAGTCCCTTATTTGGTGAAAAATCCTTCTCATACTTTCCTTTAGTTCTTTAGAGATGATTTCCTTTAGGTCTTTAAATATATTTAAAATAGCTAAAATAGTTGAGTTAAACTCTTTGCTAAAACATCTAATATCCAGGATTCCTAAGGGATGGTTTTTAAGATTGTCCTTTTTCCTGTGTGTGGACCATAGTTTCTTATTTCTTTGCATGTTTTGTCATTTTTATTTAAAAGTGGACATGTTGAGTATTATAATGTGGCAATTCTAGAAATCAGATTCTCTCCCCTCTCAGGCTTGTTGTTATTGCTTAGTGTAGTTGTTGTTTGTTTAGTGTAGTTGTTGTTTGTTGTTTGTTTAGTGATTTTTGTAGTTGTTGTTTGTTTAGTGATTTTTCTGAAATAATATTGTAAAGTCTATATTCTTTATGTTGTGTGGCCACTGAAGTTTGTATTTTATTAGCTTAGTGGTCAGTTAATACTTAGAGATTTCCTTAAATGTGTGGAACAAAAACAACAAAATCTTCTAGTCTTTTCTGAGAAGCTGTATGTGTATATAGGGGCACATCTTCAACACTCAGGCAGTTTACATCTTTGCTTTAGCTTTCACTTCCTGCTTGCACAGAGCCTCAAGATCAAGTCAGCCAGAAATGAGCTTATAGCCTTCTCAGGTCTTCCTGAGTATACACACAGCCCTATGCATGCACATAGCTTTCTAAATTCCCAGGAATGTGTTAGAGCTTTTCAAAGCTCTTATGGACATCAGTTTTTCTCCCTAGTTTTTTGGTTAGTCTATTGTTTGCCCCAGCTGTCATCCGTCACCTCAGGGAGCAAGCACTAAACCCTTTGCCTGTAAATGTTTTTGACAACCCTTCCTCCACCCCTTCTAACTAGAAGCTTTAGTACTGGGCCTGTTCCAACTCAGGTGAAATACAGACGAACCTTTCAGCTAGGCTTTCAAGGAGCTGCCCTGTAATTACAAAACAAGTAATTATAATTCTTTGCATATGAGATTCTTTCTGCTCCTACTGGTACTAGGAATGCAGGTTGTTGTTTTCAAGGTGACTACTCAACTGGAGAGCAGAGGATAGGACAGGGCTAAGTTAAAATGTCACAAAGCTCACTTTTCTTATCAAGATCCAGCCATTTTGTTTAAATAAGAATGCCCTAGGTTGCTTAATAAGCCATTGCTTAATTTCCAGAGTGCCACAAGATATAGACTCTGACAGTTTTTGCCAACTTTGTTGTTGCTTTTATGGTGGGGCAGAATTCCAGAGTTCCTTACTCTACCTGCTTTTGTTCATGTCACCCCATTCAATGCCTTTGGTATGTGAATAAGGAGCAGACTCCTCCACCCCTGACAGACACAGTCTGCAGGTGAGCTCTGGAGTTCATAACTTTATGGCATTACTTTTCCAAGTTCCCCCTCTCACTATCTCCCTGATATCTCCAGTTCCTCAGAGTTTCCGTTTTCTATCCTCCAACCAGAAAGCTGGGGCTCAAATCAAAGCAAAGAGCAACGATTGACTTCACCCTCTTGAATTTTGATGCAGTGGGTAGGGACTTCACCAGACCACTGGATTTCCTGCACCTGACTTGAGGCAGGGGGTGGGGGTGGGGCTATGGGACAATAGAAAGGGAAAAAGGTACTCTTGGAATAAACAGATGAGATTATAAGCAGATGAGATGAGGTCAAAGAATAATTTCATTTAATATTAAAAGATATATAACCTTGGCTGGGCACGGTGGCTCACGCCTGTAATCCCAGCACTTTGGGAGGCAGAGGCAGGTGGATCACCTGAGGTCAGGAGTTCCAGACCAGTCTGAACAACGTGGCAAAACCCCATCTCTACTAAAAAATAAAAATAATAAATTAGCTGGGCACGGTGGCATGCGCCTGTAATCCCAGCCACTTGGGGGCTGAGGCAGGAGAATTGCTTGAACCTGGGAGGCGGAGGCTGCAGTGAGCCGAGATCGTGCCATTGCCCTCCAGCCTGGGTGACAGAGCGAGACTCCGTCTTAAAAAAAAAAAAAAAGAAAAGAAGAGAAAAAGAAAAAAGATATATGACCTCATATTGTACCCCAAGCTGATAAAGCAAAAAATGTTAGTTATAAGGAACAGCCTCTTTGCCTCCAATGTCTTCTCACTCCAAAAAGATAACACAGAAACACAAGCACGTCAATCTTGCTTTAAAACAATAGCAGCTTCCCATCACACTTAAGATAAAAACACAATTTCATTGCAGTGTTGAATGCAATGAACAAACCAAAGAGTGTATTAAAGGAAAACCTTATAATCTCCATTGGCAACCCTATTCTACAATTTGGACATTGACACTTCCTCATACTATGTAAAGTGCTATGAAAATGTAGCTTTAACTCTTTCCTTCCATCCATGGCAGCCCTTAATCTTAACACCCTATAGAGATTTCTGTTACTCATATACATTCAAAGCTCTTGAGAATCTGCCCTCATCTTCCCATCCTGTCTCATCTTGTTCTTCATCCCCACATTTCCTCAAGGACCCTTTGCAAACATGCCGTCATCATCAAAATTAAAAAATAAAATAATCTTAGAACTTGAGAACCCCAAATGCCAAGGCATTTGATGACCCCAGCTGTGAGAAAACCTGTCCTAGAGCTTTCAGCTACCTCTGATGTTTGTGGAAGAACTAGATAAATGAAAGCTGTCTTGGTGATGTCAGGGACCTCAGCCATTGCATGTAAACGTACGTTACTATCCTGGCTTTAGGCATGATTTAATTAGATTATCATGGCTGTGTTACTTATTATAGGGTTTGCGAAATTTTTCAAAATAATATTCACTTTACAAAATATGCCAATACCCTCAAATATTTCAAATCACATAGTGAAATAACTTATAACTATGTTTTTAGTATAACAAGTATTCAGCACTAATAAATGATTTCTTTGAATAGTGGTACTTTTGTGATGCAAAGTGTGCTTTCTTACACATGGTGACACTGATTTCTGATCAGGTTGATTATCTTCCTTTCCCTCTAATTGAAGTTTGTGGCTTCTGTAACTATTTCTGGGTTTGGATTTACTTGTAGATGCTATAAATAGCTCCACTAGGTTTTTATTTTTCACATTATGGTAGCACTGACTTCACAGAAAAAAATTCCACTTATGAATACTTTTGAAAAGGTCATTAATGAGGCCATTTTTCTAACCACCAAATACATGATTTCTTAACTGGCAGGCCTAAGAGCAATTCCTGAGGGCCACTCTCCATCCTTTTGTATCAAAGGAAACTATAAACAAATGAAATCTATAAACTGTCTGGGCCCCAATTAATCATTCTCCTGACTTTGAATAGAAATTTAAGCTGCACTTGATTTATTACAATATTTGCTCTGTCCTTAACTGCATCATGTGTACTGCTACTAAAGTCACGAGGAGCCCAGAACCGCATGTGCTTAATCAGTCATGATTAATAATAGCTGTGATCCTCCACGCCCATATTCATCTTTTGACTCACAGATTAAATCTTTGGGCTTTTCTGTTAAAAGGATACACCTGAATGCCCTAATCAGTCTCAAAACCTGGCGTACACACACACACACACACACAAAAAAAAAAAACTTGTTTTTTAAATTAAGAAAGTCGGCCGGTTGTGGTGGTTCACGCCTGTAATCCTAGCACTTTGGGAGGCCAAGGTGGGCAGATCACCTGAGGTCAGGAGTTCGAGACCAGCCTGACCAACATGGTGAAACCCCCGTCTCTACTAAAACTACAAAAATTAGCCGGACATGGTGGCGTGCGTCTGTAGTCCCAGCTACTCGGGAGGCTGAGGCAGGACAAAGGTTGCTTGAACCCGGGAGGCGGAGGTTGCAGTGAGCCGAGATCACGCCACTGCACTCCAGCCTGAGCGACAGAGCAAGACTCTGTCTCAAAATACATAAATAAAATAGAGTAAAAGATTGTACCAGATTAACAACTGATATTACATGTCATGACTCTTTTTGTTTAATTTGGTTTTGAGAAAAAACAAAAGCTGTTTCTGATTAACATATGGCCAGTGTCAGTGTTCCCTTTGAGATGTGCCCATCCACATTGGCATTCGGGATGAAGCTACTCCACCAGCCCCTCTTTATTGTACTTCTGTCCCTGGGGAGTGATTTATCAAACATTAACAACAGTTGCAGCATGACAGCAACTAAATTAAATGAATTAAATGAAACTGTGTGCTCTGTGAACTGTAAATGCTACACAAGTGTCAAAGGACATGGCTGTGTGAATATCATTGCAAATCTTCTCTATATTGGGGTATATCTATTATTAAGGATATTTGATTTTGAACATGATGCCACTAAGCCTGAAGGTGGTTAAATGAAAACATACTTTTTGTTAAGGGGTTGTACATAATGTGTTCTGTTTCATTCAAATAATAGGTATGGCAATACCTGAATTTGTGGAACTTTTGCATTAACTTCCAAGAGAATACCTATGTATGGCATAACTTTATTGGACTTTGCATAGACTCTTGTCTATTAAACATAAGGTCCAAACTCATGTCCTTGTGGTAAGAGTCCCTGTGTGTCTTTCCTAGGAAGGACTGAAACATCTGGAGTTCTGTAGTAAGCCAGTTGTTAAAACCTGTTTTATTTAATTTTATTTATTTGTTTATTTATTTATTATTTTATTTTATTTTTGAGATGGAGTTTCGCTCTATCGCCCAGGCTGGAGTGCAGTGGTGCGACCTCGGCTCACTGCAACCTCTGCCTCTCGAGTTCAAGCAACTCTCCTGCCTCAGCCTCCCAAACAGCTGGGATTTCAGGCATGTGCCACCACGCCTGGCAATTTTTGAATTTTTAGTACAGATGGGGTTTCACCGTGTTGGTCAGGCTGGTTTCGAACCCCTGACCTCAGGTGATCTGCCCGCCTCGGCCTCCCAAAGTGCTGGGATTACAGGCATGAGCCACCACACTTGGCCTTTTAAATTTTAAATTTATTTTATTTTTCATTTTATTTTTGAGACAGACTTTCACTTTTGTTGCCCAGGCTGGAGTGCAATGGTGCAGTCTCGGTTCACTGCAACCTATGCCTCCTGGGTTCAAACAATTCTCCTGCCTCAGCCTCCCAAGTAGCTGGGATTACAGGCATGCGCCACCATGCCCAGCTAATTTTTTGTATTTAGTAGAGACGGGGTTTCACCATGTTGGTCAGGCTGCTCTCTAACTCCTGACCTCAGGTGATCCACCTGCCTCAGCACCCAAAGTGCTGGATTACAGGGATGAACCACCACACCTGGCCTTTTTAAATTTTTGAGACAGAGTCTCACTCTGTTGCCCAGGCTGGAGTGCAGGGGTGCAATCTTGGCTCACTGCAAACTCCGCCTCTCCGGTTCAAGTGATTCTCGTGCCTCAGTAGCTGGGATTACTGGCATGTGCCACTACACCCGGCTAATTTTGTAATTTTAGTAGAGATGGAGTTTTGCCATGTTGGCCAAGCTGATCTCGAACTCCTGGCCCCAAGCAATCAGCCCACCTTGGCCTCCCAAAGTGCTGAGATTACAGGCGTGAGCCACTGTGCCCAGCCTAAAACTTGTTTTATATGCAGTTATCTTTTCATGGGAAACAGTTGCCCTTCACCTGCAAGGAATCTCATAAATTATATGGGAACATTTCCTTAATGATAGAGTTAAATGTTAACATAAAGACATGATGTTAGTGGAGCTAGGTCCAGTTCATACTTGAAGAAACCCCTGTTTCAAGATCCCATGGTATTCTATACTTGAGTTCTAAAACTATTCCTACCCTATAATTTAATTCCAGAACTACTGATCATAAAGTTGTCTTATCCACTCTAAATTTTACATCCAGCTATTTTAATTTCCATCCACTTCTTCATACAGGGCTGCCTTTTACATTTAGTAGTTATAGGAAGAACACCAGGATAGAACCTTGTTGTGCTTACTTACAGAGTTTTTATGTGTGAAAGACTAAATGAAGACTAATCATAAAAGAACAAGACTCACGTCTTTCTTTTTTTTGTTTGTTTTTGAGAGGGAGTCTCTGTCACGCAGGCTGGAGTGCAATCAGTGGCACTATCTCGGCTCAGTGCAACCTTCGCCTCTCGGGTTCAAGAGATTCTCCTGCCTCAGCCTCCCGAGTGGCTGGGATTACAGATGCTTACCACCACTCCCAGCTAATTTTTGTATTTTTAGTAGAGACAGGATTTCACCATATTGGTCAGGTTGGTCTTGAACTCCTGACCTCAAGTGATCTGCCCACCTCGGCCTCCCAAAGTGCTGGGATTACAGGCTTTCGCCACCATGCCTGGCTAATTTTTGTATTTTTAGTAGAAACGGGGTTTCACCATGTTGACCAGGTTGGTCTTGAACGCCTGACCTCAAGTGATCCACCTTGGCCTCCCAAAGTGCTGGGATTACAGGCCTTTCGCCGCCACGCCTGGCTAATTTTTGCATTTTTAGTAGAAAAGGGGTTGCACCATGTTGACCAGGTTGGTCTTGAACTCCTGACCTCAAGTGATCCGCCCACCTCCGCCTCCCAAAGTGCTAGGATTACAGGTGTGAGCCACTGCTCCCGGCCAAGACTCATGTCTTTCTTCTGGCTTTTTCATTCTCTGTAATAAACAGTATACTGAATAGTTACTAAAAGAACATTAAGCTTTCTGGGATTCTAGCTGTATGCTGCCTCATTTAAACATACCCCAGACTTCCTGGGTTTATAGAATTCAAGTCATCTAATCATTAGCCTTTTCTGGTTATGTTCTGTTTTCTATTCAGGCCAGATTCTGTGGTTGGCCACGAAGTGAAGCCCTCATTAATAACCTATGTTCTTTCTCCCTTACTTGCAACACGTTAGTGCCAATCCCTAACCCCCAACCTATTGCTACCAGGACTCCAGGACTAAGCAAGGATATTTGGTGCCTGGAGGCAATGTCGTATGTTTATGCTGCCATTTGCAAACACTAGCATCTTTGAGGTCTCTCCACAGACTGGTTTTTGGGCGCATGGCCTCCTTCAGCATCCATGCCGTATGTACAGTTGTCTTTCTGTATCCCTGCCTTTCGGCTGTACGGTGTCACCGATGAAGGTCATGGGAACCACACTGACCTGGCCCAGTACAAAGCCATGTTATCTAATTTAACTTGCATCTTCGTTATTCCTGCCAAGCAATCCTGGTTATCTCCTTTCCTGCCATATTCCCCCTAAAAGTGAACTCACTTGACTTGAATCCTTCCTACTGGCTTTAAGTCAGTGATGTTGATTGTTGGAGAGGTACACTTTGCCCATGCCTAGTTTTTCTTTCTATGTATGTGGACTTTTCATTAGTAATGCTCTGACCTCATTCCAGGCCTTTATTTATTTTGGAGGAGGACGGCTCATTTGGTTGGAGATTGGGGACCAGGATACTGCATGCTTGTCTCTCTGTCTTGGTCTTCTGGTAGGCTTAGCGCGCAGGCTAAACTCTGCCTGTGGGAAGCGAGGCCTGTGGTGGCTGGTGCTGCCTGTGGCTAAGTGGGTATTCCTAATTCTGGGTGAGTAGTAGGCAAGAACGAAGCCACACCCTCCAGTACAACTTTTATTACTAATAAAACTGATTTTTTTTTCTCTATCCTCCTGAAGTCTGCATCTGTCTCTGAATTGGCTTTCAAAGTCAGATCAGGAACAAGGGTGTCATCCACTGGCACATCAAAATTTCAACATTTAAGCCATCTCCTTCCTATTATCCAAGCAACCTTGAACCCTATGAATTTAGAAGATTAAGGTATTCAGACAGGATCATCCCCAAATGTCTTCCCCATCACTGCGCATTTGCCGTTCTACAACCTTCTCTACATGCAAAGAATCCCCCACCTCCTTCCTAAGACTGATCTCTCTTTCAGTTCCTCTAGTTACTATCTTGTTTCTTCTAGGTAGGTCTCCATTACCAGCCATTTCTCTTTCTGGTCACATGGGAAGAGGATGCCAAATAAAAAGATTTCAAAGCCACAAATTGCTGATTTCCCATCAAGCCTGCAGGCAATCCAGGATGGGGCATGATGTCTCATGCCTGTAATCCCAGCACTTTGGGAGGCTAAGGCGGGAGGACCGCTTGAGGCCAGGAGTTCCAGACCAGCCTGGGCAACATAGTGAGATCCTGTATCTACAAAATATGCAAAAATTAGCTGGGTGTGGTGGTGCACGCCTGTAGCCTCAGCTACTCAGGAAGCTGAGGCAGTAGACTCACTTGAGCCCAGGAACTGGAGGCTGTAGTGAGCTATGATCATCCCACTGTACTCCAGCCTGGGCAACAAAGCAGTACCCTGTCTCTAGAATTAAAAAAAAAAAAAAAAAAGACAAAACACTTTAATCCATATCCACAAATCTGACAAGAAACCACTTAATCCAGAAAGTTTTGGGGGAATCAGAAAATGCTATTATAGGTTTAGCTCATCTAAGACCCATAGCTTCTTAAGCACAAGGCCAACTACACTTAAAATGTATAATTTATGAGTTATATCCTGCATATTGTGAAATGTCAGACATTAATAAAATGTATGTAAATGGAGGTAGACGATATAAAAAAAGCAGAGAAGAGGCAACGTACCCCACATATTTCAAAATCCTATAGTAATATATTTGATAATTTAATATTAAGTTTGGTGTTAAGCTTCCTTGAAGCCATGGAAAAAAGGAAAACACACTGGATAACATAATTCTCATTGAGAAAAGGAAGTTGGGTCTCTGACAAAATTTTGTCAGGAAAGATTCTTTCTAGCCCAATTGCTCTTGAACCTGTGAACCTGTGATAAGGGATGCTGAACCACAAAGAGAACAGTGTGCTCCGTAGTGGATGTGCAGAAGACACAGATAGCCTCAAATCTCCCAATGATAAGGACTCATGTTGCCAAATATTCTCCTGGAGCAATGAGGACAGAACACATGGGTTGACGAGGTCTACTTTGGCCATGCTGCCAGAAGTTGACCAGACATGGTGGCCCATGCCTGTAATCCCAGCATTTTGGAAGGCTGAGGCAGGAGGATAGCTTGAGCCCAGGAGTTTGAGATCAGCCTGGGCAACATAGTGAGACCCTGTTTCTACAAATAATAATAAAAAAGGAGTTGTTTATAAAATGTTCTTATCCCACCAGCCCTCATGGCTCTTTGATGTTATCCCTTTGAGCAAAAAGATGGTGCCAACACCAACACTTGTTATCCTTCCTGTGGCACAATCCTTTGGCTCTTGAGTCTGCTCCTACTTCCTTATAGTAAAACCAGTGTCTTGAACCTGGAGGGAGCATAGCTGGTTTCCTTTTCGATATTCCATGAGGGAACTCATTAAGGATGGGATAGAAATTTATATTCGAATCAGGAGAAAAGCTTTTAAGTCATCCATTCATTCAAAAAAATCTCGAGGCTGAGGCAGGATTGCTGAGGCCAGGAGTTTGAGACCTGCCTGGGCAACACAGTGAGACTTCCTCTCTACTAAAATAAAAAATAAAAAAAATTAGCTGGGCGTGGTGGCACATACATGTATTCCCAGCTACTTCAGAGGCTGATGCAGAAGGCTCGCTTGAGTCCAGGAGGTTGAGGCTGTGGTGAGACCTGATTGTGCCACTGCACTGGGCACAGAGCGAGACCTTGTCTCAAAAACAAAAACAAAAACAAAAACAGAAACAAAAGTCTGGCTCCTACTATGTGGATATGTGCAGGCTCTAGGTATATCATGGTGGACCAAACCCAGACATGGCCCTGCCTTCATGCAGCTTAAGGCCTGAGGGTCCTGACCTAGTCTAAGGTGTGAGGTGGTGAAGTTTTCCATAAGGAATTGGCATTTGGGCAGAGATCCAAGGAAGAGGAGCAGGGAAGGAGGGTGAGGTGCATCAGACAGAGGGCACAGCCCATGCAGAGCCCCTGTGGCAGGAAGGAAGCAGTGCTTTGAGGAAATGAAAGAGAAATGGAATACAGAGCATGAAGGAGAAGATAGTGCATGGCAAAGCCGGAGAGAGGGCAGGGCCTTGCAGGCCTGAGGACAGTGGGGGCCACAGAGGGTTTTTCAGGAAAGCCAGTGCAGGAGGGAACAGGACCCCATGAGAGCTGACAGTGCAACATGGATTGAAACAGCAGAAACAAATATGGAGAGCTCAGGTAGGGGCAGCTACAGGAATGGAAGTGGAAAATGATGGAAGCCTGTACTAGGTGCGTTGGGGTAGGGATGAAAAAAATAAGTGGATCAGGATGTATTCACGAGGGGAAGTAAACAGAACTTGATGATTGTTAGTGAAGAAGAGGGAGGTGCCACAATGATTTGCCAGTTTGCTAACTGAGCTTAATGGCGATGCCATTCACAGAGACTGGAGTGCAAGTTTGGGAGGAGAACCCTGAGAGCAGGGCCCCTATGACATCTAAGTGGGCGTGGTTGGTAGGACTGACCCAGTGTTGTGTCGATCAATGCTGAATCGTATTGCAAATCTCATTGCAGGACTGAATGTTGGATCTTACAAAATGTTGGAACTTTTTGAGAAAAAATAAATGGTTAAATTGTTAGCATTTTATAGGTAAATTTCCAAACATTAGGAGAGAACCATGAATTTGGTTTCTGCACAGAAGCACTAAAAGCACCCTGCGTGGAGGAGAATGATTAATGGGTACCCATCCTGTGTGAACACGCCTGTAAAACTGAGTCATGAGAATTGGTAGCTCAGCTCTGAAAGCTACCAAGACAACAGGGAGACAAGGCAGGGGCTGACATGCTCCTAACCAGACCCTACAGACTGAATAGTGCTGGCGAAGACACGACCGAGAGAAGAGCAGGAAAATCATCAAATGGGAAATGGTGATGCAGAAAATAAAACTAATTTTATATAGAAAGAATATTAAAGAAATGGCAGAAATGCTTGAGTACTTCAAGTGTGATTTTTAAAGTAGTCACAGGTGCCCAAATAGCTACTTTTATTTCCATCCTCCCACCTTATCCCTTGCTTCTCAGCTGGCTTGGCTAAGAGGGAAGGAAAACTCCCTTCTCCTCAAGCCTTCTCCTCTTTCTGTCTTGGGCATTCACCTGTGAGTCAGCCTGACAAGGCCAAGGGAAATGGAGGGGCAAGAATGTGCTCCCATCGCTCCTGGGATCTCAGCCGAGGGAAACAGGAAGCAGCATGTTTTCTCTGCCCTACACACTTTCATCCCTATTACGTGTGCACAGAGCCCCCAGAGAAAAATGCAATTTGGTAGTGACCTGATAACCACACTCTTGCAGCTTTGGTCCAAGAATGGTAAAAATCCAAGGAATGCCGGGGAAGGGAGAGGGGGAGGCAGAGCAAAACAAAACACAATCTCCATTGTAAATGACTGGTTAAAATTACGTTCAAGTTAATGTCTAACTAAAAAGTGGAAATTTGATTACATGGGGTACCTTAACTTTCTCATGAAGAAATAATTTTTATACCTTGAAAGTTTAGCAATTACTGTTAAAGCATCAAAGAAACATTTCAAAGTTTTATTAAAAATTCACCTTGGTAAGGAAGAAAGGTGGTGCAGGTAACCCTAGAGTTTAGCTGGTTGGATTTGGTTGGGTCACAAGGTGACTGGGTCTAGGAGGGAACCGAGGCCAGGGACCCACAGTTGCCATCTCCCCTCCTGTGGGCTGGGGCAGAGTTCACTGGCCTCAACATGCACCAGGGAGACCTAAGGTGCATCTGTGAATTCTGTTGTAATTGTTTGGGAACTGTCAGCTGCAATATCTTTTTGAAGTCCCACCCTGTTTTTATGGCTCTCAATGTGTCTATTAGGAAACTTTAATTCTGTGTACTCAAGGATAGAAAGCAGAGCTAGGCATGGCTCCTCTGAGCTCATCCTTCTGGCCACGTTGTTAGTGAAACCCTTTGGAACAGTGTGTTATCAGTCACCAAGATCTTTAGCAGGCTGAAAATGCTTTTAGTAAATGATAAAGGCTCTCAAAACTTACGTGATAAAAAGTGCAGACAGTGAAGGTCCATTGCTCCTGTCTACCCTTTGCCAGTTGCTCTTTCCTAGCTTAGGGTAGAGCAATACTACGAAGTTTGGAAAATGTCACCATTTCTGTACCTCGCGACCTGACTTCATTTACTCATTCACTGGTTCACACATCCTGCATTCATTCACTCTGCATTTATTAAGCATCACCGCGGAGATTAGGCTGACCTTGCTGGGTACTGCGGATGTGAAGGTGTCTGAAAGACACACCCTGCCCTAGTTTAGCGGATCCCACCCTCATGGGGCCAGACACCTCACCCCCCACCCTGCACCCCACCCCTCCCAGTTCCCACTCTCAGGGGAGCCCCAGGAGGGAGCCTTTTCCTCTGCCCTGTGAGGCTGGGAAAGGTGTTGCCAAGGTGCAGCAAGCAGCTAGGCCGGATGAGGAGGGCAGTCCCCTGGGGAGGACCATGCTCGCAAAGGGAAGTTAGGAACAAGAGCTGGGAGAAGGATGGCTTTCTGTAGCTTCCATTAACCTTGCGGAAACACCCCCAGTTTGGGGTAGGGGGTGAAGGTAGTCAACTGTTAGGTTTTCTTTCGGCCCAGGATAAATAAATGTCATTCCCTTCTATATCCAATGCACAGTTATTACCTAGTAACTTTCTCACTATTTCGTGGGAACCACGTTAAAACCTAAAGTTTAAATAAAACAGGAGAACTCGGAGTGCATGTTTAAATGAACTCTGGCATCCCCCATAGAGTGGGGCGCCCGAGTCAGCAAACCCTTGGCTCACGGGCCCGCGGTGGGGACGCTACACGTACCTTTCAGAAGTGACCCGGATGCGCTCGTCGCTGGACGACTGCTGCTCATCCTCCTTCTCCCGGAAGTGCTCCTGCACGCACTGCTCCTCGAACTCATGCAGCCTCTTTAGCTCCTCGTCGCTAAGGAAGAGCTCTGTGTGAAGGGAGAAGTGTCGGCCACGTGAAAAACAAGAAGAATCAGTTTCGTGGCGTCAATGAGAATTTCACAGCCCCACTTTAATTAAGCTCTCTTCTCCGCCACTCCTAAGGCAGTTCGCCACTACTCCAATTGATTTTTATCTAAAAAGGGGTTGTCATACGCCCCAACCCTCTATCAGTTGGAGCCAAACGGCCCGCTTTTAAACATAAAAAACAAAATTACATTTACTGGGAAAGTAAAGCCAAGTAATATTTCCTGGAAAACTTTTTGCACTTATTTTTATGAATAGAGTCAAACGTATAGCATTATTTTCTCATTTTCTTTAGATGCAACAAATTAAGACGTTTTGAAAGGAGCATTGAATTTATATAGAAATTTACAGAGTAGAGTTATTTTAGAGAATTAGCTCAACTTCTGGTCTCTATGAGCTGGCTTTCCTAATATTAATTACTAACAAATTAACGAAACTAGAATAAAATGGGTACAAAATGAGAAGCCTTTTGAAAAGAACAGCAGTTGGACTGAGTGTGGTGCTTTTCACACGAGCAAGTAGTTGAGTGAGATTTCTGTGAGGATGTCCAATTTGAACACTATTTTGAAATCAGCCCAACTTAGAAATGAAGAGCCCTGCACATACTCAATCCACGATCCCGTTCCTCTTGGTCCCCTTCTCTCTTTTTCCTGCAGCGGCCGCTGAGACGCATAATGATGATGTAGATGTGGCTTAAAATGATCATCGGTGGGGGCAGGACTGGCCTGTCATGAAATGTCATAATCAGCTGATATCGCTGGAACTTCCACACCTGGTTGGATATTGATTTTACTTCAAAGAAGGTATTGCTTTAAAAAGAAGACATTTTTACAGTTAGTTATATTACTTTTTATAGTGATTTCCCAGAGCAGTCAAAGTTACTCACATTTAAGTGAAAATACTCAATGAGATGGCCTTTTAGTGCCCTTTAGTACTGATTCCTTGATTATCCAATCTTTTGGTTTATCCATCAATGTGGATTATCTGTGCTTAAGGACATTGTATTCATAAATAGCTAAGTGTAATAAATTGCTATGTACTGCTTTCTTGAAAAACCACACCACAATCTACTCATATACTCAGGAAATTTAATTTCCTATGTGTAGCGGTATAAGCCATTTAACTAAATGCTTTCACATGTTTAAACTTTCAATTCTGTCTAACAAGTAGATGACTACTTTTTTTTCAACTGAATTAATTAGTTATTGAACTTATTTGATTGAAGGTTCGTTATTTTGGACATGGGGTAGGTACAATCTTTGTCTTATTTTAGCTTCCAACAGGAAGCAGTAAGTGCATGATTTCATTGTCTACCAATACTGGGACCTTAGGAAAACCAGTTACCTTCCCTGACCTTAGTTTTCTCATCTCTCAAGCCAGAAGTTTGGACCAGGTTTTCTCCAATGCCCTGTTCAATTCTAAGATTGCATATTTCTGTGAAGGATTTTTCCCTCTATATTTTTCATCTTAGAAGCTAAAATCATTTTTTTCAATATTTATTGAGCATGGTCAACATACTCAACACAACATGCCAAATAGGCAGGTTTTATAAGAAACTCGATTTAACCCTTTAAGCCATTTTTTTCTTAGGCCATTTTATCTTGTATTCTATAAATGATCAGAAAAAATGCTTTACTAGTATTACAGTAATTGTAACAGCTTATGAAACTCATATTGCCTTTTCCACCTCTGCTGATGAATAAAAAGCATGACTTAATCAAATATTCTGTACCCCAGGAGACTTTCATCTAAGAAAATATTTTCATTAGATTAAAATACATGCTAAAGTGTTAAAATACTAACCAAGATTAAATTTAAATGTATTTAAGTGTCAACTCTTGATTTATGAATACATTAAGACTGATTAAGTTTGAACAAAGAGACTGCAAAAATTGGATCTACTTAAAAACCCTAATGAAATTATCTGCAAATATATTGGTATCTTGGGAGCGTTCTGAGATTAAATGGAAAATCTGTACAGTAATAAATAATAAGCATGTGGTCATCGGCTGTGACACGTACTTGAACACAGCAATCAGCAGGTTCACCAGCAGGATGTTGGCGACCAGTAGATAGCACGCCATGAGTGCTGGAGTGAGCCAGGCGCCGGGGATACAGGGAGGAAGCCGCTTGCCCTCCTCATCATATAGGTTCTCACCACAAGGAGCTGAAAGAAAAAAATAGTTTTGTCTTTGCTTTTTACATATAATGAAAAGGATAAATATCTCTTACATATGTTTTTCAATACCTATTTCTTTTTTAATATGATTCTTTCTTATTTCATAAGCAATATTTTTTCCATGGGAAAAAATAAACTCTGTAGCCCCAGCTACTCGGGAGTCTGAGGCAGGAGAATGGCGTGAACCCGGGAGGCAGAGCTTGCAGTGAGCCGAGATCGAGCCACTGTACTCCAGCCTGGGTGACTGAGCGAGACTCCCAGTTGTCTCAAAAAAAAAACAACTCACACAAAGAAAAAAGTCAGAAACTCATATCTGCGCTCAGAGATAGTCATTATTTGTCATATTTCTAAACATTTTCCCATTTCTTTATTGTGGCTTTCAAATATAAAAGTCTTCATTTTTAAGCAGACAAATGTATCTTTATGTTTTTTCCCTTTATCGTTATCCATTTGAAAGTCATTGTGGCTTCTAATTATTTAACATCAGCTTATGTTGTCTTCTGGTTGTTTTCTTGGTTTCACTGATACATTAAATTTGAAAATATTTTTGTTATGTTGTATGGGTTAGGGATTTCCTCTACTTCCCAAATTGTTTAATCAACTGTTTTGGTGCCATGTTTGAAAAATAATCTTTTCTCCCTCTGCTCATTTGAAATGCAACTTTTTATCATAGGGGGTCTATTTCTCCCCTAAAAAAATAGGGTGATCCCAACAGTGAATTTGTGGTTCTCTTTACTTTTTACTGACAGCTTAAAAAGTACTGGCACCAAAAAACAAGAGAAGTATTTGAAAACAGTTTAAGACTACTAGTAATCAGCTAAGGAAAAGGTAATTGAAAAACACATTCCATAGACTAGAATAATCAATTCCATGTAAACTTACGATTAATTTCCATGGCGTAGACTACATGACGATTGGAAAGCAGGATTTTTGTTTTGTTTTGTTTTGACAGGAGGGGAGGAAAGAAAATAAGATGATGGTTGAGAGAAAAGTAAAACAAGTGGTTTAACAACATAACTGTTTTGCTGTGAAGAAATGCAAATATTTTAAGCTTGGGAAATATTGATTCACACTTAGAAACAGTGATCTGTTTAGAAGAATTACATACATTAATCATTCTAGAAAATATATATCATGGATATTTATTTTACCCTGTGTCATAAGCGAGAGCAAAAGCTCACTAGTTAAAAATACTGTGAAAAAGACATGATGTTACTGGCAGATGATCAGGTTAACCAATCACGCGCTCCCTATATTCCAACACAAACACCTCATAAGCACAAATAACTACAAAATTATTAGTTAATAGATCAAGAATCAAAAACCTACATTTAATTATGTTACTGAGAATAGCACAGCCTAAAGTTTACCTCTTTACCTTCTCTCATAACCCAATTTAATTTAAAAAAAAAAGAGCTCAACAATAAAAATACTACAGTTTATGCCTGGAATTCAGGAACTTTTAACGTGTATGTATATCTACCTAAACTAATATTCTTTTGAAATCAAATTAGATTTTTATGTTCTGGCTTACCAAGCTACTAACACACTTCAATAGTTGACTTTGTGATACTTGCAATAATGATATGGTCAGAATGACATTATAAAAGTTAGAAAGAAGCTACTGCATGAGCTGGTTATTGTCTAACCTAGAGGCAGTAGATATACACTGACAGCCCTACATTCCATATGAGAGGAAGATGATAAAAACTTTCTATTCCCAAATAGCAGAGCTCTGGAAGCAGCAGACATGCTATTATAGCTGATGCTTTATGATAAATCACAACATGCAAATGAAAATGTTGGTCCTGAAATGGAAATGGGACTAAAAGTGCCTCCTTCACTGGTGGAACATTTATTCAACTGTCCTGGTGAAATAGTGTACAAGAACATTTGAGCTTTACATTCCTTCAATCCAGAAGACACCAGCTCAGCCTGCAGAGGAGCTGGGCCTACATTCCCCAGAAATCTGTGCAGGATCATAGCCCATTTCCTCTACTAACATCCAGATTATTTTTGATAATACAAAATAGCACTCTAGTAGTGAAGATGAAATGGGTATGAAATGGGTAGCTATGTGGAAAATGGGCTCTGATGGCTTTAAGAAGAGGATGGTGGGAAGTGTCAGTTACTCTGCTCTGTTCACTAGTTCATTCTACTGGAAAACACTACCAGCCTTATCCTGGGGTGGGGAGATACTGGGTTGAAGAAAAACTAGGCTATTGGCATTAGAACTGCATTCATGTGACACGATGTCCATCAGGTCCAGCTCAAGGGAATTCTAGTGAATTATTTTTAGAATAAAAGAAATGACTGATGTCTGAAAATCCATGTTCCATAATTTGTTCTTATTTCTTTGTAAAATAATTTGATGCCTATGGTGGAGTGACAAATATTTTTTATTTCCAAATTAATACATGTTCTTCCATTAATTTGGAACTGATCATCTGCCTCAGAAGCAGGGAAGAGAATCTTACTATGAATTCTACTCTTACGGTCTATCTGGTCTGCAAACACCTCTCCATAGATCATCCAGTAGGGCATGTAGAAGATGTTTCGGGCCAGTTTCCAAGAGGGCTTCTCCTCTGGATGCAGAATGGCTTGACGGGCTACTCCGAAACTCATGAGCACGACCAGCATGATGACCACAAAGTACAGCATGTCGATCATCTGAGTAAGGAGAACATTTGTCTCTCACTGTCTTGGCTTGTGGGCCAAGTTCACCCTGGCTCATTATATTGCTGTCTCCAATTAAGCACTTCACGAGTGCTTAATTAGGACGAAGAAAGCCTCTTTCCCTTCCTTTCTTCCCATCCCTGGGAAGGCTTTTTCCTACTCCATGCAATGCTTTATGCCTAGAATGTCTTCTAGAACATTGCTATCTTCATCTGCTCTTCATCCTTCTTGCTTCTTCTCTGTTGTTGCCCATAAACACATGTCCCTTAGTAACTACAACTGCAAATGGAGAAAGGGAAGAATTACAAGAAAAGATGGGAGTTTGTAAGGGATGCTAAGGAGGAAGAGGAGCAGATACCTAAGGAAATAAAACGATAATGAATTGAGAGTATAGACCAACATTTATTCATTCACTACACAAGTGCTGAGCAATGCCCTGGTTACTGTGGATACTAAACTGGTATAATTCCTAATTTTGAACATCCCTGAAGATGGAGGCCCTTGCTGGAATTTACTAAAGCATACTTCCCTTAGCTCAAAACCACTTGCCCTATAAAGAGTCCTTCCTAAATGTAGGAGGCTTGCTTTCTTCTTGTACCAGTCCTAACACTGAAGCTCTTTTAGGTAATGTAAGGATGACCTGCTGGTTCATTTTCAGTTTCATATTCTCTGGCCTGTTCTGGAGTATAAGTCATCATGGTCTAATCACATGGACTTCCTGTGTTCACTCCAGGCCAGAGTAAATGAGCTGAAGATCATCTGGAGTACAGGTTGGGGATTGGCCCTGGGCTCCCTTTGTCTCCGGCTTCTACCACATGTTAGGAGGTTATAAATCAGGCGGGGTTTTTTTTTTTTTTTTTTGGCCATATATATATACATTCTGAAGTGGATGTAGTCTCATAGAACATCAAATCCATGTCCCTGTACTAAAGAATGCTGAAAATATGTTTCCAGCCATCAAGAAGTAAATATTTTGAGACATCTATTTTGCTACTGAATTCCTATTGCATCAAAAATTGATGTTCTCTTATGTCCTGGGAAAGTGAAGTAAGCTCTTACAAAAAAACGAGGCTATTTTCTTTTATATTGCTGTCAAAATAGACTCATTAATAATAAATCAGAAGGAATAAAAAACAAACGTAATTAGTCACCCTACAGTTGAGATATGGTATGGAAGAAGGGAGACAGTATATATTGAGTACCTGATATATATTGAGAGAGATATACATGTGTACGTGTGTATGTATACACACATATATACAGTGAATGTATATACACTATATATGTATATATGTTATGTATATATACACAGTAGGCCCTCAACTCATGTTTTTCTATTGGATTTTATTAAGTTATCAACATGTAGGAGAACTGTGTATCTTAAAGCAAAGAATATTTCCTTTAAAAAGCCAACTGCAAAAGAAAAACCAAATGAAATTGAAGGAAGCCATGCCCAAGGCCTGTTCTTATGTCCTAACTACAGCCAAAGTCTCTCTGGATACCCACAGGATGCCACTACTAACCATCTTTCCAATCATCATCACGTATGGCCCCAGATACTTGTTGACACCAAAGATGTCCAGGACACGGATGTACCAGAAGATGATATCCACACAGTAGATCACCCGGCCATAGCCCATGTAGGGCTGGTTCTGTAGGCGAAGAATTGCTCCAATCATGAATGTGGAAATGGCCACGAGATCTGTGATGTTCCAGTACTCCTGAAGCCAAACTTTGATTTTCTGGCTGAGTTTGCCTGGTTCTGACATGAGGATCTGAAAACAAACCCCAAAGAACAATAAACTGAGATGCCGTATTAGAAGTCTTGTCTTAGAATCTTGGAACAATAAGACTGATGGAACATTCCAGGTCATCTGGCCCCTTTCCTACTCAAAACGTTTAAACACTCTTCTTCTCAGGCAGGGAGAGATATCTAGAAAGGGAAATTCCACGGAATCCTCCCTATTCTTAGATTCAGGGTTTTACAAACTCAGGAAATGCCTTCTAAATTATGTCCTTCTGGCTGTAATTAAAGCAGCTGCATTTTGATTTCTTTTTTAATTATCTGGACACGTGCCTGTTACTCCACATTCCAGAGTCACACAGGATGAAAACTCTAGAGCATAGATGAGCCCCACGTGGCCCCACAGAGGGGCAGTCCACCCAGTGGAGATGGCAGAATACCACTAGGAAATGTTTTGATTTGGCAAAATTCCTTTGCAACTTAGACATGAGAAATTAGGGGAAAGTTAGACCAGGTTTTCCCCTACTTGAGATATTATCCTTTCAAAATCACTGCTGCTTAAGGGGAGACTTCCACAGAGTAAAATGGAAGATATTTAGCAAGCAGCATGCACAGGCGTGCGCAGAGCCTTCCCAATGGCACAGCTGTCTGTGGTACCACACTGGGATGGAGGGTTGCCATGCCAGGTGGTACCCCTTCAGTTGCAGAGGTCTTGGGGATCTCTGTGGTAGGATGGGGCAGTGGCTATCTGTCAGCCCACACAGAAGGGATTCACTAGTTTAACAACCCATGCACACTAGCCGATGGCCACCCTCTCTCTCCTATAACTGGGGGCAGGTTTCTGGAATAAAGAACAGTGTCTTGGTGTATGGTGGACCCTCAGCAAGGCCAGGACGGCACAGCGATGGTAAAGCAGGCCGCTCAGGAAATACCAGTTGCAGCACCTGCAGAATTTGAATGAGGCCCAGCTAGAAAAGGAACAGTAGTAGAAGGTGGCAAGTATAATTTTGGATTCAGTGCTCTTTTGGTTTTTCAGGCTCTAATTAGACCGATGCCATCAGATTCCCTCTATCTGGACTAGGTTAATAATGTTTTTCAGTTCAGTGAAAGGGTCAACAATTACTGCAAAATAATAGTATTGGTTGTATATCAGTTGGAGAAAGGATATGAAATGATGCTGTGGGCTTTTTCAGCTCAAGTTGCTTTTTTGCTTGGATACATGCTTTCTCTTTATAAGCAAATTTAGTGAATTAAAACTTCTGAATGATATTGGAAAGGGAAGTATCCGGCCTATCTTTCCTCTGCTGTCTGCAGAGATTGCTTACTGGGAGTTACATTTTCACTCGAGCTCTCTGGGATAACGAGTCATATGTGAGATGGTATCTGTTCTTTTGCAATACTGAGTTGAAAATCCTGTTCCCTCTGTTTGCAGCAAACGCTCTAGGCCCCTCCCATATCCCCTGGAGCTTTTCCCCAGGTGGGCTTGCCCACCCCATCTGCTGCAGGTGCTGCTGTTAGGCCCACACCTGCCCCCTTCTGGGAGGCTTGCTCTTAGATGCTTGGAGCCATGTCTCTGGTGGGTACCAATGACAAATTGAGGTGGGGCCCAAAGGTGAGACAGACTCCACAGTGTCCAGTCCACTCAGAGCCCCCTACAGGATTAGGCCAAGGACAGGATCCACCTGAAGCCACACCTCACTTAGCTCCTTTTCCTCCTGACTGGGAGCCCTCCCTTCATAAATCTCCTGCACAAGAGTCCAGAGATAAAAGAGATGGCATTTTTCCTGTAACTTTGGGCTTTGGACCACACTGTGCAAGTGTCTCTTGTATCTCTCTTTCTCCCTCTGATCCCAAATAACTAAGCCAAAATTTGTGCCCAGTTGCGGTAATTGGTTTATCTCAGGTCGCTGGCAGCATTTGCTGATGCTTTCCTATGCATTCAAACCTGTTTTCATTATTAAATATCTTTATTTTGCCTTGTGTTTTGATTTGCAAGTTCAAGTTCATTCAAGATGTATACATCTTAAATAAAGAAATGGAATAAACTTGGGATTGTGATACCTCCAAAAAAAGTCCCACAGCATGTGTAATTTGTTTTTTTGTTTTTGTTTTCGAGATGGACTCTCACTCTGTCACTCAGGCTGGAGTGCAGTGGCGCGATCTCGGCTCATTGCAACCTCTGCCTCCAGGGTTCAAGTGATCCTTCCACCTCAGCCTCCTGAGTAGCCGAAATTACAGGCAACTGCCACACGACCGGCTAATTTTTGTATTTTTAGTTGAGACGGGGTTTCACCATGTTGGCCAGGCTGGTTTCGAAGTACTGCTATCTCAAGTGATCCTCACACCTCAGCCTCCCTAGTAGCTGGCATTACAGGCGTGCACCACCACGACTGGCTAATTTTTTTTATTTTTAGTAGAGGCAGTGTTTCATTCACCCTGTTGGCCAGGCTGGTTTCAAATTCCTGACCTCAAGTGATCCATCCGCCTCAGCCTCCCAGAGTGCTGGGATTACAGGCATGAGCCACCACGCCTGGCCCAACATGCATAATTTGCATGAAACGTTTTTTCAGTAAGGAGCCATATCTGCATTTGCAGTCAGCGGTTAGTGGGCTGGGGGAGGCCTTTGGAGTAGCCACCTCTCGTATCTTCTCTAACGCCAGGCTCACGATGTAGGAGATGACGATCCACTCCTGGAGGGACGGCCAGCCATCCATCCGCACCAGGATGACGTAGTTAAACAGCAGCAGGTAGCCCAAGTATGATATCTGAAAGAAAGACAAGCTGTTAGCCGTGTTTGGGGGAATCACATAGCAATCAAATTTTGAAACGCTGTTTTCTTTCAGGTTGACACATCTAAAAGAATCTTTGTTTCCAACTGGACTGACTCATTGAGAGGAAACCTTCACTGCACCTCACCAGTGCAGACAGAAGACCTGGAGGCAGGACGGGAGGCATTTTATACTTCAGCACGATATGGGCCCTGACTTTTCATTTTCTACATGGAGACATATTGGTTGGTGCTGTCATCCTCATGGGGAAACTATGAAGTTGCAAACATTATGATAACGGGAAACTTTTAATAGTTTGCTGGAGTGTCTTCTACATTCCTGGAAACTGGAAAATGTTACTTACTCCTCCCTGCCTCAGAAATTTCCTTCCTGATTCTTTCCACAACTGGGAAGTTAGATGAGAGGACATGTGGATGAGTTGCCCACCCAGATATGCGAGCTGACCCTAGAGTCCCCTCAGTTACTGGTGGCATGTCCAGGATTTGCTGTGGCCACAGCAGGGCCCCTATCTCTGTGGCAGGGAAAGAGGCAGAGCTGGAGGTGGCAGTGGGTGAGGCAAAAGCAGGGAGTTAAGGGGTTGGGGGAGGACGTCTGAAGTAGATCACCTGTCCCCAGTGATTCACCATTATGCCAAGGAAACTTAAGCTTCTGGGTCCCTCACTGGCACAGGCCCCTGTGGAAGGCTTGGGGGAGGGGTGCTAAAAACTGAGTATTTGTAACTGGGCAGTTTGGTTTTTTTTTCTTTTTTTTCAAGATCCTGCCTCCCAAGCCTATAAGCTTTACCAGGAGAGAGGCAGGCCCCACCCCAAGATCCACTATCCACTCTTTGAAGAAAGATTAGAGCCATGTTCTCAGACTTTGGGCTGCATCCTAATCCCTGCGAAGCTGCACAATGTGTGATGACTCCACCCTCCACCCGATCCAGAGGGTCTGGGGTGAGACCCAAGGCTGAGAGGCCTCGATGGCTTCCTGGCCCCATCTCCGGCAGCAGCCTCTATGGCTGGGCTCTCCTGCAGGCTGGGTGCACCCCAGGCCCTCAGATGGTTCTAACCAGAATCGATGGGCAGCAGTGACTTCGACTGTATCATCAATCTTGGCTGCCACAAGGTTGGGTGTCCAGGCCCTCAGCTGACCCTTGAGGTGGGCCCCCACACAGAGCTTTGCTCTGCCCCCAGCCCACCCTCATTCATCGCCCAGACCACGGCCAGGGACCCAGCTCCTCATGTCCCATACCCTGCTCCCACCTCATCACCAGTGCAACCACAGCACCGAGGCCTGCCTGGCGGGGGCTGTGGCTTGATGCTTGGGATTTCATGAGAAGTCTCTCTCCTCCCGACTGACGTGGTTGCACAAGCCACAGTGTGCCTGGCCACCCCCGCTGGGACCGCCTGCAGCTCGGCCATTTCCCCCAGAGGCGCTCTGATCTGCCCTCCTGCCTCCTCTCCTGTTCTTGTTAGCAGAGAGCCACACTCTGGGAGCTGTGTAGACCCAGGGCCTCAGAGAGGGCTGGAGGATGGCTTGCCAGCCAAGCGGGTCAGTTTGGTGAGCACTTCAGAATGAGACGCCTTGATTTGTTTCCCTATTCCAAGAGTTTACCATCTGGATTTAGCCATGCCCTTGTAATGACCCCACCAATTTCATGAAAAATGGAATCTGTGAATTTGCTCTTTAAATCACTAGTCATCTCTGTTCATTTAAAAATAAAATTATAGTTCCTTAAGTTTGTATTGCTAAAGGCATCAGAAGAATTCATCTTAAGCAAATAGCATGTGACTATTTTGCCTTATGAGATGGTGTATTTGGGACTAGGATGGCCATATATCAATATATGACAGGATATCGAGATCCAATGTTAGCCAGAGATCTCAATTAGTCCCAGTTTTGTTCTCATAATTCATTTTAATTCAGTGAATTTTTAGATACTTTTTTAAGCCCTTGAAGTTTTTCTTGATTCCAACATATCAAAGCATTCAAAATATACTGAATGTCAAATGTTCAGGAGGAGGCCTCACTGTGTAAAACCAGAACTTGACAATGGGCGCGTTATAGAATTCACAGATCTTTGTTCCGATGGGAATACTTCTCTGTTTTTTGTGCTCGTTCTCCTCATCCCCCTTTCTTGAGCCAGCATCTGCATTTGCATCCTGGAAAACAGAGCACAGCACATGACAGGCAGGTGGCTAAATGGGAAATGCAAGGCACTCCGGCACACAGGCACCATTAGAAAAACACAATTCCAAAAATACCTTTAACCAGTGAGATTTCTCAATCTGTGGTACAAGAAATCTCAACAATTTTGAAAACAAGATTACACTGATATGCTTAGGGTCAAGTGTGTCACTGACCGTATTTTCCTCTTCTTTTTCTTTGCCATCCTCGTTTTCCTTGGATGTTTGATACGAGAAATCATCATATGTGCGAAATTCCAAAAACAAGATGGTGGGGGGTAGAAGAATCCCCATGATAACCTACGGAACATAAATTGATTTTTTAAGCTGTGGCAATTCTAGAAAAATGTCCCAGCATAGTTAAAATTTTTAAATTATGACCTTCAACATTATTCAATAACCTAGGAGCCCTGGAATGTTATCCCTGGTCTGACGTTCTGTGACATGTGCTTGGTAAATTAGTAGAATTGCAGGCAGTAAAACAATTTAAGAACATACACTAAATTTTTTAGATGAATGGCAAACAGCACTGTTGGTGATCCTAACTTTAAAAAGAAAAGTCTTGGCTGGCATGGTAGCTCACACCTGTAATCCCAGCACTTTTGGGAGGCCAAGGTTGGTGGCTCATATGAGGCCAGGAGTTTGAGACCAGCCTGGCCAACATGGTGAAACCCCATCTCTACTAAAATACAAAAATTAACTGGGCATGGTGGTGCACGTCTGTAATACCAGCTACTTGGGAGGCTGAGGCACAAGAATCACTTGAACCCAGGAGGCGGAGCTTGCAGTGAGGCGAGATCGCGCCACTGCACTCCAGCCTGGGTGACAGAGCAAGACCCTGTCTCAAAAATAAAATAAAATAAAATAAAATAAAAGTCCTTACATGAAATTTTGAGGAAGGCAAATCTTTAAATTAAAATAGAATAATATAAATAAAATATAATACCTCTAGTGAAGTAGGCCAAAAGTATTTTATATAGAAATAACTTTGATATAAATGAGATTATGTGAACTAAGAGTTGCAAGGCTAATGTGACTCAGAAAAGAAGGACTAACATGGGCTCGGCCTAGACAACAAAAGGATGCCCGGATGCCCAGGCTCATAGATAGAAAACATGCTTCCCCTTTTTTTTTTTTTTTTTTTGCTTGGACTACCTGCTAAACTAATTCTTCTGCATGGGAGGTTGAAGGTGTATAGTTTGAGTCTTTGCCTGTCTTAAACAGATATTCTTTTCTCATGCTTTTTGAATAGTTGGCCTGGGTAGAAAATATTCCAGGCTCCAAATGCCTTCCCTTCAGAACCGTGAAGGCCTTACTCCAGTGCTGCCTTCTGGGTTTCAGTGTTGTTGATGAAAAGTCTGATGCCAATTTGATGTTCATCCCCATGTAGGCGATCTACTTTAGTTTCCTGAAAACCTTAAAGAGCTCTTTATTCTTGGAATTCTGAAAACTGTTTATTAATATCCTAAGTTATGTATAACATCAGCTTAGCATATTATATAGAATTAGACAGTTAAGCATAACATTCACATTTCTAAGAAACAAAGTGCCCTCTATTTGCCAGAACCATACTACACAGTGTAACTCGTATAGTCTTTTCTTTATCCTCATGGAGAGCTCTAAAATAGATATAATACTGCCATTAGATTGCTAGGTTATCTGCAGATTAGAATCTCTTCTCAAGATAACCTAGTAGTTAACAGCAGTAAACCCAAGAGCTAGGGTTTGATTGCAATATAATTTTTCCCCCACTATATCTTTTTCAAACCCTTTCGTAGCTTCCTATTTTCTTGTAATTTTCTCCCATGTCATGAAAACATCACTAGTTAAAATAATACACAATTTCAGAGTTATAAGGGAATCTAGAAACAGAGTTCCAGTCCCTCCTTTAATGGTGGGTAGACGACCCAACCAGGGTGCGTGTGCATACTGAGTTATGGGGGGCTCCATTAGGAGACTCTGACTGTGGCAGGGGTTTGTGCAGCCTGGTGGGCTGGTCAGGTGGGGCTCTGGAGTTAGAGCACCTGAGTGTAGGTTCTGATCCCATGCTGACCAGCTAAGATCCTAGGCATGTCACTTCATCTCAAAGCTTCAGATTCCTCATCTATAAGACAATGATTGTCATGGCGTCTCCCTCAGGGGGTTGCTAGAAGGAATAAATGAAATAAGCCACAGAAAGTGCTCAGTTCAGCCTGGCAGAGAGTCACTTGTCACTGTCACCCTGGCCCGCCTCGCAGCACGTTGCACGCACCTTCAGGCCGGGGTTCTTCCGCATCCGCAGTCTTCCCATCCACATATCGGTCAGCAGCATCTGGCTGCAGGTGTGAGCAATGAAGTCCCGGTGTTTGGCTGCCACGGCCAGTTTGAGGCAGGTCGAGTTGCTCCAGTTTTTCAGCTCGTAGGTCAGGAGTTTCATAGCGATCTGCTCGTCATGCTTATAGGACTGGTCTAATAACTCCAAAGCAAGCTGGCCGAAGTCTCTGGGGGGAAAGAGAAGGGACCAGGGTGAAGCCACAGTGGCCGCAAGCTGTTTCTTAGACAGGCATATCCACCAAGGACTTATGGAGCCACGGGACACAGTATCCTTCACTGGAGGGGCTCTGAGGTTCTCTGCAAGCAAGAAGCTCCAGGGATGTGTCCCCAAAGGGGGAAGGCCAGGGACAGTGGCTGGGAGCTCAGTCAGGAGGTGGGCTGACTGCTACTGCTGCAAATGGAGCTGTAGGTTGAGACCACATCTGCCCCTCAGACGCCAGGGACATAGAGACGAGAAGACAAAGTCCCTTCCCTCAAGTTGTGCACAGATCAGGGAGGCAGATAGAAAAGACAGCAAAAGTGACTTCAAATGCAGCACCTGTGGAGTTGGAGGCCACAGTAGCGGGGCTGCTGGTGGTGGTGGTGGCGGGAGGTGGACACTGAAAGGAGTCACAGGAGGGCTGGTGGGTGCCGGCTAGGTTCTTAGTTGATCTGGGTGCTGGTGGTGCCGGCATGTCCCACCTGTGGACTGTCACCAGCTGGACATTTCGGATGTATGCCTTTCTCTGCCCGTGTAACACTTCACCATCACAGTGATTACAGAGAAGCCAACATTCTCAGTGCTATGACAGGGATGAGGCATAGTTGTCATAGGGCCCAGGCCAGAGGGCGTCTAATGACTGATGGGGACAGTGATAGAAGTTGGGGGGCATGGAGAAGGTGGCACAAGCTGAATTTTGAGCATAAAGTTTACTGCCTTCCCCACATGATCCAGATTGAAATATTTGGCAATAACCATAAACGTTCCAAGTTCCTTCAACTTTTTTTTTTTTTGAGATGGAGTCTCACTCTATCACCCAGGCTGGAGTGCAGTGGGGCAATCTCGGCTCACTGCAAGCTCCACTTCCTGGGTCCACGCCTTTCTCCTGCCTCAGCCTCCCGAGTAGCTGGGACTACAGGCGCCCGCCACTACGCCGGGCTAAAATATATTTTAGTAGAGACGGGGTTTCACCATGTTAGCCAGGATGGTCTCGATCTCCTGACCTTGTGATCCGCCCACCTCGGCCTCCCAAAGTGCTGGGATTACAGGCATGAGCCACCGTGCCCGGCCAGGAGAACCAATTTTACCAGAGCCTCACCTGCTGGTTTGATCAGAGCCTGACTGACCCAGGGGAAGCACGCCCAACTCCAGCCCCCTCTAGCCATCCTGTCCCACCTAAGCATGGAGCAAAATCAGAAACACCTGTGAAGGTCACAGTCCAGGTCACAGTCCAGGGCACAGGCTCATTAATGTTGTATTCCTTGTTAGTGTGTGTTTCCCTATGGAAATTAATTTCACCATCTTTGCATTAAAATTGTGTTTCAAGGAAAGGAAAAAAATTGTGTTTCAATTTTGATGCAAAGAGAAGGCAGTACACGAAAACAACGACAGTCCAAAAACACCTCTGAGAGACAGAAAGAAAAATGCTGACATGACAGACGAAGTGATTTGTGAACAAGCTTTAACCACCATTGTCCTTAAGTGAGAAGTACATTGGCCACCCCTCCCTGCAGAGACAAGTACTCAGGATGGTCATCTCTCCTGGCCTTTAAATCCCCGCTAGACACTAACTTGGAATTGTTATCCAAGTCCTGGGAGATGTCATCCACCAGATCACTCTCGGAGGACTCGTGGGCCATGGCCTTGTAGAGCTTGCAGGCCACCAGGGCCTTGGCCATGCTCTCTTCCCCTCGCTGCCAGAGGAACACTGCCATTTTCTGGCGTTTCATCAGCACTGCCCACACCATCAGCTCGTGGAAGGGATACTGGAACCGACTCACGGCAGGGTCGTCCACATCAATGTCGATCTCTTCCTCCTTTTTCTTCTTTTTCTTTTTCTTCCCTTTAGCTGGAGGCTCATCATCCTGAGGGGAGAAACATGGATTTCATGGTTTTGCCATAAAAGTATGCAACAAAGAGTTCCAGAACTCCTGGAGAAAGGGAACCCTTTCTGTCAGAGGTAATAAAGAGACTTCTGAAGTACATCTTACATTTCCACTCCGCATATGAATTCTTTTGAAAAGATGCACACGTTTATTATGATAAGTAAACTATCTAAAACCAAATGAACTGAGAAGGCATACTGTTTGGATAACTTGCACCCCTGGGTCAGCAGTTTTACTTAGAAGCCTTTAACTGAGGCGACGCTGCAAAACTAAAACAAACAAGCAAAACCTCCCCCAAAACTAAACACAAATAACATCATGGAAGAGGGAAGGTCTACAGTTTATTTCCTCAGGGAGGTCTTCAAATGTAGCAAAAATAACACTCGTTTGCCAGACGTAGCTGAACCAGAAATTAACAGGAAACATGCAAAAGGGGCTAGAGAAAAATGTTTTAGGTTTCCCTCCAGTGTTTTAAGAAAGCAAACATTCCTCTTTTAGTGAGCACTGTCCTTTTCCCCATATGGTGCAAAAAGGAAGGCCAATCTTTCCCATTTCCTAAAGGGGTTATGAGAACTGTTCTGTGAATGGATCAGGATTCATAAGAAAGGCAGATCGTGATTGGGAAAATTGGCATGAAATATGTGGGTCTCAGACTACTCCAGGCTAATACTTTAGTATTCAATGGAATAACAGAAACAGATGTTTGTTCTTTTGCAAACAGCGTTCCCATCAGTTATCTTCTTTTATTCTTACAAGGACTCTGAGAGGTTGTGAATTCCTTCCATTCCCTCAGATTAGGAAGCTGTGGCTCAGTCTGAATAACTCAGCCACATTCACAGAGTTGGAGTGGTCTGGAGCATGGGGAGTTATAGGAGGTATCCTGGCTCTCCAATTCCTATCTCAGGTTGTTCACTACTGACCCAATTTGTTTTGTTTTGTTTTGTTTTTGAGACGGAGTCTCACTGTGTCGCCCAGGCTGGAGTGCAGTGGCACCATCTCGGCTCACTGCAAGCTCTGCCTCCCGGGTTCATGCCATTCTCCTGCCTCACCTCTGGAGTAGCTGGGACTACAGGTGCCCGCCACCACGCCCGGCTAATTTTTTGTATGTTTAGTAGAGACGGGGTTTCACCGTGTTAGCCAGGATGGTCTCGATCTCCTGACCTCGTGGTCCTCCCGCCTCGGCCTCCCAAAGTGCTGGGATTGTAGCCATGAGCCACCAGGCCCGGCCACGACTGACCCAATTTTTATAATATCATAATGAGCTGTGATAACATTTTAATGGAAAATATAGTATCTTGACTCCAATTTAAATATCTTTGTTCTAATTTTCTAATTTTGTCACAGTGAAGCTACAGTCGCAGTGATATGGGAAAGGTTCATCTACACAGGTTAAAAATGAACATCGTAGAAATGTTTAGATAAACATAGATTTTCAAGAATATATAAGATAAAATAAAAATTAACTAATGACTAATGAAATGTTATAAAACAGAAGTCCTTTTAAGCCTACCTTTCAATAACATCTAATATTATTAAAATATTAATTGCATGTAAATTCTCTTTAAAAACTGCCAGAGAGAGAATATGAGAAACAAAGAGTTAATTTTCCTAAAATGCAAAGGCCTGTCACAAATCAATGAGGAAAAGGGAAAAAAACCAATAAAATAACAAAGGATCTGAACTGGGAGTGTAAGGAAAAATTGACATATTACCATAGTTGAGTAAGTAACACACCTTACTTAGCAATGAATTTGAAAAAAAATTACAGGATATTTCTATACAAGGAATAAACTTTGAAATCAATAACAGTAGTATGACAACAACAAAAGTCTGTATCTGGGAAATTTGAAATACACTTCTAAATAACTCTTGGATTGAAAAGGAAATAATAAATGCCTTAGAAAAAACGACAATGAAGGTTCTACTTATCCAAACCTGTGGAATACCATGAAACAATGCTCAGAACAATTTATACCTTTAATGCATTTATAGGAATACAGTGAAGATGGAAAATGAGTGAATTTTCCTTTCAAACTGAGTTAGCACGAACAATGCAATAACAGTAGGGAAAGTATATGGAAGAAACAAATACAAATAAAAGCAGACATTAATAAAATAGAAACAGAAAAAGGAAGTTGCTTGATAAAGCAAAAATACCAATAAAATATGTAGGAAAGAAAGTTTAAGAAAATAGGAGATATAAATTTTGTTTAAAAATGGCACAAGAGGCTGGGCGTGGTGGCTCGTGCCTGTAATTCCAGCACTTTGGGAGGCCAAGATGGGTGGATCACCTGAGAATCTGAGATCAGAAGTTTGAGACCAGCCTGACCAATATGGTGAAGCCCCATCTCTACTAAAAATGCAAAAATTAGCCTGGTATGGTGGCATGCACCTGCAGTCCCAGCTACTTGGGAGGCTGAGACAGGAGAATTGCTTGAACCTGGGAGGCTAAGGTTGCAGTGAGCCGAGATTGCACCATTGCACTCCAGCCTGGGTGACAGAGTGAGACTCCTACTCAAAAAAAAAAAAAAAAAAAAAATTGGCACAAGAAATGACACACAACTGAAGATACTGAGGAGACTGAAAAAAACTAGAATACTATGTAAAAGTTTATTCCAGGGAACTTGAAAGTCTAGATGAAATAAGTCATTTTAGGAAACTATAAATGACCAAAGTTGACTCTAGAAAATAAAAAGCCTGAAATGTACTTATATTTATAATGGCTATTATGAAGTAGTATTATGAAATACACACTTCTAAGAAATAGGACTGGACCCGGAAATTTTACAGGTGAGTCCACCAAACCTTCATGGAATAAATAAACCCTGACCTGGAGAGTTTGAGAGAACAGGAGATCACAGAAAGCTCATAACCCTTCCAGGAGCACCGTGTTAAAGGACAGTCTTAATTGTCAACACAGAATGAAAGCCGTCTACACTGAATCCATGAAGAATCGGGATGCTGTTTAGCTCATAAATTTATTTAAAAAGAATGTTTCCAAGAGTCAATCCTAATATTCCACAATATGGCATTTCTTCCATTCATTTAAATATTTTTAGGTCTGGGACATTGTTCTTACGGTTGCTAGTAAAGGTAATTTCTGGTACTTTTGTCCTATTGTGAGGGAACTTTAGTTGATTTTCCTGGATTTTCTAACTCCCCCCAAATTTTTTTGCTGATAATAATTTCTCCCTTTCTTGGGTATTCTTTTTTTAGCATTTATTTTTCCTTGTGGTTCAATTTCCAGAACACTTTTGGAGACTAGTGAAAGATGCCAATAGGTAAGAATTATAAAACAGTAGATGACGCCAATGATATTGGGCATGCTTGTCTTGTTCTTGATTCTCATGGACATGACTTCAGGGATGCACTGCTCATCATACGTTTCCCTTGCTCTAAGATATACGTGTATTTTAATCATTCCAAGAAAGTATTTTATCATTCTATTTTGAGAAAACTATATATTTTTTAACAAAGTAAGGCATATGTTTTACATGTGTTTCAAATTCTTCATTAGCACCTGCTGAGAGATGGTCATAGATATGATGCAATATATTAAAGACTAACACTGCATTGTATTTGCATTCTTGGAGGACTCTACTTTGATTTAGGACTATGAAAATAGTCTATTGAATTCTTTTTGGTGTTATTTTTGGTTTTTTACTTATGGTTTTTGCATACGTAAGTGGTGTTCCTCTCTAGTTTTTTTGTTTGCTTAATCTTTGCTTTTGAAACTGTGGTTTTGTTAGTTCTAGAAATGGATTGTGCAGCTTTTATCCCCATTAAAGAAAATGTATATATGGTCCTTTTATATAATTTGACTAAGACATCTAGGTAAATTTTGGTGAGTAGTATCGTATATTCGCAAATACAGAACTTAAAAGGGCTATGTATATTTGACCAGGATATTATAAAACTGTTGAAAACAAGTTCTACTTACTTCCATTCCCAGAAGTTTAAGAGCTTTAGGCTGCATGGTGAAAGAGGAAGAAAAAAAATCAATTTACTTAGATAACTAATGTTAGTAGTACATTAGCAGTATTGTTGATAGTGGACATACGAATGGATTAAAAAGCACTTTGTATCATTAACAATTAATGATAATATCCAAGGAAAAGAAGTGCTTTAATATAGAAACTCTTCTTCTGTCAGCAGAAGTTAATTGAGAAGAAAGCTCAGCAGACGCGTGGCCCTTATTCCAGGTAGAAACCGAGAAGTTCCCTAATAGACATGTAGAGAGCTGTGGGGCTGTAAGGTGGGTGTGAGAGGAGGGCATCATGAAAGATCAGACATTTGAGTTGGACTTTTGATAAGGGTGGGAAAGGCACTGATAGTGGGGAAAGACGTGGCAGGTACACGTCTTTGATTTGATCACAGGATTTGATTTTGGTGCAGGTATGTGGTCTCCCATGTGGGTGAGGGCCAGCTGGTGGAGGGCCTTGGCTGCTGTGATAATGAGTTTGGATACGATTCTCCAGGCAGTGAGGAGCTCTGGGAGGCTTGAAGCAGGGAATGCAGGCATGTCCCTTGCTTTGGAAGATTATGGCAGGTACAGTGGTGGGATAGTAGAATAGGCTGGAGCGGGCAGACAGTAGCCCCGGAGCCCAGGAGGAAGTCTGCTGTGGATAGAAAAGGAGGGCAAATGCAATGGATGGGCGGGGCGGCCCGTGCTCAGGGGAGCTGGCGAATGCCGTGGCTCTGGCCTGAGAGCACTGTAGGAGGCAGGACAGCTGTGCTGGGGACAGGGCGAAGGGCTTGGCTCTGAACCGGCCAAGTTGTTGAAAAGCAAGCGAGGAACCACATGGTACTCGCGAACCACAGAACACTACACAGGCACTGAGTTCTACCCTCTTTGGTCCAAACAAGTTGTTGTAAAGGGTCCGAAAGTTTTTCCGAGTGTAGTTGCAGCGGTAGGCTCCTCCCATGAGGTACTCCAGCACGAGCCCGATGTCTATGAGGCTGATGTGGTAATCAGGCGGAAGGTTGCTCTGTAAAAGAAGTCTGGTCTCAGGCCCTGTGAGAATGCGTTCGCAGTGTGGACTTCATCACACGTCTAGGGGGTAAGTGGCTGTCCTGGCCCCCACTTGGGAGTTCATGTAACAGGTGGGTGGGTGGGGGATTAAACAATATTCAGGCTGGGGAAAGCATCTATCCCTTGATAACAAGGTGGCAGAAAGGGCCAAGAACAGCAGCTGCAATCAACAGGGCACAGAATGACTTGAGGAACCTCCTGCCGGTGCTTCTGGAAAGAGCCACAGGCAGTGGGTGAGAGATCTCAAAGGAGGGACAGAACGAGAGGCTGCATGGACAGACAGCGGGGCTCAGGTCAGCAGCCAGGCCACCCCCTTCCCCAACCCCACCCAGTGGCCGCCCTGGCCTGGCGCTGGCGTCAACCTATAATCCGGCTGTCACTGACAGTGTCCCTATCATGGATTTGGATGAACATGCAACTTAAAAAAGATTATCCTTTGCTTTCTTAGTTTTAAATAGACTCTTTACGAAAGAAGGAATTCATTATCTCCTGTGCCTGGAATAATAATACATTTTGAAAATTTAAAACTTGCTCTTAAGAAATGATTTTGTGAAAGATGCCAACAGGTAAGAATTGTAAAACAGTAGACTGACCTTTTTCACATCCCTCACCAGCAGATGAAGTGTGTTTGGTGGACCCAGTCTCTGAAAGAGAAGCATTCATGTGTGTTAAATATGTTTTTCTTGGCCAGGCGCGGTGGCTCACGCCTGTAGTCCCAGCACTTTGGGAGGCCAAGGCAGGCAGATCACTTGAGGTCAGTAGTTTGAGGCCAGCCTGGCCAACATGGTGAAACCCCATCTCTACTAAAAATACAAAAATTAGCTGGGCGTGGTGGTGGGCACCTGTAATCCTAGCTACTAGGGAGGCTGAGGTTGGAGGATCACTTGAACCGGGGAGGCAGCTGCAGTGAGCTAAGATTGCACCACTATACTCCAGCCTAGGTGATAAAGTGAGACCTCGTCTAAGAATGAATAAATAAATAAATAAATAAATAAGTTTTTTTCTTGAACTCTTCGAGCAAAATCCTGCCCTACTCTATATAATTAATGAATTGTGAGAGCTGGAGTGTAACCCACACCAGCCTTTTTCTTTTACAAAACAGAGCTGGTCATGGTTAGAAAGTATCCAACACATTTCAAAAGTTGTGAAATACTTTCTGTTGCATTTTTTTAAAAGAGTATCTTAAGGTGCACAATATAGTGTTAATAATTCATCAAGTTGGCCAGAATCAGTGGCTCAAATTAGTATATTTGAGCCTATTATCCCAGCACTTTGGGAGGCCAAGGGAGGTGGATCACTTGAGGCTAGGAGTTCGAGACCAACCTGGGCAACATGTCGAAACCCTGTCTCTACAAAATTTTTAAAAATTAGCTGGGTGTGGTGGTGTGCACCTGTAGTCCCAGATACTCAGGAGGCTGGGATCGGAGGATGGCTTGAGCCTAGGAGGTTGAGGCTGCAGTGAGCTGAGATCATGTCACTGCACCCCAGCCTGGGCAACAAGAGAGACTCTGTCTCAGAACAAACAAAAAAAAATTCACCAAGTTTTAGCAAGCAGCTGCTGAGGATCATTTCTGCTACTTAAAATCTTACAATAGGGAAGGAAATGTAAATTCTCAAAACTTATATTGTAATAATATAAGCCAAGGGAATTTCATTCAAACCCTTCCAGCAGAGCTCCTGGGTGTGAAACTTAGCTCTATGTTTTACCCCAAAGCCTCATCAAATGTGAGGGTCCCAAGGAACAATTGACTTCTCACCCTTGGTGACATTTCACTCTGCTAATGGCTTGGGGAGCTAGATTCCCTCTTTGTAGCAACAAGTACTCACACACCACCCTTAAATGCGGGACAAGAGTTAATACTGCCCGAGAAAGGAGTGACTGGCGAGGCATGGCAGGAGGTGGTGAGAATATGAACACAGGCTGTGGCCAGCAGCAGGTGAGAAGTAGCCGCCTGCCATTAAATACGGACCTCCCAGCTGAAGGAGGTCAGATGAGCACATTTATGCACAATATGCATCAGTGACAAACACATTTAGGTGGCTGCCTCCCGCTTCCTTCCCTTTTTCTAGAGCACTCACTGTGTTATAAAGCTCCTCCAGCCTCGGAATGGTCAGAAAGTGTTGCATGTTCACTCCGTTTTCAATCAGGAGCTTCACAAAGTCGACACGATCTAAGACTAAAGCATCTAGCATCGCTTGCTCCAAAGCATTCACCTGCAGGGACCAAGGGCCGGGAGCCTGTGAGTGGCCTCTCAGAGACACAGGGGAGGGGGGCGACTGGAAACACAGAGGAAAGGGTATTCCGAACGCCAGATTCCAGAGCACTCCAGCATGGTACTCTTTGCTCTTTATCTTGGGTAAACACTCCCCATCTCCCCTCTCCTTTCTTCTCAGTTTGGCCTCTACATGTTCCATCCATGTCTGTAAATTATTGTTTCCTTTTAAAAATAGATTGAAGAGGATTCAAAATCTCAGCCCTCCTGGCATTGGCCTGCCCAGTCTCCACCATTTGTTTCCTTGACTGAGAAGTTGTGCCAGGAGGAGCTGCATGGGCAGGCAGCATGACCAGGGTGCCGTGTGGGTGAGTGACTGTGATAAGGGCAGGCACACGTCACCACAGAGGCCTGGTCCCCTGTCTTGCCTGTGTCCTGGTGGCAGCAAGACCAAGAACTGCCATGCGATGTGTGGCTCCAGCCTCCCCACCTAAACTGCTGTTACCCCACACACCCAATCATGGGCTCTGTCTGTCAAAAAAGGGCTTTTTCATGAATTGCATTTATTTGGTGACAACTGATTTGTCTGCTGTATATTCATGCATCAAGCATTGGCATGTCTGCCAGGTACAGAACCATTGCTGAACAGGATGACTCAGGGCCCCTCTGTGGGTGGCATCATTCCCCCCAAAGCAGGAACGTTTGGTGTTTTGGACAACCGACAGGCTCATTGCAGCGAATGTGCTGTTGTAGTTTGAAATGCTGACACTACCCAGTCAAGCCTTTACCCGTCCCTCCTGGGATCAGGGCCCTGGGTGGGACTGAAGCAAGGACAAGAACCATCCCTTCCCCTGGGGAAGGGTGATGCCAAGCTCGTGATCTCTGTGACCTTCCACATACCCAGTTCAGCAGCTCTATCTTCCGGGGGTCAGTTTCTTCCTCCACTTCCTCTTTCACTTTCCCTTTCTTCTTGCCTTTCCCTTTTCCTCTTCCTCCCTTGGTGGTGGCCATGGGTGGCTTCTTCTCCTTCTCTGTGGCTTTGCTGTCCGTCGGGGGTGCCAGGCTTCCCAGGGGCTGCAGTCCACAGCAATCAGAGTTGGGAAATGGTACTAAGGCTCTTTCTTGTCCCCAGACCAGCTCATTGACCCTCCCACCTCTGTATGTGCACACATGCACACCACACATGCACACAATGTACATGTGCACACCCACACAGTGCACACATATGCCCACACATATGTACAGGTGCACACGGACTCCATCCCATACACCTACATACTCAGTCGTCGCAGGCCTGGCTGTCTGAAGAAGGCTCTGATACTGGGAACCACTGTTACTCGTGTGCACAAACACACACTTGACTTGATGCAGCGGCTTTGCATACTTAAAGTGGCTGACATTTTGATCCATGTGTGCTTTTGCATGGAGGAAAGGATGCTGAAAGGAGAGTTCAAAGGCACCAAAGACATGTGTCCATAGTTGTTTAATGATGGGAAAAAGTGATTGTGAAGGGGGTACAAGACAATGGATAGAACTGAGGATGCCTGCCTGGATGTAAACGTAAACTGGAGCTTATCGGCGGGTAAAGAAGCTCTCCGCATGTCACTGAAATGCATGCAATGCGGTGACAGACTCATTCATCAAGGGGAGTGTGTGCTCTACTCCAGAGAACAGGAGGGACAGCAGAAGTAGGCCTGGCCCCGTGGCCTTGTCTCCTGGTCTGGTGGAGAATGTGGGAGTGTGTCCTGGTGCAGACACAGAGCCAGCACCTAAACAACCGGACCCTCCAGCTGGCGTCCTCTCTTGCCAGACCCACCCGCTCCTCTTACCAAACGCTCCTGGTGGGTTGCCTACCTGAGGAGCCTCCATTTCCTCTCTTCCTATCTCTCCTGCACGCACCCTGCTGCTTCTTCCATCTGTCCTGGGCTGTGGGTTTAGTTGCTGAGAACTGTGCTGGTGCCTGCCTCATGGGCATTTCATGCTGGGTTCTCAGCACATCTGACTCCACTGCCTGCTTCCTCCTAGAGTCTCTTCCCTTGGCTTCTTGGGCATCACAAGCTCCCAGCTTTCCTCTTCCCTGTCTGGCCACTACTTCTCAGTGCAGCTTTAAATGTCAAGGTTCCTCTGGGCTCTGTCCTCAGCCTTCTACCTTTCCACTCTACTCTCTTCCTTGACGACCTCATTGACCCCCACACCACCAGTCACCACTGATTGGCATACAACTTCTCCTTTCTGGCTGCGGCCCACCTCTCTCCCCAGAGCTCCTGTTGCCTGCTCAGCATCCTGCTTGCATGTCTCAAAGACATGCAGCTCCTTATGCCCCAAACCACTCTCAGGACCTACCCTCCGACCCAGTCCTCTTCCAGGGTCCCTTATCTCAGGGAAATGTTACCACAGCTTGCAAGTTGTGCAAACCAGAGAACTGGGGAGCATTGTGACATCTCAGTCCCTCCAGTGCCCTCAATGATTCATCTACCCCTATGTGCAGCCATGTTTAATGCTAAATTTTGCTTAATTCTGATTCTTGCCTTCTTCTTTGCCTCTGCTCTAGTCCAAGGCCTGAATTATTTCAAAGGCCTATTAACAGGACTCTGCACACCTGCCATGGTACCCACCCAGTGCATTTTCCACAGTAACTCCAGAGTGACCTTTAAATATAAAAATGGAAGCAAGTAACTCTCCTGCTTAAAACCCTTAAGTAGGGCTGAGGCAGAGCTTATGTCAGGGGAGGTGTGCATTTATATAGTTCCTGGTCAACATACAAATATGGATGAAAAAGTGTCTTGGCTGACTCCTCATGCAGATAAAACCGTTATGGTCCTGAGTGACAGAGTGACACCGCATCCAACAAATGGTGCTGGGAAAACTGGATATCCACATGCAAAAGACTGGAGTTGGACCCTTACCTTACACCATATACAAATATTAACTCAAAATGAATCAAAGACCTGAACATAAAATCGAAAACTACTAATATAAAATGCTGCTGGGCACGGTAGTTCATGTCTGTAATCCCAGCACTTTGGGAGGCCGAGGCAGATGGATCACCTGAGGCCAGGAATTTGAGACCAGCCTGGCCAACATGGTAAAATCCCATCTCTACTAAAAATACAATAATTAGCTGGACATGGTGGTGGGTGCCTGTAATCCCAGCTACTTAGGAGGCTGAGGCAGGAGAATTCCTTGAACCCAGGAGGAAGAGGTTGCAGTGAGCTGAGATCGTGCCGTTGCACTCCAGCCTGGGTGACAAGAGTGAAACTCAATCTCAAAAACTAATTAATTAATTAAACTAAAATGCTTAGAAGAAAACATAGGGCAAAAATATCACTATATTGGATTTGGGAATTCAATTCTTGAATATGACACCAAAGGCACAGGCACAAACGGAAAAATTATTAATAACAAATCCGATGGACTTTATGAAAATTTAAAAGTTTTGTGCAGCAAAAAATACCATTAACAGAGTAAAGGTAGCCACAGAATAGGAGAATATATTTGTACATCATGTATATGATAAGGGGTTCATAGCCAGAATATATAGAGAACTCCTAAAATTCAACAACAAGAAAACCCAACCTGATTCAAAAATAGGCAAGAGACTTGAATAGACATTTCTACAAAGCAGATACACAAATGGCCAATAAACACACACAAAAACGCTCAATATCACTAATCATTAGGGAAATACAAATCAAAACCATCTGAGATATTATCTCACACCCATTAAGATGGCTATTATCTTTTTTTTTCCTTTTATTTGAGATGGAGTTTTGCTCTTGTTGCCCAGGCTGGAGTGCAGTGGCACGATGTTGGCTCACTGCAACCTCCGCCTCCCAGGTTCAAGTGATTCTCCTACCTCAGCCTCCTCAGTAGCTGGGACTACAGATGTGTGCCACCACTCCCGGCTCATTTTTTTTTTTTTTTTCTGTATTTTTAGTAGAGACGGGGTTTCGCCATGTTGGCCAGGCTGGTCTCCAATTCCTGACCTCAGGTGATCCACCTGCCTTGGCCTCCCAAAGTGCTGGGATTACAGGCATGTAAGCCACTGTGCCCAGCCAAGATGGCTATTATCTAAACAACAGAAAATGACAAATGTTTGTGAAAATGAGGACAAACTGGAACCCTGTGCACTGGGGGTGGAAATGTAAAATGGTGCAACTGCTGTGGGAGGAGTTTGGTGATTCTTCAAAAAATTAAAAATAGGATTACCGTGTGATCAATGGTTTCACTTCTTGGCATACCCAAAAGAACTGAAAGCAAGTCTCAAAGAAGTATTTGTACACCTACATTCATAGCAGCATTATTCTAAAACATGGGAGCAACCCAAGTGTCCACTGATGGATGCTTGGATAAGCAAAATGTGGTCTATCCATATAATGGAATATTATTCAGCCTTAAAAGGAAGGAAATTCTGACAAATGCTACAACACGGATGAACCTTGAGACATTGTTCTGAGTGAAATAAGCCAGTCACAAAAGGACAAATATTACATGACTCCACTTATAGGAGGTACTGACAGTAGTCATATTCATGGCAACAGAAAGTAGAATGGTGGTTGCCAGTCACAGGAGAGGGCAGGATGGGGAATTATTGTTTGATGGGCATAGAGTGTCCATTTTGCAAGATAAAAAAGCTCTTGAGATGAATGTTGGTGATGATTTTCCTTCAAAAATTGTTAGTCCAAAGTTTTTATGATTCAATATAAATAAATAAATTGCCTTTTGTTACCTGTATATATCAAACGTCTCTCTTTTTCTCTCTCTTCATTATGTTTTTTGTTTGTTTGTTTATTTGTTTGTTTTTTGAGACGGAGTTTTGTTCTGTCACCCAGGCTGGAGTGCAGTGGCATGATCTCAGCTCACTGCAACCTCCGGCTCCCAGGTTCAAGCAATTCTCCTGCCTCAGCCTCCTAAGTAGCTGGGATTACAGGCATGCAACATCACACCCGGGTAATTTTTGTATTTTTAGTAGAGACGGGGTTTCACCATGTTGGCCAGGCTTGTCTCAAACTCCTGACCTCAGGTGATCCACCCGCCTCAGCCTTCCAAAGTGCTGGAATTACAGGAGTGAGCCACTGTGCCTGGCCTCTTCGTTATGTTTAAAAGCATGTTTTAAGAAGAATTTTTTTTGCAAAGCTTTTACTTTAATTAATTATTTTAATTAGCAAATGACAAATTGTATATATTTATGGTATACATGATGCTTAAATATATGTATACATTGTGGAACGATGAAGCTAATTAACATATCCATCACCTCACATACTTATCATTTTTGTGATGAGAACATTTAAAATCTACTCTTTTAGCAATTTTCAAGTGCACTATACATTATTATTAATTATAGTCACTATGTTGTACAATAGGTCTCCAGAATTTATTCTTCTTAACTGAGACTTTGTACTTTTAAACCAAAATCTCCCAATCCCTCACATCCTAGCTTCTGATAACCACATCATACTCTCATGCAGCTTTTATTTTTTGCATTCAATAACAGAAAATATAGATAGAAGAATTTTGTCTAGTAATATATAGCAAATCAGACCTAAGATTGATTTACTGTGTTGGAATTCTTATGTCCTCCCTACCACAAGTTTTCTACTATATGAAGAATTCTAGATAGACTATAGATTCACAGGCACATCCTTTCTTGAGTGCTTCAACTATTAAAAGAAGATTTTGGAGACCTTATATCCCACTGTAGGGAGACAGAGAAGGACTTTTGGCTCCAGGTTACAGCCTGAGCATGTGTTTCCTGTCTTCCCTCCCTCCCCAGATACTATTTAAATGACAGCAGAGGAGTATGAAAAAGAAAAATCTATTTCAGGGAGAAGAGGCGGGCCAGAGAGTTTTTAACAAATTTCTGGAAGCATTGAAGGACCAGTTAAAACTATGGAGAGGAAGCCAAAGCCCAAAATGTGTAATGTGGAGGTTGCTCTTGAGGTGAGACCAGATTTTCCAAGATACAAAGAAGAGGGCATGTGGTGGGCAGAAGGCATGGTGACCGGAAGATGGTCTACAGAGCAGGAGGCCACACATCCCCTCCCGGTCTCCAGGCTGCCACTGTGGTGGGTGCAGAGCAAGCAACTGCATTCCTGGGCTTCACTCCCAGTAAAAACTGGGAGGATGTCTGCTAAAGAATAGGGAGGCCCAGAGCCCACCAGCCCTCTCCAGTCGGCACTCAGCAAAGCAGGAGGTTCAGGCGATACTCTCCTTCCTAAGCAGGGAATTCCTGGGCAGTCCTCCCAGGGAGGAGAAAAACCTGTTGGCAAAATGGGTTTCCATACCAATTAAGCAGTTCTATCCCTCATTCTGTAGTGTGATGGACAGCCAAGGATCTAGAGCATTTGAGAAAATCAACAGCATAACAGAAAAACCCAAAATGAACAAAAAGAACAGCTGACCAGGGAGAAAATAGAGATAATCTAGGGAACAGAAGATAACTTCAAAAAATCTAATTCATATCCTTAGATATTGCATCTGTGAGATGAAAATAGGCTAATAAGAAAATAAAATTGTTAAGGAACAAAAACACTTTCTTAAATATAAAAAGCATGAGTGCCTAAACCTTTAAAAATTGTATAAAAGCTAAAGAAAAAGTTGAGATTTCCAAAAACATACAGCAAAATGATAGAGAAATAAAAAACCGAAAATGGACGGTCAATCTGGGAGAAGGGGACCAGCAGTTGCTTGACTAATAGAAAATCCAGATGAAGGGAAAGAGATAATAAAGAAAGAAATACTCAAAGAAGAGATAGAAGAAAATTTCACAGAGCTGATTCAGGTCTTCAGCATAAAGGGACCTTTGAAAGCCAGAAGAATTAAATGTCTACATGTGTGAAGATATGGCTGCTTGAGTTTGTATTCTCTATACACTTCTATTTTCATTTGCTTGAAATAGGAGATACATCCTTGTGAAATTTTCAAGCACTGAAAAAGCAAAGAGCAGAGAGAAAACAATGGTTCATCTATAATTGAATGAAAATCATAGGACAATCTTGAGCCTCATGTGAGGCAGACTTTTTTCAGACATGTAAAGACACAGAATGATAATTGCTGTGGTTTGAAAGTGTCCCCCAAAGTTCTTGTGTTGGAAACTGAATCCCCAGTGCAACAGTGCTGAGAGATGGGACCTTTAAAATTGTTTAGGTTATGAAATTCTGCTCTCATGAATGGATTAATGCTTTTATAGAGGGAGAGGGTTCATGATCTTGAGAGATTTGTTTTAAGAGTTCAGCCCTCTCTCGCTGTCTCTCGCTCTCTTACCCTTTCACCTCCCACCATGGGATGATGTAGCAAGAAGGCCCTGACAAGATACCAGCCCCTTGATCTTGGACTTTCCAGTTTCTAGAACTGTAAGAAATAAATCTCCTTTCTTTATCAGTTACCCCATCTGTGGTATTCTGTTACAGAAACACAACACAGACTCAGACAGTAATTCTCCCACATGCTTTTATGTAAAAGTTACTTGAAGATGTACTCCAGCAAAATGAAAAAGGAATCTGAAAGGGAGGAAGACATGGGGTCTAGGAGGCAATGGCCAGTCTCAGAGTGCAACGAAGGGATGTCTGATGTAGACAACTGTACAGTAGGCATTGAGAGCATCCAGGGAAGATGGGGGTAGGAACTCATGGGGCTTTGAAAGATTCTTCAAGAAGAAATGGGACAGTAACAATTAAGAGAATAGATATGGCTGCAGCCATAAAAAAGAACAAGATTATGTCCTTCGCAGGGACATGGATGGAGATGGAGGCCATTATCCTTAGCAAACTAAGGCAGAAACAGAAAACCAAATGCTGCATATTCTCATAAGTGGGAGCTAAATGATGAGAACACATGGACACATAGAGGGGAATAACAGACACTGGGGCCTTTTGGAGGGAGGAGAGTGGGAGGAGGGAGAGGGTCAGGAAAAACAACTAGCAGGTACTAGGCTTAATAACTGGGTGGTGAAATAATCTGTACAACAAACCCCCATGACACAAGTTTACCTACATAACAAACCTGCACTTGTACCCCTGAACTTAAAGTACAAAGTATATATTAAATATAAACTATGTATATGCAAATAAAAGTACAAAATGGCATTTTTAAGGTAATATCTGTATGGCTTCATCTTGGAAAGAGTGCAATAATTTTGCCCTAGCTCCCCACAGGGTAGCCTTTGCTGCAGCCATGCTTGATATATCCACGTTGCTGACAAGAGCCTTGATATGGTTTGGCTCTGTGTCCCACCCAAATCTCATCTCCAGTTGTAATCCCCAGGTGTCAAGAGTGGGGCCTGATGTGAAGTGATTGGATCATGAGGGCAGTTTCCCCCACGCTGTTCTCATGATAGTGAAAGAGTTCTTATGAGAATTGATGGTTTTAAAAATGTTTGGCAGCCCCTTGTGCTCTTTTCTCTCTCTCACGGGCTGCCGTGTAAGATGTGCCTTTGCTTCTCCTTTGTCCTCCGCCATGATTGTAAGTGTCCTGGGGTCTCCCCAGCCATTTGGAGATGTGAGTCAATTAAACCTCCTTTACAAATTACACAGTCTCAGAAGACTGCTATTCTTTATAGCAGTGTGAAAACGGACTAGTATAAGCCTCAACATTAGCAGTGGCAAGTGTACATAGGCAGGTACCAAACTTTACATCTATTTGTTTGGAACCAAACTAAAGATACAATAAAAATACTTAAAAAAAAAAGAATAGATACAGCAATGACATCAAGGCAAATGTTTGGAAGAAAAAAAGAGAATCAATTAGAAATGTGGAGAAAAGCAAATATCTATTCAAATAAGTCATGGTCCAAATATGAAGGAAATTAAAGTGTCACCTAATTTTAAATAGTTGGTGAATGATGGAAACCTTGATGCCTGTCATATTTTCCTTTGTGTGAGCCAGATAAATGACCCAGGACTACCTTCCCTTCTCCTTGACTTCAATCCTACTTTGCGGTTCAGCAGTGAACAATCTCCATGTAATCACAACAATGTCAAAGCTGCTGGTTTCTCCATTTTTTTAGAATCAACATAGAGACTAAGTACAAAAACTGAATGATGATTAAAGAGTAAGATGTAAGCAGGACCTCAATGATTAAAGAAGGATATGTACATGTTCATCATGTCAAGCACCTTGTAAAAGTGGGGCTGATTGAATTAGGAAGATGAAACTTGTCAGGAGAGGAAGGAGGAGTATGGAGTGAATTTCCTCATTTAACAAAATGGGAGTCTGAAGCGGACAGAACAAGTAGGTGGTTCCACGTACTCTTTACCGTCATAAAGGTGACCAATATAAGAATTAAGCAGGGCTGGGTGCAGTGACTCATGCCTGTAATCCCAGCACTTTGGGAGGCCAAGGCGGGTGGGTCACTTGAGGTCAGGAGTTTGAGACCAGCCTGGCCGACATGGTGAAACCCTGTGTCCACTAAAAATGCAAAAAAAATTTAGCTGGGTGTGGTGGGTGCCTGTAGTCCCAGCTACTTGGGAGGCTGAGGCAGGAGAATCGCTTGAATCCGGGATGCAGAGGCTGTAGTGAGCTGAGATAACACCACTGCACTCTAGCCTGGGCAACAGAGTGAGACTCCATTTCAAAAAAAGAAAAAATAGAATTAAACAGGCAACTATCAAATCCAGGAGGAACAGGGGCAGTGGAAGCAGAGTGAGCAATCCACCTCCTTCTATTACCAAGTGGAGAATTGATGGATCCGTCTACACATGATCAATCAATAAAGAGTGATAAAACGTGTTATGGCAATGTGTGGAAGCAACTTCCAGGAGACCTAAACACAGAGGCAGTTAAATGCTTTGGGAGGCAATTAAATGCTTTGGGAGACCTAAACACAGAGGCAGTTAAGTAAAATGCATTTGTGCAGCAATATGCCAGGGATGTTTTGAGAAATGGTTTTGCATTGTTTTTTGTTTTATGTTTTAGAGATGGGATCTCATTCTCTCACCCAGGCTGTAGTGTAGTGGTGCAGTCACAGCTAACTGTAACCTCAGATTCCTAGGCTCAAGCAATCCTCCTGCCTCAGCCTCCAAAGTAGCTGGGACTATAGGCATGCACTCCCATGCCTGGCTAATTTTTTTTATTTTTTGTAGAGATGGTGTCTCACTATGTTGACCAGGTTGGTCTTGAACTCCTGGCCTCAAGCAATCCTCCCAAATCGGCCTCCCAAAGTGCTGGAATTACAGGTGTGAGCCACCACATCTGGCCAAGAAATGTGGTTTTTAAAACCAACATAAACTCTCTAGATATTCCTACTACCTTTCATAAGCAGCAGAGCCCTTTTTGCAAACACAAATTTATCCTGACTCCTAATCTATAAAATGGATCAAAGAAGCTGCTTTGACTGAAGAAGAAGTAGGAGGCTTGGAGTCCTTTATCATGCAGACTTATGTGTGTTCACACACACACACGCTCATCCCCATGTCACACACACACATTAGTACTCCTCAACACTCCACACACACTGCTCATCCCATATCACACACACACAATACCCTCCCAATGACACCCACATACACACTATACCACCCATGGCCACACACATTACTCACCTACACAAAATCATACCACATACAGGCACACCACATATCACATGCACACAGACACCCTATACACACATACAGACACACACATAGACACACACATACACACACACACATAAACACACACACACACAGAGTTCTCTAGGCCTCCAGGGTTTCATGGAACATAGTTTGAAAAATCATTGCCCTGGATGGAAGCATTGCATTAAATTTTAATAAGCTATTTTATTTCTTCTTCTTTTTCTTTAAAAAGGTAAAAACCCACTTTCATCAGCAACGATAAAATATTTGGTGATTAATTTCTTCAGGAGTACTGGTTTGAATGTGGAATTACTTCTTGTTGGTTCTTTGAAGTTAAACAGTGACATCTTCTAATGAGCCTAATAGATTACATATCATATCATCAGAAACCCCACATAATTTCCTGAATTCCATGTCACAAGGGAGAACATACTAATAGGTCACTTGTACAAAGTCAAGATCAATGATATGAATCGAAAAAAAACAGTTTCACCGGCCAGTGGGGCCCAAAGACAAAGATCTGGCTTCGTGCTATGTCCACGCGGTTCCAAGCCAGTGCCAAGCTCAGCTGATCTGGAGCAGATACGTTTGTTCCTGGAAAGGCAAGAAACCGGAATGATTTTTCACTCCACGCCTGGACCGCCAGGGTTTGGCAGGTGCTGGGTGGTGAGCACAGGCTTCCCTTGGGCTGCTGGCCTAGAACTAAGCATTGCTGGCTTTGCTCTTGCCCTGAATGACCACAAAGGCTCCGAGCTGAAAGAGCTTCCCTGGAGGAAGGTGGAGGCAGCCTCTTCCCATGCCAGCTGTGCATGGTCTCCTTGGGAGGGACAGAACAGGAACCCAGTGACTCAGGGACCCTGGAGATGATCTCCAGGAAGGCTGGAACCCTGGGACTGCCAGGCAGCCAGCCTGACAGTGACCCTTCCCCTCTCTCTGTCCTCCCTGCCCCCTCATGGCACCAGGCTAACTGAGAGGCAGGGAGGAAGTGTGCATCCCAGAGCAGACCCTCCCCGCCCGGCCATGAACGCTGGCCTGAAGCCTGTCATTAGAACCAAGACGGGGAAATTGGACAGAACACTGCGGAATGCAGTGATTGCAAAGGAACCCATCTGATGTTTACACTCTAGGAGCTGAGGCCCTCAATGAACCAGTTACAAATAGAAACGGTTCTGACCTCAGCCCATGATGGTCCAGGAGCACCCACAGACCTCTGCCCCACAGAAACAGCGAGCCTTGTCATTCTGCCGTGGCTTCATGCTGAGACTGCTCAAGTGGCCTGGCTGGCTCAGGGTCTAGCACCAGCAGACATAGTCCATGGGAGGCCGGGAGGGAAGGATTGCCGGCTAGGCCAACATCAGAGGGACAGGAGTCACCATTTCCTGAGAGCTCACCTTTCAGCAGGGCAGTTAAAATTGCCATCTCGATGTCCTGCTGGCCCTCAGAACCCATTCTGAACACAGTGACCTGAAAATGTGAAAAGACTGAATTAAAGCCAAGTTGAAAACAAGAAGGAGATATGGGGTGTTGTTACAAAATGACCACAGAGACTGACACGTAATAAAATGATCCTGAGCACTAAACAGTTTCAAAGCAAGTGCTGTTGATTTCTTTTTTTTCTTTTCTTTTTCTTTTTTCTTTTTGTTTTTTTTTTGAGATGGAGTTTCGCTCTTGTCGCCCAGGCTGGAGTGCAATGGCGCTATCTTGGGTCACTGCAAACTCCACCTCCCAGGTTCAAGCGATTCTCCTATCTCAGCCTCCCAAGTGGCTGGGATTACAGGTGCACGCCACCATGCCTGGCTAATTGTTTTGGTATTTTTAGTAGAGATGGGGTTTCACCATGTTGGCCAGGCCGGTCTCAAACTCCTGACCTCAGGTGATCTGCCTGTCTCAGCCCCCCAAAGTGCTGGGATTACAGGTGTGAGCCACTGTGCCCGGCTGATTTCCAGAAGTTATGGCATTGCCGTGGGGTGCCTGCCTGCATACTGACTTTATTATTTTCCCCATCCCTTCTGGCACCCTCGAGAGGAGGGAGCTACACTCCGAAATCTCAGTCGCCATCGGAGATGCAAAGTCGTATCTAATCAGACAGGAGATATTTGTAGGAATTAGAATTTTGAAGAGGCCATCTTATGTGCACGACAAGAGTACCTATTCCTTGTAAATGGAACGGAAGAGGGAAGGAGTGGGAAATAAAATAACAGAACTTTGTAAACATGCCTGACAGGGTGGTATGTGGCCCTTTTCCCCAAGACTATCAATCTGAGTAATATTATGAGCCTCAGAGGGTGTTGTGTGGTGTCATGCCCCACTTGCTAAAGTTTGAAAGCACCAGGGGCCCTCCCCTGTGTGGGCTCGTTCAGCTTCTGTCATGTGGACACAGCCACCAATTTGGTATGCATTTGTACTGTCTCTCAGAAAAGGCCGGACTAAAATATGAATAACCCTGTCATGCACACATGGGCGGAATTAGAAAAGGAAACATAATTCTCTCCACAGAGCTTGTTTGGAAATAAATTCAAGACACTTACGAGTTCTTTCTTCTTCATGCACTCCATTATAATTGCAAACAGCTGATGTGATTGTGCCTTATTATAATTAAATGTTTTCTGAATGGTAACTAGAAGCTGCTCCCTGAGGGACTCATTTATTATTCTGTTCAAAGAAAATGCAAGAGAACAAAACAAGGCAAGTTAAATCTATATATGAATGAGTCAGACATATCTCTGTCTTTGATTTGAGACTTTGCTGTGGGAGGATATCCTGACACAGGAGACAAAAAGTAACCATAGTCAAACATCGTATTCTCACTTGTCCTAAATTCCAGCTTTGTTGCAAACTTTCTAAGGGCAAATGAAGTTGGAAATGAGGGAGAGAGAATTCCATCAGGAACACCCTGCCTCTGATGGTTCCCCTGGATGCTGACCTGAGGAAATGGGAGAGGAGATCTAGCAAATCTTCCTGATTTAAACACGTTTGGAATGTCTAAGCAGACCACTTTAGATTTTCTCCTTGGCCCGACAAAGAGGGAGTTACGAACCCGCCCTTCCTCGCGCGTCAGAAATCCTACCCGCCTTCTTCACAGTACTTGTGCGCAAAGGACAGGATGTCCGAGGCACGTCCGCTGCCATCACAAATCACCACAGGGATGGGAGGCTCTTCTTGCAGGTATTCCAAGACGATGGACACCACGTTAGGGCCCCCCTCCACCACGAGACCCACGAGGGGCACGCCCTGCCCCAGTCCTGCAACACAAACCACATTCGCCCATACCACCTGTGCCCTGCACTGTCCACCCAGTCGTTTTAACTCCTGAAGTATGGGGAAGAGTAAAAACATTACGACTTGGGGGATGTTCTATCTGGCTGGAAGGAATTCAGGCATGTGATAACAATTTTCTTTTTCTTTTCTTTTCTTTTTTCTTTTTTGAGACAGAATCACACTCTGTCCCCCAAGCTGGAGTGCAGTGGCATGATCATGGCTCACTGCAGCCTCAACCTCCCTCTCAGCTCAGGCAATCCTCCCACCTCAGCCTCCTGAGTAGCTGGGACTACGGGCACATGCCACCACACCCGGCTAATTTTTGGTAGAGATGAAGTCTTGCCATGTTGCCCAGGCTGGTCTCAAACACCTGGGCTCAAGTGATCCACCTGCCTTGGCCTCCCAAAGTGCTAGGATTACAGGTGTAAGCCACTGTGCCCAGCCCAGTTATCATTCTTGCATTCTGTCACATATTATGGCCTCATTGGGAAAACCAGGACCTCAAAGTCTGAAACTTTCTGACTCACATATGGTTAAACTCCTGAATAACCCACCCACCTGATGTTGGGGCTACTTCAAGGTGACCACTGAGAAATATTGGAAGGTATTCCTGGCTGGAAAAATATCCCCCTGGCTGTCCTAGCCTATGGTCTGAAATTCCCACCCTGATGGCTGTCCCTGAAGAATAAGATGATGAAAGGGGATCTGGACCAGCCAGGGAAATTGCAGTTCAATTCCTGGCTTCTCCCTTATGACACTGGGCCAATCACCAAATCACCAAGAGCCTTAGACAGCCATTTGTAAAAGGTGAACAATCACAGTGCTTCCTTTAACTCCTGCAGTTGTAAAAATATCAGAATATGTGTTTGGCTAGCAAATAATTTTGTAAACGTTAAGTAGCATACAAATGAGGCACACTGTTCTTGTTGACGTTTCTGTCTTCAGTGGCTGGAATAAAGTGCAGATCTTGGACGCAGCCACTTGGACCACTAGTGGCCCATCAGTTAATGACCTGTTCCCAGAGTCCTCCCTCTGTCTCTATCAGTTAATAGGACTCTTCAAGAACACAGTGGGTACCAACTAACTTTTGGTGGCAGAACCTGCAGGCATGGCTCTGGGAAGCAAGAGGTGGCAGGAAGATTCCAGGAAGTTGGGATTCTGGAATGGGAAGGAAATGGGAGTGGAGGCACATTTGCCTACTTCCTAATTTTATGCCACACTGGCCATGACAGATCACACTCTGAGCCTATTTCACCAGCTGTCCATTAGTTGTGATGGGAATTAGTTGATCGATATTAACTAAAGGCAAGTGGAAGTATAGTTGGTCTCAGCTCTGAAGGGCTTCAGATAAAAATCTGCCAGCATTGGTTAAGAGAAGATTGGAGAATTTCAAATGAGCCATTTCAGAGTTTCTAATTTGCTTCCATGAGGTGTTCCTACAGTCAGGGACTCTTACATATGTTGAATAACTCTGCTGTGTCCACCAGAGTAATTACAGCTAAGTTCATTTCAGCAGACATGCATTGAGGGTCTGCTTTGTGCAAAGCCCTGACCAGGAGATATTGGAAAAATGAACTAAGATATCCTGGACTCCGCCTTTGAGATTTCCAACCCAAGCAAGGATTGGTATTTTCAATCTTTAGGAATATGGTGGCCAAATCACCTTCTTTTCGAGCAACAGAGTAGAACAGGTTCTTCTTGGCTTAGGCTGGAGTCCTCGAAGCTCCGTGCTGTGGGAAGTGACAACTGAGCACCCCTTTGCTGTCCCTGCCCTGCTCAGAGCCCTAGGCGAAGGATGACAAAGGGAAGCCCACAAGTCACATGGCCAGGTGAAATGGGGTGTTGTAAAAACTTACAAGTCCAGAAAAATTAGAGATGTGAGAACAAAAAACATTCAGTCATCGACCAATGTATTCTTCGAGATCTGATTCTCGGAAATCTACAACTTTTCCTAGTAGGCCATCCCCATTCTACCCACTCTGCAGCATCACAGTCCCATACATGATGATTCCCAATGACCATTCGCCAGGACTAGATGGTCTCCCACAAAAATCTTGCCAGTAATGGGAAAAACAAACTACTCTTTCAGATCATTTAACAATTGTTTGACGTTAAGAATTACTGGAGTATAAACATGCTCCAAGAGATTATACCAGTTATTGTAATTCTAACCAGTTGTTATCATTGTTTCTTCTGGTTGAGGTTTGCGTCTTTCTCTCTAGTTCGACCTCAGCTTTCGTCTGACAGTGACAGCTCCCCCTCAGGACCAGCAAGGATGATGCCCCTTCAGGAGCAGATGGCTCCTGCAGCCCTCTCCAGATATGTCCCCACCTGGCCATCTTAGTCTACATGAAAGGCCCAGCATTACAGAGATATTTAATAATCACATAATACTTATCAGCAAATAGAAAGAATCCTACTAAATCTTTGAGAAATTGTTTTCCTGTTAAAACACTTAAAAAATAACAACTAATTACAGGGAACAAGAACCACTGGGCAACAGGGTGGGCAAGGCCATCACCATGGCGAGCACTGAGGGTTATTTCGTGCTAACTTGTGAACCTGGGGCAAAGCATCCCCATGTAGCCCAGTGAATGTGATTTGGTAGGTGGCTAAGGTAAGACATCTAGGTGAGTCATTTTCTGTTGACCTAACAAGAAGCAAGGTTAATCTTCTAATCCCCTTGGGCAATCAATCTCCTTCTCAGCCTTGTTTCCACTGTGATGGCATCAGCCCAGGAGGACTGCGTGCCTTTGCCAGCACTTACTTGTGTTGATCTTCTGCAGGGAGATGTGCTTTTCCAGCAGCCTTCGCAGCTTCACCTCGGCGCCATACTTGCCCAGGGTGCCATTGTCAGCCAGGATGAAGTGGGTGTGGGAGTTGTTGAGCACAGAGAGCTTACTTAGAGGGTTGGACATGGTCTGGTACACTCTTGTTACCTGACAAAGTGCACAGCGCAAATCAGACCTGCAGGACTTGGATGTTAAGACCAACAAGGGAAGCAAGCACAATACATATGTGTGGAGTGACTGCACTAAAACTTATTCTCACATCTCTACCCTGCCTTTTGAAGGTTTTATTTTTGCCAATTGTTACATTAAAATAGAAAGAAAGTTAATTGTTTTAGATAATGACAACCTAGCAATTGCACCCCTGGCATTTATCACAGAGAAATGAAAACCTATGTTAACCTCAAATCCTGCACTGGAATGTTTATGGCTACTTTACTTGTAACAGCCAAACTGTTCCTCAACAGACAAATGGTTAAAGAAACTGGTGCCTCCATATCATGGGATGTCAGCCAGCAGTAAAAAGGAATGAAGACCAATACATATGGCAACCTGGACGCGTGTTCAGAGAACTATGTGGAGTGAAAAAAAAGCCAATCCCCAAAGGTTACATTACTGTATGATTCCATTTACAGAACCTTCTTGAAATGCGGGGTGGTGCAGATTAGTTGTTTCCAGGGGTTAAGGAAGAGGTGGGGGTAGGAAGGAGTGAGGTATATGTATATGAAAGGGCAACAGGAGGGATCCTCGTGTTGATGGAAACATTCTGCACCTTGACCTTATCAATGACAGTATCCGGGTTGTGATCTTGCATTATGGTTTTGCAAGATGTTACCATTGGAGGAATGGGAAAGGCTGCAAGGGAGCTCTCTTATTATTCTTACAACTGCATCTGAATCAACGGTTACCTCAAAATCAATCATTAATTTTAAAAAACTGCCAACATTTGCAGAGAAAACACTTACATCCTTTCCAACCAGGTCTTCCTTATTCTCCACGATGCCCCATGGAGCAATTCCTATAGCACAAACCCGGCCTCTGGACTTGGAGGAGTGGTCTTTCAAGGCATCCCCTACGTGGCTGATAACACCTGTGAGCAGCCATTGGTCATATTTTAGGCTCTTTTACTTCCCAGCACACCATCATTCATGAAATTGAGGGACACTTGCCCTGAGTCCCTACATTCCCTACAGATCAGGGGTGAGACACACTCATCTTTATCATTAAAACAAAGTACACTGAAAGTCTGAGCTCATGATAACGAGCAATCTTGCATTAACTCTAGAAACGGGAAAACAAAAACAGAAACCAAAGCAACTGTGTAGGGATTTCCTTTACAGATGTCTAAGGCCTAAAGCTGGAAATAACTGGAGTCTTTTTGGCATTCCTTGGCTGCCTTCAGTGAAAATTGAGAGCCATACTGCCTGGTATGTTCCTTAATGTCTTTGTGCCTAGTTTCCTGTCCTATAACAGGAAAAGGATTGTCGAGAGGTCTAATGAAGATGATGCTTGTACAGGGCTCAGTTCAAGGAATATTGCATGTCATGGGTGACCCAGAGATGTTGACCATTATGACAATCATTACTATATTTGCTGTTTTTTTTTAAGAGTCATATCAAAGTAAAAAACACAAGCTAGGGAATAAAGACTTCACTTTAGTCATAAATAGGATCAGGATGCAATATGTTTTGTTGTCCTTAGTTATTAGGAAGCTCTTTGGGGACCACAGTGAGTTCTGGGTGGTACATTGATTATCGGGAGGGAAAGGGCCTGCTCTTACCTGTGCTGACACCCCCGGTGAAGATCCAGGCCCCGGTGGTCATAGCAGCCTTGATCAGGCCTTTCCCAAAGACTTGTTTCAGCTTGGGCTGCATCTCAAAGTTCTGGAGGCCTCCATGCACAGATATTAAGAGCTTGGGGAGTTCCAGCTGCCAATCTTTCACCATGAGATGGAGCAGTGAGTCTGGCTTGGTGTCATAGGATACACGGATATACTGTGAAAGAGTGTGTGGCACTCAGCCTCTGTTCTTGGTTTTGCTTCTCGTGTCAAAGGGGAGTGAGGCTATTGCTCATGTCCAAGCAAGAACTGCCTGGCTTGTCTCTTCCTCAGGGCCCTGGAGCCCTCTGTGTGAGTCTGTGGCCAAGTGACTGAAGGGAACTTTGGAGAGGATTGTCAGGTTTAGCAAATACAAATAAAAGATGCCTGGTACCATGGTCTGAATGTTTGTATTCCCCTAAAATTCACGTGGAAACCTGATTCCCAATGCAATAGTGTTAAGAGGTGGGATGTTAGAAGGTGATTACGTCATGAGCATGGATCCCTCGTGAGTGGGACTAGTGTCCTTATAAAAGAGGACTCAGGGCTGGGCGTGGTGGCTCATGCCTGTAATCCCAGCACTTTGGGAAGCCGAGGCAGGTGGATCACTTGAGGTCAGGAGTTCGAGACCAGCCTGACCAACATGTTGAAACCCCGTCTCTACTAAAAAAAATACAAAATTAGCCAGGTGTGGTAGCGCATACCTGTAATCTCAGCTACTTCAGAAGCTGAGGCAGGAGGATCACTTGAACCTGGGAGGCGGAGGTTGCAGTGAGCCAAGATTGAGCCATTGCATTCCAGCCTGGGCAACAAGATCGAAACTCCAACTCAAAAAAAAAAAAAAAAAAAAAAAGAGGACTCAGAGAGCTTGTTCTCTGCTTCTGCCATGTGAGGACACAGCAAGAAGGTGCTATGTATGAAGCAGAGGATGGGCCCTCGCCAGGCACCAAATCTGCTGGCACCTTGATCTTGGGCCTCCCAGACTCTAGAAATGTGAGCAATAAATTTCTGTTGTTTATAAATTACCCAGCCTAAGGCAATTTGTTATAGCAGCCAAACAGACCAAGACACCCAGTTAAATTTGAATTTTAGAGGAACAATGAAAAATGTTTCAGTACAACATTTTTATTAAATGCAATAAATCATGCAATATTTGGGACATACTTGTACTGAAAATTTATCCAATGTATGTCTGAAGTTCAAATATAACTGGGTGTCCTGTATTTTATCTGGCAATCCTAATGTTGGAGGAATAGGTTCCAAAGCTGGCTTAGCTAGAACAGTGGCCCAAGAAGTTGGATGAGGATGTTGTTGAGTAAATGGGTCAGGCGATCATGGGCCCACCCATGAACTTGACCTCTTCAAAGTGAGGAGGAGGCTAATAATGCTCAGATGCCTTGTCTCCTATAAACTGCTTCTTTGTGTCTGGGCTAATATGTAGGGTGCCATTTCAGAAGACTGTATATTGCAGCATTTGGAACACAACTAAATTTTATTTTAACAATGATGTTGGGCCAGTGAAATAAAATGAAATTGCAAAAAGTCTGTGACTGGGCATGTAGGAGTGTAATTCAGAGTGAGCTGGAACGGATCACAGAGCTGAAGCCTCCCCCACGCTGGCAGGGCTCACTGGAAGGGCAGAGGGCACTCCCTGTTTACATGCAAATGTGAGGGACCTTGGTCCTTCTCGGGCCAGCTGAGCGCAGGCCCAGGGAAGCTGTGGACAGACCTCAGAGGAAAATATTTCCAAAGACTCTCAACACATCTAAGGGGGCTGCAGGTCCACAGTTATTAGAAAAATGAATTTGTCTTCCTTTACTGAAGATGGAGCAATGGAGTGTGTTTGCAGGGTTGGGCCAGAGCCTGGTTTGTGGATTCAGAGCTTTGGTATGGATTTACGGGACACTAGATGTTCTTTACAGTGGTGTCCAGTTTCCAAGCCTCATGGCTAAAAGCCATGTGCACAGATATATCTCTTGGTTTTTCAATGAAATATCTAGGAAGATTGAGCCACAGCCATGAAGAAGACCAGGTATCTGCAGTTTGGGGCTGGGAGACTGGCCGCCAATGAAAGCTGTGATCCTAGTGGCACCATGTCTGAATGCCTTTCTCACCATGGCTTTATTGGAATATCCGCCACCCTGGAATTCAAGAACTCCATAGGAATCTGTTGGGTAGCTCTGGGTGTGCTTGGCAACAGACCATTTCTCAGGCTGAGTCTCCACCTGTTTGTTTTCCTCTTCATTTTTGCTGGGTGTTGCACTTGGCAGAGGGGGGATATGCTGGTTGGTGAACTGGCCACAGCAACACCTGAAAACAAAGGCAAAGCAGGGTCTTTCTACAACAATCTCCCCCTTTCCCCTTCATTAGCAAAAATGAATTAACCTCAACAGGTGAGTTGGGCCCAAACAGGAGCCTACTAACACTTCAGTAAGCCAGCGTTATTAGGGACAGAAATGCCCCATCTGATGGCCTTTTCCAGATAATCAGTGCACATCTCTTTATATGCCAGTCGATTTTAGACACATTGGATGGTTGCTCTTTCGGAAAATATTTCAACTTTTTGATGTCTTGATAACATCAGTATAAACATCAAGTACTAAACATTCTGTGACAAAGTATAGACATGCCCTCCGAACATAGAGTTGACCTTCCAGATTTTTCTTTCTCTTGTCATTCAGGTTGGAGTGTAGTGGCGCTATCATAGCTCACTGCAGCCCAGACCTCCCCCAAGCTCAGGTGATCCTCTCACCTCAGCCTCCCTAGTAACTGGGACCACAGGCACACACTACCATGCTCAGCTAGTTTTTATATTTTTAGTAGAGACAGCATTTTGCCATGTTACCCAGGCTGGTCTCGAACTCCTGGGCTCAAGCAATCCGCCTGCCTTGGCCTCCCAAAGTTCTAAAATTACTTACTTAGGTGTCAGCCAAATTTTTCCATATTGTTGAATTGTTCTGTTCCTTAGTAAAACATTTCTCCACTCAAGTAATGCTAAAAGGCTATTTCAAAAGTGACCAATATGTCTTTTTCTGCCTTGGACAGATGGCCCATTGGGCCATAACCCGCCCCAGCATCAGGGATCTTCTAGCTCTACAGCATCTCTCCCAAAACCCAGCCAACCTCTCACGCCCTCCCTGAACTCTGGCTTTCTAGTCTTCTCTGAACATGTTCCCTGGCTTTGTGCCAGCTTCTTTTCCTAGTGTGCCTAGGATTTCATCTGTTACTCCATCATTTTTGGCTGCCACTGTTTTGAGTGGACTGGACCCACCAAAAACTTGAAAAGTTTGTTAGGAAGAACTGCAGTAGCCTGGAGTGATGCCTTGGTGGAGATGGAATCCAGGGAAGGCATGGAGGGAGGTCTGTTCCTGGACCCAGCAGGAGCCTGTGTGGGCAGCCGTGCACCCTAGCAAATGGGGTGGGAGAGCTGGGGATGGAGTTGGCTTGAGGACTAGAGAGGATGTCTTTACTGGGCTAGATGTGCGTATGCGTGCACGTGTGTAATGCACATGTGCAGGGCCCTTGCCAGAAGGCTTTCTGTGCTCCCATGGGGCCAGCCTTGGGGCTTCCTCTCTGCCTTGTCTTTCCTTTTGTTTTCCTTTTTCTTTTCCCTCCTCGCTTCCCCATTCTCTCCCTCCCACCCTCCTTCTGATGGCCTTCCATCTTCCCTCCCTCACTCCCTCCCTCTTTCTCTCTCTCTTTTTTCCTTTTATTGAGATATAATTCATGTAATACATAATCAACCCATTTCAAGTATGTGATTCAGGCCAGGAGCAGTGGCTCACGCCTGTAATCCCAACACTTTGAGAGGCCGTGGCATGTGGATCACTTGAGGTCAGGAGTTCGAGACCAGCCTGGTCAATATTGTGAAACCCCGTCTCCACCATAAACACAAAAATTAGCTGAGTGTGGTGGCACACGTCTGTAATTCCAGCTACTTGGGAGGCTGAGGCAGGAGAATCGTTTGAACCCCGGAGGCAGAGGTTGCAATGAGCCGGGATCGTGGCACTGCACTCCAGCGTGGTTGACAGAGTGAGACTCCGTCTCAAAAAAAAAAAAAAAAACATATATATATATATATATATATAGAGAGAGAGAGAGAGAGAGAGAGAGATTAAATGGTTTTTAGTATTGACAGATATGTGCAACCATCATCACAGTTAATTTTCGAACATTTTCATCACCTCAAAAAGAAACTTGGCATGGCATATTTTAAGTTATCTTCCTTCTCACCACCATCTATCTACCTGTGCACCACTCCCCAAGCCATAAGCAACCTCAAGTCTACTTTTTATCTCTGTGGATTTCCATGTTCTAGACACTTCATATGAATACAGTCCTGTAATATCTGGTCTTTGGAGATCAGCTTCTTAGCATGTTTTCAAGGTTCATCCATATTGTAGCATGTGTTGGTACTTCACTCCCTTTTATGGCTTAATAATATTCTCGTATGAATGGATGAACATTTTGTTTATCTATTTATCATTTAATGGACATTTGGGCTATTCGCACTCTTCAGCTGTTATGAATAATGCTGCTATGAATATTTATGTAACAAGTTTTTGAGTGGATGAATGTTTTCATTTTTCTTGGGTATACACTAGGCATGGGATTGCTGGGTCATACGGTTACTCTATGTTTAATCTTCTGAAGAACCACCAAACTGTTCTCCAAGGTGGCTGTATCATGGTACATTTCCACCAGCAGTGTCTGAGGGTTCTGATTTCTCCATATCCTCTCCCACACACTATCTTACATTTTCATTCTAGTCTTCCTTCTGAGTGTGAAGCAGTTTATCATCATGGTTTTGATTTGCATTTCCCTGAAGAATAAGGACATTGAGCATTTTTCATGTGCTTATTGACTATTTGTGTATCTTCTTTGGAAAGATGTCTATTCATTTCCTTTGCCCATTTAAAAAACTTGGGTTATTTATTTTTTTTTAATTATTGGATCTCTTTCCGTATTCTGGATACAAGTCCCTTATCAGAGACATAATTCACAAATATTTTCTCCCATTCTGTGGGTTGTCTTTCCACTTTCTTGATAGCGTCCCTTGAAGCACAGTGTTTAATTTTGGTAAAGACAATTTTTTTGTTGTTTTTGTTGTCCATGTTTTTGGTGTAATATCTCAGAATCATTTGCCAAATCCCAGGTCATGATTTACCCTTACATTTTCTTCTAAGAGTTTTATAGTTTTAGCTTTGACATTTAGGTGTTTGGTCCATTTTAACTTTTATAGATAGCATGAGGTAAGGGTCCAAGACTATTCTTTTGCATGTGGCTATCCAGTTATTCCAGTACCATTTGCTGAAGAGACGACTACTATTTCGCCATTGAAAGTACTTTTCACCCTTGCCAAAAATCAATTTGCCATAGGTGTATGGGTTTATTTCTGGACTGTCAATTCTGTTCCATTTGTCTATATGTCTATCCTATGCCAGTATCGTTGTCCTTTTATTACTGTAGCTTTGTATTAAGTTTTGAAATCAGAAAATGTGAGTCCTCCTATTATTCTTTTTGATGCAATTATAGATAAATTATGTTGCCAGTTTCATTTCCATATAGTTCATTGCAAGTGTATAGAAATACATTTGATTTTTGTGTATTGATCTTATATGCCACAATCTTGCTGAACTCATTTATTAGTTCTAATATTTTTTGGTGGATTCCTTAGGATTTTTCTATGTATAAGATTATGTCATCTGCAAATAGAGAGTTTTACTTCTCTCTTTCCAATCTCAATATTTTTTCTTTCTTTATTTCTCTTACCTAATTGCTTTGGCCTGTACTTCCATTAAAATATTGAATAGAAGTAGTGAGAGAGGACATCCTTATCTTGTTCCTAATCTTAGGAGGAAAGCAATCTTTCACCATTAAGTCTGATGTTAACTGTGGATTCTTTATAGCTGTTCTTTATCGGGTTGAGGAAGTTCCCTTCTATTCCTGGTTTTCCGAGTGATTTTTTATAAAGAGTGTTGAGTTTTATCCAAGTCTTTTGCTGTGCCTATTGAAAAGATCATGTGATTTTTGTTTCTACTATATTGATATGCTATATTACATTATTTATTTTTCTAATGTAAACCAACTTTACATTCCTGGGATAAACCCTGCTTGGTCATGGTGTATCATTATTTTTATATGTTGCTGGATTTGGTTTGATAGTATTTTGTTCAGAATTTCTGCACCCATGTTCGTAATAGATATTGTTCTATAGTTTTCTATCTTGTGATATCTTTGTCTAGTTTGGTATCTGGGTAGTACTGGCCTCATTAAATGAGTTGGGAAATGTTCCCTTCTCTGCTATTTTCTTGAAGAGTTTGTGAAGAATTGGTATTAACTCTTCCTTAAATGTTTTTTAGAATTCATCGAAAAAGCCATGTGGGCCTGGGCTTTTCTTTGGACAGTTTTTTTATTACTAATCCTATCTCTTTACTCCTTATAGATCTGTTCAGATTGTACATTTTTTCTTGAGTCAGTTTTGGCAGATTGTATATTTCTCAGAATTTTCCCATTTCATCTAAGTTATCTAATTTGTTTGCATATAAGTCATAGTATTCTTTCATACTCATTTCTATAAGGTTGGTAGTAATGTCCCCTCTTTCATTTCTGAGTCTAGTCATTTGAGTCTTATCTTTCTCTTCTTTTATGACTCTAGCTAAAGATATGTGAATTTTGTTGAGGTTTTTAAAGAAGAGCTTTTAATTTCATTGAATTTCTCTACTTTTCTATTCTCTTTTCCATTAATTCCACTTTAATCATTATCTCCTTCCCTCTACTTGCTTTAGGTTTAGTTTACTCTTCTTTTTCCAGTGTCTTAAGGTAGAAAGTTATGTTACTTATTAAATATCTTTCTTAATATAGGTATTTACAGGTATAAATTTCCCTGTCCGTACTACTTTACCTGCATCCCCTAAGTTTTGGTTTGTTATGTCTTCATTTCCATTTACCTAAAAGTATTTTCTAATTAACCTTCTGACATTTTCTTTAACCTAGTGGTTATCTGGTAGTGTATTAATTTTCACATATTTATGAGTTTCCAATTTTTTTCCTCCTATTGGTTTCTTATTTCTAATTTTATTACATTGTGGTTGGAGGACAGTTTGTATTATTTCTATCCTTTTAGATATTTTGAGGCTTTTTAATGGACTAACACATGGTCTATGCTGGAGAATGTTCCATATGCACTTGAGAAGAATGTGTTTTCTATTGTTACTGGGTGGTGTGCTCTATAGTTATCTGTTAAGCCTAATTGGTTTATGATGTTGTTCAAGCTTTCTATTCCCTTGTTGGTCTTCTGTTTAGGTGATCTATGCATTATTGAAAGTGGGGTATTGAAGTCTCCAACTGTCATGTTGAATTGTCTACTTCTCCCTTTGTTTATGTCAGTTTTGCTTCATGCATTTTGGTGCTGTTTTAGGTACATATATGTTTATATTTGTTGTAACTTCCTGATCGATTGTCCCATTTATCATTATAAAATGTTCTTAATATCTCTAGTTACATTTTCTTGCTTTAAAGTATGTTTTGTCTGAATCCATTATAACCACTCTCACTTTCTGTGGTTGCTGCTTACATGAGTGGGGCACGGGTGGAAGAAGGGAGCCTCTATCTCTCAACTGCATTCATTCAGGACTTAGCCTCAGCAACAGGTGGTAAGGGACAGGATGAGAAATGCTGAAATCCTGCTCCTCCCAGGAAGAAAGCCCCCTGACTGGGAGCTGGTGGAGAGGGAGCTCTGTGTTCTTGGCTGCAGCACTCTGGAGTAGAGTCTCTATCTTGCTGAGCTGGGCAGAGGGAGGGAGGAAACTCTTGGTTCAAATCCCACAGACTCTAGCCTTTCTTACTGAATTTTTGCTGGCTTTCTCTAAAGATATTCCTTTACTTGCTGTTTGTCTTTGGGATCATTTCCAAGGGTTTAAACGGTTGGTTTTTTCATTCTAGTTTTTTTTTTTTTTTAATCCATGCTGGGGACTGCATGGAGTGCATCAAGGAGGCTTGTATGTGAGCCCAGAAGCACTTTTTGCCCTCTATTGCCTGGGCATCTGGCTTCATGGAGGACTGCAGTGCTGGCACAGAGAGTTCCCAGGATGGCCTATGTGCCATTGAAATAAGAAGGGACATGTAGATGCAACAAAGGGGAGACTTTTGTGACCGTTGGCATTGTTTCATAATGGCATTTCTTACCTCGGGGGGGCAATCACTGGGGTTTAAGCAGGGAGGAGAATCTGCAGGGTGGTGTGGGGCAAGGGGCAGCTTGGGGATGTGGAGGGACTGTGATTGCATGTGTGAAACAAATTTGAAGCAGGTGATCTTGAAGAGTGTGTACTTCTGTGTCATTATTCTACCTGCATGAATTTCATATTGGACGAATGTATGGATAAATTGTTCCCCTTCCCCCAGACTCAGCCTCATAGCTTTTGCCCTTAGAGATGAGACATTTTAGTTAAATTAATCTCTACTTACATGACTTTACAAGGCCTCTGTTCAGCTTATAACAGATGCATTTTAATGTAGGTGAATAAAATTGTTTGATGTTTTGTGTACAAGCCAAATCCTTTAATAAAGTTATAGCTAGTTCATTCAACCGCTCAGATCTTTCCTGTGATGGAAATTCCTTTTCATCTAAATACATTATGAAACTCTATTGAAGAGGCCTGGAAAATATCCTGGAAACCTGTTGAAAGCCCTCAACTCCTTGATCTTGCTGAGACTAAGAGGAATGATGTGGGCCCAGTTGGCTATGAGAGCTCGCATTAGGGTGGGTGGTGGACAGAAACTCTTTTCTGAAGCCATTTGCATGTTAATGGAGTAACAAGGAGCCCCAGTGACTCCCTTGTTAGTGACTCCCATGGGGAATGGATTCTGGCCACCCTTCTGGACTCCTCTTTCTGCCTCTTACAAACATGAGAATAGTGGCAGACAAGCACTGGTTTGGATAATGTCTTAATCGTGGATTTCAATTTACCTGTTAGAGTCTTTCGTGCTAGGAATTACAAAGATACATTCCCGTTTGCAAAAGGTTTTCTCTATCCAAGATTTCTGACCCTGGAAGAGAGAGAGAAGTGGATATTGGACCAATATATTCCCAAGCCATCATCAGAGTCCATTCTTATACTTTTATAAAACAATATGTCTGCCCACAACATCTGAATAGTCATCTGCAATAATGGTGGATGCAAGTCTTTAAGGATCTTAGCTCTAGTACCTTTTAAGAGAAATGGCTTGCAAGTATGTATTTAATGGTTCTCATTTTGCACCTTAATTCATCCATATCTACCTGTTGAAGATATTTTTTGTGCACGGTTCTGGGGTGGGAGCTGTGGGGATTTCCAAGGAGATAAACTGCAGTGCAAGTGTTGTTTACCATCTGGAAATGGCACGTTAGGGGTGTGGCTCAGGGAGGCCACCTGGAGCAGAAGGAGGTGGGAGGGAAATCCCCTGTGGAGGCCCTGCTGGTGCTGGATGCTCAGCGATTTCTGCTGGCTTTATCCCACATGGCTTCTTGTTCTCAGTCACCAGGGACATCTCACACAGAGGCTGGGCACTGGGAAGTGAACCGGCCTGCATCTGAAGGGCCCCATTGGGTCTGCTTCCCAGGGTTTGTGGAGTCAGTTGGCAGAGAGAGCTGGGGAGAGCCCTTCCTGCAGGTGGGAGGGAGGTGCAGGCAGGCTGTGGGGCAGGGGCCTCGGGGTTCCCTGGAAGGGCTCGTGGGAGGCAGGGAGAGAGCCAGCACCCTTCGCTGGATCTCCATGAGGCCTGGCTCAGTGCGTATTTGTGCTATTTGTGGATGTATGATGTGTGTGTGTGTGTGCTATGTTTGTGTATGTGTCTGATGGATGTGTGTTGTACGAGTGCAGAGTGTGTCGTGATGCATGTGTGTGTGTGTGATGAGTCTGTATGTGAGTGGGTGTGTGCGCACGCATGTGTGGTGTGTGTTTGTGATGTGTGTGTGGTGTTATGTGTGTGGTATGTGTGCAGTGTAGTGTGTTGTGTGCATGACTATGACCTGTGTAGTGTGGCGTGTGCATGACTATGACCTGTGTAGTGTGTATGTCTGTGGGGAGCTTGTGGGGTGCTTGCAGGCATGGGGAAGTAGAACGCTTAGCATGTGACAATCCTGAGTCAGATCTTAGAGAAACCATGGCCGGCGGGAGCCTTGTGTCCTTGGCCACTTTCCCACAACTGCCATGAGGAGTGCCCCATGTGCCTGTGACCAGGATGGGACTGAGGTATCTGCGGGGTGAGGCTTGGAGCTGGCCTCCTGGCTGTCCCCATTTACCTAAGCAGCAGTGCTGCTCTGGGAGGCCCCTTGTCTCTGGGGAGGTCACCTCTGCAGAGGTCTGCAGTGACAACTGCATGTCAGAGAGGCCCTCCGCAGAGAGGTCATGCCGATGCCCCATTTGTTACTCTAGGAGAGCCCCAGCCCTAGTCCCAGCTGTGCGGACTAGGGCGTGCAAGTACCCCCCAAACTCAGCCTTTCTGGGAAGATCCAAGTCAGCTTGTTACTTGGCTTTTTGAATAATAGAAATGATGAAAATTCAAACCTTCCTCAGTAGCCTTCAAAAAGCAACACCGTACACTTTTCTCTGTAAATAATTTAATGACTGTTTAAAAACAACATCGCTGGCCTCAGAGGTTGGTGCTTTTGTGCTAATGCAAGGGAGGCAGGCAGTGTGGGCTCAGGGGAGAAAGAAAGCATGGAGCGGGAGCCTCTGAAGCCCCGCCCTGCCCTTCTGTTTTGCACTTTTCCCGTCTGTTTCGCACTTCTCCAGCGCAAGACAGCGAAGCCCAGCACCTGCTGCCTGGAAAGAAACTGTGCTTTTCCCCTTTGCATCTCATGCCTTACTTCCCAGAGAAGCTGGGAAGCCCTTGTTTTTTATAACATAGGGGTTGCAGTATTTGGACTATATGACAACTAAAGACAAGAACTCTAAACAAAGATTGAACTCCCATGAGTAGGTTACTTTTTCTGGAACATAGGATAGCAATTCTGAAGCTGTTTTTGTGTCCTCTAGGACTGAACAAATAAATTAATACATTGCAGATGATTGGAGCTGGGTTTCTCACTGCTGGAGAAAGGAGTTACAAATATGGAAAGTGGGGAAGGTCACAATGAACCTTGTAGCACTGAGCTAAAATTGAAGTTATCAGTGTGAACTCATGGTTTGTAATATATAGAGACAGGTATAAAAACAGATATAAATGTATGTGTGGTCCCTGTCTATACATATACACATATATAGAGATATAACATATTGCATTAATTAACTATGGAGTAACAAAACAAATTGCCCCAAAACTTAGTGGCTTAGAATAACAAACAATTATTATCTCCCAGTTTCTATGGACCAGGAGTTGAATGTGGCTTAGCTGGGTGCTTCTGACTCTGGTTTCTCACAAGGATTTGACTGAGCTATGGGTGGGGGCTGTGGTCTTAAGGGAAGGAAGGAAACCTGGAAGGATCCGTTTCCAGGCTCACTCATGTGGTTGTTGGCCCAGGCCTCCCTTAACTCCTTGCCAGGGAAACCGCTCTCCAGGGCAGCTCACGAAGGGGCAGCTGACCACCCTCTGAGTGCGCAAGCAAAAGAGTGCATGCAAAACAGAAGCCAGGTCTCTTTATAACCTGGTGTCCAAAGTGACAGCCCATGGCTTTTGCCGTAGCCCATTCATTAGCATTGAGTCACTCAGTCCATCCCACACTCAAGGGAGGGGGTTACACAAAGCATGCATATCAGCAGGCAGGGACCTTGGGGCCATATGCCTACATACATATGCACATATGCATGCATGCCTGTATGCTTACACACTCATACATTCCCTGGCTCCCTTAATGGGCTTCACAATAACACTTCAATAGCAATGAGCATACTCATGCTCCAATACTGGTTTCCAAATACCATTCTCCACTAAAAGGAATCCAGGGCTGGGGCGGGGAAGTATAAGAAGAGCCTGGAACACCTTACTGTACCAGCAAGTGAGAAACTTTACTTTTGACATGGGAACATGCCAAAAGAACACAGTGGCTGCTTGAAGGGGCTCCCAGTGGCTTTCTCTGGGGTCCCTTCAGCATGAAAATAAATGACTACAATGAAGAATTATAACCTTTAGACTTAAATAAAGACCCATGGGTCCACACTGATATAAATACATATGTAAATAAACGCACAGGGGAGGGAGAAAGCTCTTTCTTCCAATGGAAAGTCCCTATTAAATGTGGAAGGAATGATGGAATCCGACAATCACCATTTGGCAACCATCAAGAATCTCTGATGAATGCTAAAAGTAGTGGGTAAAAGTCTGAAGAGTAACAACGTATTTACATAATCTCAAAGTATTTCCCATGGATACTTATTAATTACAAAGGAGAAATTAGTAACTTGACAGTGGAGAATTCTGGGGAGAACCACCTAAAACAAAGTGCACATCGCCTGTCATGGAACAAATATTTATTATGAGGCTCTGGATAAAACGCACCAAGAGGAACAAAAGTGCCCAAAGTACATCATCTGAACCTGATCTGGAGGAAGGATCATCAGACAGCCCGAACTGAGGGCCATCCTACGAAATAACCCACCTGCGTTCCTCAAAAACGTCAAGGCCACGAAAAGACAAGGAAGAACTGAGGGAAGATTCCAGAGGCTGGACACAAGATCTGGCACTGTCCTTCCCTAGCCCCCAGGCCCCGCCCCCAAGTCCGCCCCCATCGTCCTCGACCCCGCCCCCTCACCCCGCCCCCTGTTACCTCTCACGGCCCCGCCCTCTCAGCCCGGTCCTCCAGGCCCCGCCCCCAGCCCCGCTCCCTCTCATAGTCCCGCCCCTCGTCCTTTCCCACACTTTCCCTGGCAGCCCCTCTCACCGCCCTAGGATAAGAAACCCGCGCTGGGGCGCTGTCCAGGAAACCTGTGCCAGCACAGCGTGGGGAATCAGAAACTAAAGCCCAGGCTCCGAGCGCTTAGGCTCAGGCCCCTCATCGTGAAAGGGGGAAACGCAGCCTGCCCTACAGGACTTAATGCCACCGGCGGATGAGGGAGCAACAACGTGCCCCTCGCTGGCTTTTGTGGCTAAGTCTGTTCCATCACAAGGGGTGTTTAGATGCCTCCTTTAAGGCAGGGCCCCCTGTCCCCCCCCTTATCGTGCCAATGAAGGTCATCTGTGATGACTCTGGGGCATCGGTCTTGCATTTTGTCCCCCAGATTCCGAAAAGGAGGGCTTTTCATGGTGCCGAGTGCCAGCCCTTGCTGTGGCTCGGCACCAGGGCAAGTGCAACTGGCGCCATGGCCCGAGCCAGGCTCAATCCACTTCCCTCTGCTTCACTGGAAATCCGTCTTTTCCTAATAAAAACGCTAGCATGTGACTAACGTACTTTCTCAGGGGGGGAGGGGGGGAAGGTGGAAGTGCTTTACTTAGGTATTAACCATGAGTTTTCAAAAAGTTGATATAAGGAAATAGCCTCAGTCCAGCACTGCAAGTTACTGCTGAGTCCTCAGAAATCTTCTAGAACCTACGAGGATAAACAAGAGGAGTAAGAGTCACTTTGCCTGCAGCCTCTTTCTTGGGAAGCAAGATGAACAAATCCTGCCCTCCCTCTGTTCCAGTCTCTGCTCTAATGTGGCCTCTTCACCAGGGCTCCCTGACTCCCCATCTACCCCAACCCCTGCGCTCTGTTCTCCATAAACCTTCTCCCCCACCTCCTGCCTGTCCCCTCCTCCCCAACCTCGCACCAAAGCCACAGAGGCAGCAGCCCCCTTCAGTTCTCTGCTGTATCCCCTGTGCCTCCAGGAGGGCCTGGCGAGAGCTCAACATCTCCTAATGACTCAGTGATTTACTCAACCTCCCGGTGGAGCAGTGCCACCTGCTCAGCCCTTGCTAATGCCACCTACAGCAGCAGAGCATTTGCCAGCAGGGCACACATGAAGTAAGCCAGGTCACCCCAGGAGAGGCATGGCTCACCTGGGGAGGAGCTTGGTCTCCTGAATCTGCTCAGAGGCAGTGTGCAGGTGAAAGGCAATGGGTGGAGGCCCCTCAGTCAAACTTTCCTCCTTCCCCTCCTGCCAGGCTCTGGGGCTGAACAATGCCAAGGTCATAACAAATGGCTGAACCCACCCTGACTCCTTACAGATTGGTCATGCAAGTTTCAGTGCAACGATAACGCCACTGCAGGGGAGACCCTGCAGGTGCCACCTGTCCTTGTGAAAGGAGAAAGCAGGGCTTCCTGTGGTTTGTTCACAAACCCTTCATAACCTCCCCACCCCCATTAGGTGAGATACTGCCCACTTGTGCAAAATATTCCAGTCCATCAGAAATGGTTATTTTGAATGCCTCTGTGCCGGATGATAGGAGCACTGGCACTGGAGATGGAAATCCCACTGAGATTTTAAGAGTGCTTGTCCCAGCTGGGAAGTCTGTCTACCCCGGCTGAGTGAAGGGACAGTGGAGGTCATACTGGAGGCGGACTGCTGGCACTGCCACCACGCCCCCAACCCCTCTGAGCTGTGATTTTCTCATCTCTGAAATGGAAATGGCTTTGAGTGGTTTTGAGCCTTAGCTGGGATCTTATCTGTACAGTATCTGGGAGGTACTAGATTTAAATGCAATCCTGGTCATTATCAAATATGACTGCCCTGCTGAGGACCCAGCGATTTTTCATCTGTAGCCAGGACCATGTGTCCATGAAGGGCCACGGGGAGGCTGCGGGAAGAAAGTCCAAGAGGAGTGGGCTGAAGGGCAATGGGAAATGTTCTGCCAGCTCTGTACTTATTTATTTTTTAAAGAAAGAAATATCTGCTACAAACATGGCCAAGGAAACCTTTGTACCATCTGGGTGGGGGTTGCTCAGGTGCACGTTGTCATGTTATTCTCTGGGCATTTACGTAGTTTTAGAGTGAGGGGGCCGAGGAAGTGTAGACAGCAAGTGTCAACCCCGAGGAGAAGTCTTCCCCTGAAGGGGAGCCCAGAAATGGTGGGAGCTGGAGTGGAATGAAGGGTCATGGGGGGCTTTAACAATGTGACCTTCTAGAAGGTGTTTACACACACAGGTGGGGGCGACCCACAAGGAGGGGTACAGGAAGGTGCAGGGGGATACCTTGAGAAGGCTGGACGGAGACAAGGAGGAAGGCTGCAAAGACACAGTGTGACTTTGGTCTGGGAGGACATGGCTCGGGGAAGTGGCTTCTGAATGTAAGAGCTGGTGTACTGCCGGGCGAGGCTCTGTTTACTCAAAGCCCTATGTCTTGGGCCAAAATTAACAAGCAAACCCCGCAATGAAATGAATGATGTGTGGACCAGTTTATCCAGAAGAAACTGCTTGTTTTGTGTATATATTTAGAGCAGACGACTCAAACTCTCATTCCCACAGCTACATGTGGCCCACATATGGGCTTGGTTGGAACCTTTTGTGAAAACTACATTTAGCTGCCATTATTAACCAAGAGGGAGATTATACTTATGGCTTCTCTTGAAAGCCCTCAGGATGTGGGAACGCTGGCTGGTGTCCTGGCACAGCTGCAGGTGGCGGCGGGTTCCCACATGTGCCCTGACAGCTCCCTGGGACCTGCCTTTGCCCGGCTCCTAGGGGCACCTGTGGGCCCCACCTGGGGTGGCACCTGCATGCCTGAAACTCTCCATGCAGGAGAATCAAACAAGCCTGCCAGCCAAAGCACAAGCCGCCCAGCCTTATATGCAGAAAGGATTAAAAGCCACAACCACTCCTTCCTGCTCCACCCTCCCACCCCCTCGCTCCACTGCCACTGGAGGTCCTGGCCTGGGTCCAACTGGCCATTTCTGGGTGGTTCAGCTGAGAGTCCTGCTCTGGCTTCTCAGGGATACTCTCAGGTCAGATGCAGCCTCCTGCCCCTAGCTGCAGAGAGCACAGGTAGGAGGGCCCAGCTGAGGGTCACCTCAGTCCCATCTTGTGGAACGTCACCTGCAAAATGAGGACAATGATACCCCTCACATCTGCCCCACAGGCTGGTGTGAGAGCCTAGTGACACCATGCTTGGAAGACCTTTGAAACCTATTGTCCTCTGCTTCATCATCACTATCCGCAGGAAGGTGACAGGGCTGGCTTGCAGGAAATGCTGGAGGTCGTCACAGCCGACCCCTCTCCTGGGCCAGGGTTCCCTTTCCTCCGGGTTTCTAGCCTTCTTCTCTCCCAGGGGCTCTCCTCTGGGGACACTGAGAGATCCTCCTCTAGACTAGAGTCCAGGAAACAGAGCTGGATCTTTAGAGACAGTGATATTTTTCTTTGTACTTTCTTTTTTAAAAATCGAGATATAATCCACATACCCTAAAATTCACCTATTAAAGTCTGCAGTTCAGTGTTTTACATATAGTTCCAAGACTGTGAAACCATCACCACTACCTAATTCCAGAGCACTTTGATCACTCCTAAAAAAAGCCGGTACCCATTAGCAGTCACTCCTCATTCCTCCCTGACCCTGCCCAGCTCCTGGCAACCACAAATCCACTTTCTGTCTCTATGGATTTGCCTATTCTGGGCACTCTATATGAATGGAATCATTCAACGTGTGGCCTTTTGTGTCTGGCTCCTTTTGCTCGGCGTCATGTTTTCAAGGGTCATCCAGGTAGCGCAGATCAGGACTTTACTCTTTTCTATGCCTCTGTAATATTCCATTACATGAATTCATCAGTTGATGAATTTGGGTTGTTTCCACTTTTGGCTATTGTGAATAGTGCTATCAGTAAGACATTTTTTCTCTCTTTCTTTCTTTTTTCTTTTCTTTTTTTTTTTTTTTGAGACAGAGTCTCACTCTGTCGCCTAGGCTGGAGTGCAGTGGCGCGATCTTGGCTCACTGCAAACTCCACCTCCTGGGTTCAAGTGATTCCCCGCCTCAGCCTCCTGCATAGCTGGAACTACAGGCGCCCGCCACCACGCCTGGCTAATTTTTTTTTTTTTTTTTGGTATTTTTTAGTAGAGATGGGTGTTTCACCATGTTGACCAGGCTGGTCTCGAACTCCTGACCTCAGGTGATCCACCTGCCTCAGCCTCCCAAAGTGCTGGGATTACAGGTATGAGCTGCCGTGCCCAGCCAACATTTTTTCTTTTTAAAGTGAATACAAAATATGGCTAGGAAAAAAGGAAGCAAATTCATTAACTTGTTCATTTTGTGTTTGTGGGAGGGGATACAGACTTTTTCTTTAATTTCTTCATTGTCCGTGTTGTGTTTTTAATTTTCTAAAGACCAACATAGCTTATTTTAAAAAAGAGAAAAAGGAGAATGTGCCCAGGGTCACCCAGCCAATACCAGGGTGCCTCAGTCCAAGGTCTCCCCAGCTATGGCCAGTTCCAAGAGTCCAGCCTCATGGTTACATCCTTGGCATTTCTGCAGCATCACTAATATTTTCATTTTCCAATGGCACTGCTGGTTATCATTCCATCATTTAGGACATATGCATATTTAAGCTGCAATTGCAAATAATGGAATCATAGGGTATGTCTCTAATGCTAACCGTTGTAATTAAGAGCAATAAAAAGATCACAAAATGGAAGAAAGTCGTATCAGAATTCAAACAGTGGATTTTGTCAACATTGTCGGGGCTTTACTGTGAAAATGTGAGCACACGCCCAATTGTTTTTAGAGTTGTCATTGCAGTTGTCATTACATGATTTATAGTCCAATCGCATGTGTTGATGTCCTAATTCAAGGTGGTGCTGGTCAGATACCAGGAACGCTTGTCGCTTTTGCCTCCTGCCAGGCCACCCTCATCACAGGTCATGGGGTTGCTGATTTTTTGTGCAGAATGTAGGGTGTTACTAGTTAGCCCTGACCTGGTTAGTGCAAATAGTCAATTAGGAGAACAAAACCAAACAAAAACAGAAGAGCTGCAATGCAGACCCCGAATTATCCTGGCTGGACACAGACAGCAGCCAGGGTCAGGCTTTTGAATCTTTTGATATTTGCTTCTCATTTTTTACCACTGGCAGAAAAGATACCCTGGACCCGCAGCCACAGGCCTCACGCTTAGAGAAAGACCCCAGGCCCAGACTGATGGGTGTAGGATGTCCTGGAAGGAAGACCTGTGGGACTAACTTGTACGATCACTGATCTCTGACCGTTCCGAGGAGAAAAGCAAAGGAAAACTGGGCTGGGTGTTGGATTATCTAATTCTCTCACCCTTCAGAGAACTACCTTCACAGTGGTCATAAACAAGGGCTGTCATAAGCAGATAACTCCAGCTAAGGCATCTGCTGGACCTGAAGAAAAGGGTGGGACCACTGGGGAACACCTGGGGGCTGTGGGGAGAACCATGGGGCATCAGACCAGGCTGGGAGGAAGGGACGGGAGGAGAGGGGGAGCGGCAAGGTTGGCCTCTAGCCCTTCAGGTGGAGCTAGCAGAGCAGGGAGCTCCTGCGAGGCATCAGACTGGATGCCTGGAGCACCTGCTGGTATCAGACTCCACTGCTCCCCATTTACAGAGTCACATGGAGATAAGCCAGGCAGGTGCTTCTAACACAAGCTGCGCCTTGCAGATGTGTGCAGCCCCCTGCCCCATCGCAGAGGGGACTCAGGCACAGCCCGGGCTTTTTGGCATCATGCTCTTTCGAGGGGTGGTGACCAGGGACATGATGTGCCCTGTAAATGGGGGAGGCCCTGGCTTCTGGGTGCCTGTGGGTGCCTAGGTCAGCATCCCCACCTCTCCCAGCAGGGGCTCCAGGGTCTGAGTGGAGCCAGCACTCCTCCCTGTCTCCTCCCCTTGGGCCCTGCTCCTAGGTGGAACCTGGCCCAGAAACTTGCTTCTAGAAAGGGGCCCACAGATCCTGTGCCAGGTTCTTCAAAGCATTTCTCCCCTGGTCTAAGGGAGGTTGTTAAAAGTGTATATATCTGACAACCTATGCAATGTGGAGAAATATTTGCAAATCATATATCTGATAAGCAATTAATATTTAAAATATATTAATATTTACAATACCTTACAACCCAATAACAGCAAACAAATGAACAAACTGATTTAAAAAAGGACTTTACACATTTCTCCAAGGAAGATGTATGAATGGCCAACAAACATGAAAAGATACTCAACATCACTCATCTTAACTAGGGAACTAAAAATTAAAACCACAATGAGATACTATCTCATGCCCATTAGGATGGATACTCTGAAAAAACAGGAAATAACAAGTGCTGGTGAGGATGTGGAGAAATCGGAAAACTTGTTCATTGCTGGCAGGAATGTAAAAGAGTACAGCCACTGTGGAAACCAGTATGGCAGTTCCTCGAAAATGAAACACAGGATTATCCTATGATCCAGCAGTTAAGCAGGTCTCAATAGGGATTTTTTTTTTTTTTTTTTTTTTTTTTTTTTTGAGACGGAGTCTTGCTCTGTGCCCCAGGCTGGAGTGCAGTGGTGCAATCTTGGCTCACAGCAAGCTCCGCCTCCCGGGTTCACGCCATTCTCCTGCCTCAGCCTCCATGTAGTCCTGTAGCTAGGACTACAGGCCCCCATCACCACGCCCCGCTAATTTTTTTGTGTATTTTTAGTAGAGACGGGGTTTCACCATGTTAGCCAGGATGGTCTCAATCTCCTGACCTCATGATCTGCCTGCCTCAGCCTCCCAAAGTGCTGGGATTGCAGGAGTGAGCCACCATGCCCGGCCTCAATAGGGACTTTTACACTTGTGTTCATAGCAGCATTATTCACAATAGCCAAGAGGTAGGAGTAAGCCAGGTTTTCATCGACAGATGAGTGGATAAACAAAATGTGATCTATCCACACAATGAAATATGATTCAGCAGGAAGGGCATTCAGAACATACCACAACAGGGATGGACTTTGAGGACATGGCGATAAGTGAAATAAGTCAGTCACAAAAGGACAATTGCTGTGTGATGTGCGGTACCAAGAGCAGTCAAACTGATAGAGACAGGAAATGGAATGGTGGCCGCCAGGAGCTGGTGGGAGGGAGGAATGGGTAGTTTTTCCATTTTCTAAGATGAAAAGAGTTCTGGGGATTGGTCGCACAACAATGTGAATGTACTTAACACAATCTGTACATTTAAAAACTGGTAAGATGGTAAATTTTATGTTATGTGTATTTTACCACAATTAAAACAACTTTTTAAGAAATGCAGCTATCTGCGCTTCACTCTAGTCCTTGTGAGAGGTGCAGCCGACTGGGCTTCTGGGTCGGGTGGGGACTTGGGGAACTTTTCTGTCTAGCTAAAGGATTGTAAATGCACCAATCAGCACTCTGTGTCTAGCTAAAGGTTTGTAACGCACCAATCAGCACTCTGTAAAAACGGACCAATCAGCACTCTTTAAAATGGACTAATCTGCTCTCTGTAAAATGGACCAATCAGCAGGATGTGGGTGGGGCCAAATAAGGGAATAAAAGCTGGTCACCAGCGCCAGCCCTGGCAATCCGCTCGGGTCTCCTTATTGGTTGTGGAAGCTTTCTTCTTTTTGTTCTTTCTCTCTTGGCAATAAATGTTATTGCTGCAAGCAGAAAGTGTCTGGGTTGGCACCACCTTTAAGAGCTGTAACACTGACTGTACGGTATGTGGCTTCACTCCTGAAGTCAGCAAGCCCACGAACACACCTGGAAAGACGAGCAACTCTGGATGCGCCACCTTTAAGAGCTGTAACACTTGCTGCAAAAGTCTGCGGCTTCACTGCTGAAGTGAGCAAGGCCAAGAACCCACCGGAAGGAAGAAACGTAGGAAACATCTGAAGGAACAAACTGCGGACATGCCACACTCACGGACTAGGATGGGCATTTCATACTAAGCCTTTTTGGGATTTGGGGGCCGTCGTATGAGATTGACTGAAGCGGCGGTATTCGTCTTCCTGCTACCTGTGGGAACGTTCCCAACCATGGTATCAAACACCTGAACGTTCTTTCTGCTGGGGGGATGCGTCAGAGGAGGCCTTTGTACCGGGGCGATGCGATAAGCCCTGCTGCGGGTATTGACATTTGGCCCCCCGAGCGGGAGATCAGTGTTTGCCTACCAGAAGTCTGGTGGCAGAATTGCGTGGAAGCTGCTGGCGCCTCTGTGATGCAGTGGGGCTCCCAGCACTTTCTTGGCTGATGGGCAGTTCTAGATTTAGGGTGAGGCAAGTGAGGCACTCAAATGGGGGTATCAGAAATCCAGTAATTAGGATAAGTAACATTTAATGCCATATTTTTAAAAAACAAAAATCAATACAGAAAATTCGTGATGAATACAGTGTGGAAACTGAAGACAGGCTGCTGCTGTTTGCCTTCTGGTGTTGCATTATTGTGCAACAGGAGTGGTCATTTCTAGGTAGTTCGTAATTCTCTGACCATGTGGCCAGCGTGTCCCCCACTGGGTGGGTTTCTGAGGGTTGGCAATGGTGGGCCAACATTGCCCGGGAGGGTTTATATATAGTTATGTTTTTTTGGTTGTTAACTTTTCCCACTTGGTTCAAAATCCGGGAGGCTATCTTGGTAAGTATCTATGAAGTATACGTTGTTTCTTCCCTACAGAGTCCAGTAGGATTTGGCTTGATGCCTATGACAGGTCATTGGTGACCATGGCCTGCTGACCTTAGTGCTGGCCCACAACACTGCTGGAGAACACTGGGGAGGCCTGTGTGCAATAGCACATTCCCGGGCAGCGGTGGATGGGGGGCCGAGACAGGCCTGAGCGGCACCGTTTGCTCTGTAACTCGAGGAGGCCCAGGGTCACTGGCTCGGGAGAGTTTGTAATTGATGAGACGGGTCCAGGCCCAGCTACCCTGGGACGGTTCACCCTATGATTGAGGAAGCGTCAGCTCCAGGGCCGACACTTGGATGACCTCTCCAAGGCCTGGAGCTTGCTTTAGACTTGTAATAGGTTAGTATCATTTTCCTCAACATGGTGTCCCCAAAGTGCATAAGCTTTTGGGCCCCAGAACACCGCGGAAGGCACTTCTGCCTGCCCTTGTGAGTAAGGGGATAACTGTGCCATGTGGCGCACAGGGAACTGATGTCACCTGGGGCAGAGGATCCTGGGTTGGCCGGGAGCACCGTGTTGGGGTGGGAAGTGACTACGGTGTGTGTGTGTTTGGTTTTTCTTTGCTTAAAATTTAAAACAAATGAAAAAACCCTAAACTAGTATGTGCTCAATGGAACAAATTAAAAGTATACGGAAATATTGAAACAAAAAAGTGATTATCTTTTTTTCCTCTGCAACCCTAGCCCCTAGCAGTAACCCCCATGAACACTGGTGCGTTCCCTTCAGCTATTTCTTCCTGGTTCTCAGCACACATGCTCTCGTAAAGGACTTTTTAAAAGGAAACTTTAGCAACATTTATGGGAGTCTTTTTGAGCCATTACACAGACAGCTTCCTCACCCTTCAACCAGCTGCATGGTGTTCTCCGGTGTGGCTGTCCCCGGGATTCTTGCTTTCTAGAAATGATTCCATGTGGTATTTTCCATATGAAACTGCATCCTGGGGCTGGGCGTGGTGGCTCATGCCTGTACTCCTAGCACTTTGGGAAGCCGAGGCAGGCCGGTCACGAGGTCAGGGATTCAAGACCAGCCTGGCCAACATGGTGAAATGCCATCTTTACTAAAAATACAAAAATTAGCCAGGTGTGGTGGTGGGCACCTGTAATCCCAGCTACTCGGGAGGCTGAGGCAGGAGAATCACCTGAACCTGGGAGGCAGAGGTTACGGTGACCTCAGATTGTGCCACTGCACTCTAGCCTGGGCAACAGAGTGAGACTCCATCTCAAAAACAAAAAAGAAAAAAAAAAAAGAAACTGCACCCTGGAAAAAATCTTCCCAACAAGTCTGAATGGTGCTGGAAAGCTTTACTATTAAGGCCATTTCTTCGAGTTTAAGCTTTGAAAGTGGCTCTTTTTTTAAAAAAAATACAGTAAACAGTGTGGTGGAAGGAGAACTTGGGCTTTAGACGTACCTGAGTCAGCTCCCAGATCCACCATTTCTTATCTTTATGACCTTGGCCAACTTACTTAACTTTCCTGAGTCTTGATTAGCTTGTCTATGACATGGAGTAATGAGGCTGATTTCTCATGGTTTCTGTAAGGATTAAGTGTGATTAAGTGTGTAAAACTTCAAGCCCAATGTCTAGCAGCGATTGTATTCAGTAAACAGTTTTGAAGTTTCTTAAGCATTAGCTGATAAAAAAAAGTGCAACGAGGGTAATAGTTCTGCTTCTGTTTCAATGCCTGGGATCTGTTGGGTAGGTTGGGTGGACTGATGACATTGTCTGCAATTCCCTCATCCATGGCCGAGGAAGCAGCAGGCCAGTGGGATGGCAGAGCTGAGAGTGAAACCCGGGCCTCGCCTGCTGTGCTGGAGATCGGACACAATGAGACAGAGATGCTTCACTCCAGAACTCACAGCCCTAACAGTGCTGGACGTAAATCTTGGTTTGTGTTTTTCCAAGGCTTTTGCAAGTATTTGCCCACTCTGCCCTTTGTGGACGATGTCACTATCCATGTTAAATGGACTTCTGGGGCTGCTGGGGACCAGCGTGCACATGTTAAGTCAGTAAGCGCCTCTCAGATCTCAGCACCACCTGTTTAGCAGGTTGGCCAGTTAGCTGCAGTCGGCTCTGAGGGATGGAGACCCAGGATGGGGCAGATCCGAAGGGCAGGGAAGGGCACGGAGGGGCACTCCTGAAGGGCTGGGCTTGGGAGCAGCAGGGGTTGTTCCTGGGAGGCTGACCGGGTGGGAGTGGTCCTACAGAGAAGAATAAGGAGTGGCACTTGGTGGTGAGGGCGGGAGAACCCCCCAAAGAGGTTCACATGTGCGCTGTGTTCCTCTGGGGCTGTCCTGACCCAGTGTGGTCTGTGGTGACCAGTGACTCATGGTCAGTGTCTGGGCTGCTCATATATTTATAGATGAACGTTCCCACACATCTCACAACTCAGCTTGTAAAACTTGGGAGGATTATGGGAAAACAAAACAAAACAAAACAAAAAACACCTTCTTCAAAAGTTCAGTGGGGCCTTTGTAACCTGGACCACTTTGAATGTCACACAAAAAGCCCAGCATGCATGTGGCTCAACTGTTAGCTTGCAAAGCCCTCTTACGAGGTGGGCTCTGCTGGCTCCAGATATGTCAAGGGGACTCAGCCCTTCGGAGCTCCCAGGTGGGCCCAAGCCCCCATAAAGTGGTCTAGGAGGGGCCGGGATGAGGGAGAAAGTTTTTCTCTCTGGACTGAGGAGGCTCTTGAGGGGTGGGGTGGGGTGGGGTGGGACACTGGCTTAGCCCTGAAGGATGAGAGGATTGGTCCAGGCAGGAGCTCTGGGGAAAATGCTCTTGGGAGTGGGAACAGCAGGGGCAAGGCAGAGTGCAGGGTCTCATTTCTTAACTGTGGTGACCACCGTGACGGTCCCACAGAATAAAGGTGTGGTGTCGGTGCGTTGTAAGTCTGCAGAGACCACCAGCTCTCCTGGTTTTACGAACGAAGAAACTGGGGCTGTGGATGAGTTAGGGTTTTGGTAGGGGCTCTGGGAGGCGAGTGGCACCAAAAGAGGAGATGGAGGGTCACAGTGGAGCCACCAGCCCAGGCCGACCACGCGGCCAGGCAGCCGGACCTGGACCCCCAGCCCTGTCCCTCATTACTCAGGGTCTCCTTTGGCAGATTCAAAATGTTTTCTCCAAAATGGGCATTTGCTTTTGAGCCTTCCCCTTTCAGGAGGACAGAAAACGATTTCTCATTGTCTCAGGAAGTGGAGCAGGCATATCCTCCACAGCCCAGCACTTCCACACTGAGGTTTACTGGAAATATACTTGTGCATGTATGTATCTTCCAGGAGACCGCACTGTTCATAAGCACTCAACACAGAGCCGTCTAGATGCCCAGCCGCGGTAGCATGTACAAGTACATTGCCGTATAGTCCCGCAGGAATATCACACAGCAGCGAGAACAGACAAACTGCAGCTACCATATGGGTGACTCTCCAAACACAGCACAGAAGAAAAGAAATGAGTCATCAAAGATACACACAGTGTGATTCCATTTGTATAAAGTTCAAAAGCAGGTGAAGCTCAACAATGCATTATTTAGAAATACAGATGAAGTTCAAAATAAAACAATAAGGGGCCGGGCACAGTGGTTCATGCCTGTAATCCCAGCACTTTGGGAGGCTGAGGCGGGTGGATCACCTGAGGTCAGGAGTTCGAGACCAGCCTGGCCAACATGGTGAAACCCTGTCTTTACTAAAAATAAAAAAATTAGCTGGGTGTGGTGACACACACCTGTAGTCCCAGCTACTCAGGAGGCTGAGGCAGGAGAATTGCTTTAACCTGGGAGGCAGAGGTTGCACTAAGCTGAGATTATGACACTGCACTCCAGCCTGGGCGACAGAGTGAGACTTTGTCTCAAAAAAAAAAAAAAAAAAAAAAAAAGATTAAAAAAGCTCCCAAAGAATCCACAAAAAAGCTACTAGAGCTAATAAACTAATATAGCAGAAGTGGAGGGTGAAAGATCACCATACAAAAATTGGATGTATTTCTGTACAGCAAAAACAATTCAATTTATAATAACATCAAAAATCAGAAAGTATCTAGAAATAAATTTAACCAAAGAGGTGAAGGCCTTGTACACTGAAAGTGACAAGACCTCGCTGAAAGAAATTAAAGAAGGCATAAATAAATAAATGGAAAGACATCCTGTATTCATGAATTGCAATGGGCTAAATGGACAGAGCAATCTGGTTTTTTTTTTTGTTTTTTTATTTTGAGATGGAGTCTTGCTCTGTTGCCCAGGCTGGAGTGCAGTGGCATGATCTCGGCTCACTGCAGCCTCTGCCTCCCAGGTTCAAGTGATTCTTGTGCCTCAGCCTCTGGAGTAGCTGGGACTACAGACATGTGCCACTATGCCTGGCTAATTTTTTTTATTTTTAGTAGAGATAGGGTTTCACCATGTTGGCCAGGCTGGCCTCCGACTCCTGACCTCAAGTGATCTGCCCGCCTCAGCCTCCCAAAGTGCTGGGATTACAAACATGATCCCCGCACATGGCCGACAAAGCAATCTTGAAAAAAAGAACAAAGTTAGAGGACTCATATTTTCTGATTTCAGAATTTCAAAGCGTCAGTAATCAAAGAAGTATGGTACTAGCATAAGGACAGACATGCAGGCCAGTGGAGTAAGATTGAGATTTCAGAAATAAGTCCATATATCTATGTCCAAGTGATTTTTAGCAAAGGTGCTAAGACCATTCAATGGGGGAAAAGACAGTCTTGTCAACTAATAGTGCTTGGAAAATTGGATATCCACATGCAAAAGAATGAATTTGGACCCCTACTTCACACTAGCTATAAATATTAACTCAAAATGGATCAGACTAAATTGTAAGACCTAAAACCATAAAACTCTTAAAAGAAAATATATGTGTGAATTTTCATTATCTTCATGATCGATGGATTTATAGATATGATACCATAAGCATGAACAAGAAAAGAAAAAGCAGGTAAGTTGAACTTCATTAAAATGAAAAACTGTTCATCAAATTCATCAAAGGACATTATTAAGAAAGGAAAAAAACCCACAACCTATAGAATGGAATACGATATTTGCAAATCAAAATATGACAAGGGTCTAATATCCAGAATATATAAAAGAACTCTTCCAACTCAACAACAAAAAGACAACCCGATTAAAAACTGGGCAAAGGACTTGAATAGACAATTCTCCAATGAAGATATACAAATGGCCAACAAACACATGAAAAGATACCCAACATCTTTAGACATTAGGGAAAAGCAAATCAAAACCATGATGAGGTGCCACTTCATTCCTACTAGGATGATTATAATTAAAAACATCCCAAAATAAAAAAATAGTAACCAGTGTTTGCAAGGATGTGGAGGAATTGGAACCTTCAGACATTGCTGGTGAAAGTGTAAAATGGTACAGTCACTTTGGAAAATGATTTGGCAGTTCCTCAGTTAAATGTAGAATTACCATATGACCCAGCAATTTTACTGCTAGGTATATACCCAAGAGAAATGAAAACAGAGACTCAAATAAACATGTAGCATTGCAGCACTATTCATAACAGCCAAATGGTGGCCATAGCTCACATGTCCATCAGTGGATAGATGGATAAACAAATTGTGGTATATGTTATACAAACAAAAGAATATTATTTAGCCACATAAATGAACGAAGTTCTGAAGCATGCCACATGGGTGAACCTTGGAAACGTGATGCTAACTGATAGAAGCCAGGCATAAAAGGTGACATATGTATGATTCCATTTAGATGAAACATCCAGAATAGATAAATCCATACAGACAAAGCACAAACTAGTGGTTTCCAGGGGCAAGGCCACAGGGAGAGGAAATGGGGAGGAACTGCTTAATGGGTAGGGGGTTTTACTTTGTAGTGTTGGAAGTAAGGACAGAGAGACAAGGTAGTTGCATGACCTCATGACTGTACTAAATACCACTGAATTGGTCACTTGAAAATGGTCCATTTTATGTGATACAAATTTCATCTCAATAAATTATTTAAAAATATGGCTGGGCATGGTGGCTCATGTCTGTAATCCCAGCACTTTGGGAGGCCGAGGCGGGTGGATCACCTGAGGTCAGGAGTTCGAGACCAGCCTGGCCAACATGGTGAAACCTCGTCTCTACTAAAAATACAAAAATTAGCCAGGCATGGTGACAGGCGCCTGTAATCCCAGCTACTCGGGAGGCTGAGGCAGGAGAATAGCTTGAACCCAGGAGGCAGAGGTTGCGGTGAGCTGAGATCACACCACTGCACTCCAGCCTGGGCGACAGAGTGAGACTCCATTTGAAAATAAATAAATAGATAAATATAAAAAATATGTAAACCTCAAAACTAAACTAAATGAAACATAAAGAAAAGCCAGGGGCCAGGCGCAGTGGCTCACACCTGTAATCCCAGCACTTTGGGAGGCCAAGGTGGGTGGATCTCTGGAGGTCAGGAGTTCGAGACCAGCCTGGCCAACGTGGTGAAACCCCATCGCTACTAAAAATACAAAAAAATTAGCCAGGCGTGGTGGCAGTTGCCTGTAATCCCAACTATTTGGGAGGCTGAGGTAGGAGAATCGCTTGAACATGGGAGGTGGAGGTTGCAGTGAGCCGAGATAGCACCACTGCACTTCAGCCTGGGTGACAAGAGCAAAACTCTGTCTCAAAAAAATAAAAATAAAAATAGAAAAGAAAAGAAAGAAGGAAGGAAGGAAAGAAAAAGAAGAAACGAAGGGAAGGGAAGAAGGAAGGAAGGGAGGGAGGAAGGGAGGGAAAAAGAGAGAAAGAAAGAGCAAAGGCAGGAACGAGCCAGGCAGAAGTCAGGCAGTGCTGCCTCTGGGAGGGAAGGAGTGCAGTGGGAAAGGGCCCCATGGTAAAACACAAGGATCTGCTTTATCATTCTCTAAACTATGTGCAGACATCTTATACACTTTTTAAAATGCTTTATTTAGCAATAAAACATCTTAAAAGAATAAACAAAAACAGGAGAGAGAAGCAGAATCTTGTAGCTTCGGATCCATGTGTGTCCCCATCTCCTTCTCCCATCACCGGGTCTACCCTGATTGTCTGGGAACCTGAGGATTCCAGCAAGGATCTTGGGGCACCTCAACAGCTCCCCTTCCTGCTTTGGCCAACATCACCTGGCCAGCTCACTCCGAAAAGCACAGCAGTTGGGAAGGTGTTGTGTTAAGAAGCTCCCCTCATTGCCTGAGTGCCTGGTCTGGGTTTCAGGGGCTAGGCAGGTGCAGCCAGTGTCTGCAGGAGAGATGCGCAGAGGCTCAGGGCCAGCCTCTTGTGCCTGCCTGGTTCCCACAGGTAGTACCCTCTCCTTTCCCGATGTTCTCTGTCCTTTGCTACCCATCCAGGTCCCTGCCCTCGAGCCTCCTCTGGCAGTGCTCCCATGGTCCAGGGAAGTCCCTCACCAGAGTGCTCAGGCACTAGGCCTGTCAGGTGTGGGCATCTGGGGACCCAAGCCTCCTGGCCCTCAGGGACTGTGATGTTTGCTGGGGCCACCAGGGTGGGGAAAGGGTGCACGCCAGCAGGAGTGAGGGGTAGGCGGGTGAAACCCTAGGCATTCACCACAGCTCAGCGTGACGGTGGAGGCTGCCAGCACGGGAATCAGACTGCCGGGCCCCTTTGTTGCTCTGCTCTTTTTCTATGATAACATTTAATGAATGATCCACATTCATGAAAATTAGCCAAAGAGCAATTTTACAAATAAAACAATTGGGGTCTTTTCTGAGTGTTTTCTGCTTATCTAGACAAGGTGTGTGTGGTTGATTTGCTTATCTGCCCAATCCAGGCCTGCCCTCCAGTGGGAGCAGGTAGCTGTCACCCACCCACCCACCCAAGACTACGTCCACCAAAGGCATTGGCAGGAATCACCACCCTTTGGGCCATGGAACTGAGCATTTAGGAACTATGGAGGGTATCCAGCCCAACTCTTTGCTTTTACCTCTAAGGGAACAACGTCCAAACCCCAAGGCAAATTGGTGGCCGGCTTGGCTGAGTACTGGCTTGCCTCTCAGAGCAAAGGGTGCATGCCTGTCTTTGACCCAGCACTTTCACTTCCATGGATCGATCACCTGGAAATACTTTTGCATGTAAATAGGCAATGTATGGATGTTTGTTGCAGTGTATTTTAAGCTAAGTGAAAAATTGGAAACCTCCACTTTTTTGTTAGTCTACCTTGGGGACTGATTAAACCAATTAACGACGTACCAAATCATGGACTATGCAACCATGAACAAGACTAACACAGAACTCTAAAGTGTAAACGTCTCCATTATGAACTGAAAAAAAAAGCGTAGTAAAATATTTCCGATGTGATCCAGCTCTACAGGAACAAACTTCCCGATATTCAAGAGCAGAGCTGTCCCACATGGTAGACCCTGGCTACCTGGGGCTGTTGCGCACCTGAGATGTGGCCAGGGTGAATGGAGACATGCTGTGAGTGTGAGATGGCACGCTAATGTTCACTGTGACATGAGAGCTGAAAACGAGGTGTGTGGCAGGATTTCAAAGACTTAGAACAATAAAGAAAGACATAAAATACCTCATTAGTATGTGTTTGGTATTGACTACATGTTGAAACAATCATATTTTAGATATATTGTGTTAAATGAATTATAGAATTAAAGTTAATTTCACTTATTTGTTTTTACTTTTCCTTTTTAAGTGGCTACTACACAGTTTGAAATTATGTCTGTGGCGCGTGTGCTATTTCTATTAGGCAGCAGAGGTCTAGAATAATACACATCAGGCCGGGCGTGGTGGCTCACGCCTGTAATCCCAGCCCAGCATTTTGGGAGGCTGAGGTGGGCGGATCACCTGAGGTCAGGAGTTTGAGACCAGCTTGATCAACATGGTGAAGCCTTGTCTCTACTAAAAATACAAAATTAGCTGGGCGTGGTGGCGGGCACCTGTAATCCCAGCTACTTGGCAGGAGAATCGCTTGAATCTGGGAGGCGGAGGTTGCGGTGAGCCGAGATCATGCCATTGCACTCCAGCCTGAGCAACAGAGCAAGACTCTGTCACACACACACAAAAATAATAATAATACACGTCAAACACTAAGCATGGTCCACAGCACGGGAGAGTAGGGATCAGGAGGAGTGTGTAAGCAGGACTTCACTTGGCTCTTCTGTGGGGTTTTCCAACTTTATATATTCATGTAGTATGCTTTTTAATGATTAACAAACAAAAAAGGGCACTGTGGCCATGATTCCCGAGGAGCAAGCTTTCCACCTCACCAAGCCTGAAGAATTTGCCCATTCCTGTGCCCTGTCTCCAGGAGAGCCAGGGCCACCTGCCATGAGCGTTACCCCTACCTTAAGGCATTTCAGGCATTACCCACCCTGGGGGAGCAGACACAGGATGGATAAGTTGTGATGAGGGAGGAGGATACCTGTGCTTGCCACTTTAATGGCAGGGGCAGACAGGGGGCCAGGGATTGGGGGAGCGGGAGCCAGAAGCCGTGAGGGAGGGGACAAGGTGCACAGCGACAAGGTCTCAGCAGCGGGGGAGGGGAGTGCTGTGGCCTGATGTTAACTTGTTTTCTTAAAGTCAGCTCTAGCATTGTAAATGCATTTTTCCCCACTTAGCAATTGAAGATACAGTTTCTGAAAAGCAGTGAGATAGATACTAATATGTGCTTTCTACAAGAGGCTGGGAAAATTGCTCCTGGCGCGATGGGCATCTGAGGTAACAGAAAAATCTCTTTCCTGGACTCTGCCTGCTCCCAATGGATGCTGTAATTCCTTCACCCATGGCTGAGTCTAACCTCAGAGCTTGCAAAAGAGGAGGATGGCAGATACTGACCCATCAGATATGCCTTTGCATATCACTGAGGGCAACATGTCTCTTGCTACTGTCTACTTAATGGAGGTTTTAAGACGTTAAATCCCCTTAATCTCTAGGTCATGGAAGGCTTGGGGGTATTGTGTCCTCTTATTCTCCTGGCTGAGGGCTTCCATCTTCCCAGGTCCAGCATTTACACACACACACCCAGACACACACACATACACTCTCAAATTATAGGACATCTTCCAAACATTGTCAATCAAAGCCAAAGCCAATTTTCTAAAAACATCTACTGCCCCCAGTAGGAGGATTTTAGGTTGATAGAAAATCTGTTTTGTTTTCACTTAGTTCAGAATGAAGATGACTCGCATCTTAAAATGCCTGAGTGTCATTTCACTTCTTGTGCTTATCAGCTTTACAGAGCAAATAAATGAGGTTGCACAGAGCCAAACCAAACACAACTCCAAACTTCTCCCAGAAAATAATCAATAAAACATAAACAGGTACAGCAAACACATTCAACATGAGTTGATATTTCCAATTACATTTTCTGGGGGAGGAGGGCTAAAAAATACACTGCAGAGAATAGACAATTTATGCTATAAATATAATTGCAAATGCCATGAATTAAAACTGCTGCTGGATAGTTCAAAACAATGGTGTTTTGAGAACCTGACCAAAGGCAGTCTTTCCCAGAATCAGTCCCGTATTCATCAAGTGCACTCATAGAGAGGCAGGGCTCCGTTCTTAATTCCTCCCTAAATATCTGATTCAGACAGAGAAAATGTGTCTCATCTTCCTTCCCCATTCTCAGTTCCTATCCCTTGTCAACGCAAACACAATTTATGCAAATATTCTTTCTTTGTTTCTTTCTTCTTTCTTTCTTTCCTTCTTTTTTTTTTTTTGATGGAGTCTCACTCTGTCGCCCAGGCTGGAGTGCAGTGGCGCAGTCTCGGCTCACTGCAACCTCCACCTCCCGGGTTCAACCTCTCCTGCCTCAGCCTCTCGAGTAGCTGGGACTACAGGCGCGCACTACCACGCCCAGCTAATTTTTGTATTTTTAGTAGAGACAGGGTTTCACCATGTTGGCTAGGATGGTCTCTATCTCTTGACCTCGTGATCTGCCTGCCTCAGCCTCCCGAAGTGCTGGGATTACAGCCATGAGCCATCGCGCCTGGCCCTGCAAATATTTTCATTCCTCCCTACCTCCCCCACTACTTTTGCTAATTTTTGCTAAGGTTTAAAAAAACATACACATTGTATACATGCACCAAAAAATCACATGTACCCCCACAATATGCACAACTATGATGTACTAATAAAAAGTACAAAAGATATATTTTCTGGGAAAAAAAGGAAAATTAATTTGTGATAGAAAATGATTAAAGAAGACAAAAAATGTAGAAATGTACAAAAGAATAAATAAACACCACCCATAAGGCCTCCATCCTAAAACAACTGATATTTCCTTGTATTTCTAGGCTTTTTCCGTGAATAGATTAGACAGGTGCATGTGTGTGTAATGAAAAACACAATAATTCTGTACGGTTATTATGCCTTTTTCTCTGTCATTTTAAAAGTGACTGCGTGATGTTTCATCCTATGGACAGACCATGATTGATGTGTCCAGCCCTCTGCTTCTGGGCGTTTGGGTTGTTTGCTGTGCTTCCCGGTAGCACACAAAGCTGTGTCAATGTTGGCATCCCTTCAGGATTCGCTCCTCAGGATGGGTTCCTAGGTGTGGACTTGCAGGGCTTT